>NC_000003.12:141281331-141584361 GCF_000001405.40 Homo sapiens | reverse complement strand
CCTTTCTTTTTTTTTTTTTTTTTTTTTTTTTGGGATGGAGTTTTGTTCTGTCGCCCAGGCTGGAGCGCAATGGTGCGATCTCGGCTCACTTCAACCTCCACCTCTCAGGTTCAAGTGATTCTCCTGCCTCAGCCTCCCGAGTAACTGGGACTACCGGCGCCTGCCACCATGCCCGGCTAATTTTTGTATTTTTAGTAGAGACAGGGTTTAACCATATTGGCCAGGCTGGTCTTGAACTCCTGATCTTGTGATCCACCTGCCTCGGCCTCCCAAAGTGCTGGGATTACAGGCGTAAGCCACCGTGCCTGGCTGGAACAATTCTTTTCTTTTCTTCTTCTTTTTTTTTAATCTACCATTACTTTGATTTTGAGGAACAATTCTTGTTCTTAAAGAAGAATCCTATTTTGCCCCCTAAATGAGCTATCCATTTATTTAGTTCATTAGATGGATATTACAAACTCAGAAACTCAGAGAGGGTCTGCATTTCTTTGCTTTTTCCTTTATACTTCTCTACATTATTCTGCTTAGGACTTAAAAACAAACCACATTCCAATAAGGATAGTATTGAGGCTCCAGTGCCTATTCTAAAGTGGAATTTGTAGGCACAGCCATTTTCTCCTAAGACTGGCTGACAATTGCCTGCCAGAGCTCAGACTTAAGGAGTTTTGAAATGGAATGTTTACTTCTGTTTGCTGGGAGAAAATATTGGTAAGTGAAAGAACAAGAACAGAGTTCCTTTTGCATTATATGTGGGTAATGTGGGTACAAGTATCCAAGGGAACTGAAGAAGCGCCCTATCACAGCATCGACTCTCCCAGATGGACCATGCACTAATGGAGTCTGAGTTATGTGAATATTTTATTTCTTAATATATACCTGAAGTCACTGATTTGTTAGCAAATATTTATTATTTATAATAATTTATTTTATTTTTTTGAGACAGAGTTTTGCTCTTGTTGCCCAAGCTGGAGTGCAATGGCATGATCTCGGCTCACTGCAACCTCTACCTCCTGGGTTCAAGCGATTCTCTCGCCTCAGCCTCCCTAGTAGCTGGGATTACAGGCACGTGCCACCAGGCCTGGCTAATTTTTTGTATTTTTAGTAGAAACAGGGTTTCACCATGTTAGCCAGGCTGGTCTCCAACTCCTGACCTCAGGTGATCTGCCCGCTTCGGCCTCCCAAAGTGCTGGGATTACAGGCATGAGCCACTGCACCCAGCCAATAATTTATTTATTATAATTCTTAAGGAACTATGGGGTAAATACAGAGATATAAGTGAAAGAAAACCCAGTAATTAAGATGGACTATAGGCAGGGTGACTATAGGTCCCAGTTTGCTCAGGACCATCCCTATCAGGACCATTCCTATCATCCCAGAATAATCACTAATAGTATTTTTCACTCTTAAAAGTGTTCTGGTTTAGACATCAAATTATATGGTCACCTTGTTTATAGAACTATCCAGGTTATCCTTTCTAAACTCTGCAGGGAATAGCATATGATTCAGTTATACTCTTATTTTCTTCTGCATCAATAGTAAATGTCACTAGGCAGAGTGCCAATATAAAATGAGAAATTGAGCTTCACAAGCTTTTACACTTTATAGCACTGCACATATCTTGTTGTAACTACTAAATAATAAAGGAAACTAGGATATTAGGGCAAAATACCCTATGTCAGCTTAGGGATCTAGAACCAAATCTGAGACAGAGGCACACTATGGCGATAGTCCATTAGAATGTGAGTGGGTGACCCAGAGTAGATCAGGAACAGACTAAACTCCTGGAACCCTTAAATCCTTTCTCCACTGACATTATCAACTCTAAACATTCTGATTATATCAGGGGAAAAAAGATCAGATGCTACCGTAGCCTCAGTCACAAAACATGGAAAAACAACCCTCAAACAAAAGACAGTACATCATAATCCTGCCAATAAAAGTCTGCCTACAGTGTCACAAATGTTTCAACAATGTCTGAAAAATAAAAGGGCAGCTTTTTCTTTGCCTATTCTTTTGAAAGACTTTCTCCTCAAAAGCCTTCAATGGTTGCCTAAAAAAATTTTGGTTAAACAGGCACTATTCCAGATGAAAAATATTCCAACGGACTTGAATTTTTTAAATCATCATTTTTCACTTACTAAGTCTCTGTAAGAATCCTAAGTATAAAAAAAGGCTCAAACATGTATCTCAACAAAATAAATACTCTGGCAACCAACTGCTAGTTGTGCTACAGAAATTGAATGAAGTCTTTAACATTTGGCTTTGCTAATTTGGATTCATTAAGTTAAGACTGTGATACATAAAATACAGTACTTTCTTCAGGCCCAGTTTAGATGTAATTCATTTCTTTCCTTATTTTTTAATTCTTAACTTCTAGACTATATGGGATAGAGTACTTCAAAGGTAACTTTTCTTTATAAATTTTCAGCATTTTACGATAATGCTATATTTTGTTTAGATGATTCAGGACTAAAGACTCAAGAAATTAAAGATCCTTTCAAAACATTCTGAACTTCTAAGTACAGTGATTTTTGTATGCTGCAGGCCTTGTGTTAGGATATTATATACTACAGGTTTTTGTACATTTATAGTAATTTTCCTCAGGTTACTACCATAAATTTATATTGTTCATTAAATGTTCAATAATGTATATATTTTTTACTATGGCAATTAAGTGCCCACTCTACATCAGGCACCATACAAAGCCTTTACCCCCAGAGACCAGAGGTTCTCAACCAGAGGCAATTCTGTCCCTCAAGGAACATTTGGCAATACCTGGAGGCATGTTTGGCTGTCAAAACAGGGGCATACTTCTTGCGTCTAAGGGGTAGAGGCCAGGCATGCTGCTAAATATCCTGAAACGCACAAGCCAGCCCCTCAGAATCAAGAATTATCTGGCCCCAAATGCCAATAGTGTCACTTTGAGAAATCCTAACCCTAGACATCTGTAATTTGTGTTTCTAATGCACTGGCAAAAGTAGTTGTTGTTAAACTTATTTAGGTATTTTCAAAGCTGAAAAGCACAGCTTTGTGGAAGAAGAAAAAAGAAAAAGGAAGCCTTTTTGATGAACAGTTTAAACATTATTATTTAAACTGGGGATTGATAATAATAATATATATAAAATGTTATTTCCCCATGTTATATGAAATAAATATTAACAATTCCAGAATAAAACCATCATACCTTTTTAACTGCTATAATATATCCTTCTTCTTGAAACATTTTGAAAAATTCACACATGAATGTCTCTTTGAAACTTGACTAAGAAAAAACAAACACAGGGTTTATATGTGTTAAATAGAGAATTAAGAATAGAATGGACTGTATTTTTAAGCTGAGGATTAAGGCCTAAAAGGACTCAATTATATATTTTCAGAGAGTTCAGGGCTTGGAGTGGAAGACTTCTTTCAAAGCTGTCATGTGATTATGGCCGAAGCAGGCAGACAGACAGACTGTCCTGCACCTCCTTACTAGGCTCTCTTGTCTTGTTTAGCAGTTTTCATGAAACTGTCTGCTTTTTTTTTTTTTTAATGTTCTCATTAAACTTTTTTTCTTTTTAAAACTTCTAGAGACAGGGTCTTGCTATGTTGCTGGGACTGGAGTGCAGTGGCTATTCATAGGTGCCATCATTGTGCACCACAGCCTTGAACTCCTGGCCTCAAGTCATCTTCCCGCTTCGGCTTCCTGGGATTAAAGACACAAGTCACTATGCCCAGCTTCTGAAACTGTCCTCTTTAACAGGTGACTAAGAGAGTATCTACTTAAAAGACAGCTATTGTGTCTGTGTGTGTGTGTGTGTGTGTGTATGTTTTGTTTTTAATTTGGAAGAAGGTAAGTCAAGGATAAGGGATCATAGGATGTAACAACATTTAGAAGTGTAAAAACAAAATAAAAGATGTAAGGACTTACCTTGCTTTTGGACAGACTCCCCCAGCTTCCCAAAGTTTGTATAGTTTTTGAGATGAGAGTTAATGTTCTAATTGTCTGTGCATCCTAAAGAATGTAAAAAAGACCAAAACTACTAAGTTTTCAAGAAAATAGTTTGTATAAAAAAGTAGAATAGAGTAAATGGACTACATTGCTGTAAAACAATGACTCAAAAACGTTCAAAACACACACAGTTAAAATCTAGCTAAGGCTGGGTACAACTCACCAGCCTAAGGAATTAAGAGACTAAAGAAACCATATATAATTAACAATTCTTCCCAAAGTAATTATTAAAGATGTGGTGCTTTTAAAAGTCATATATATATATATATATATATATATATATATTTTTTTTTTTTTTTTTCTTTTTTTTTTCCTGAGATGGAGTCTCACTCTGTTGCCCAGGCTGGAGTGTAGTGGCATAACCGCAGCTCACTGTAACCTCCACCTTCTGGGTTCAAGCGATTCTCCTGTCTCAGTCTCCTAAGTAGCTGGGATTGCAGGTGCCTGACACCACACCTGGCTAATTTTTGTATTTTCAGTAGAAACAGAGTTTTGCCATGTTGGCCAGGCTGGTCTCGAACTCTTGACCTCAGGTGATCTGCCTGCCTTGGCCTCCCGAAGTGCTGGGATTACAGGCATGAGCCTTTTGGCACCAGCCAAAAGCCATAATTTTATCAATATTATATATAAGTTGTTTTGTACAGTATGGCACCTTGGATTACCTGGCAAATTATAGTCACTTCTGGAATAGTCACTTCTACTTTACTACCTTATAACTTAAAATGGCAGTTTTAGGTGTTCCAAATTTTCTGTGCTCAGCTCACCTCTAAACATATTCAATACTTTAAATGGCTTTTGCAATTAACTCTTTTCACCATGGAAGCAAAGACCTAAATTCAGCTTAGGAAATGTGAAGTCACCTAGTTATTTTTGGATCTTACCAGAGGGTGATTATTTGGGTCTATTATCCAAGAGGTTTTTCAGGCCTGTCTATCTGAAAGAAGTAATATATAGTAGCATATAAAATTGACTAAACGGTGTTCCCTCAGGAATCTTTGCTCCTTCATTTTTTTAAAAATTGAGATATAATTTACATATGACAAAATGAATAGGTATTAAATGAATACCCTGCTGAATTTTCACCAATCCATACATTTGTGTAAGTTTCTATCAAAACACAGACCATTTTTATTTACGGATTCAAGTAAACAGTATCTTGCATCTAAAAACATATCCAGAAAAATTTAGATACAGAAAAGCTTTAGTTTGATTTTTGGCTCCCATTCCTTGATATTTTAGTATCCCCCCAACCCCCACATTGAAAACAGGCAATGAATGTGAAGGGGAAGAGATGACCAGAATATAAGGTAATCTGGAAAGGAAGGAATATCCGAAATATGATCCTTATAATATACTTATAAAGTAGATACACACCTAAATTAAGTCTATTCAGAAAACATTTTAGCTGTAACATCTGGGATTTCATTACATCTATAAAAGGTCCCTACAATTCTCTGTCTTTGAAGAAAATAATATTCTTAAAGATGTCCTGGCACCTGCACTCATGTTTCCTGCAGCACTATTTACAATAGCAAAGTCATAGAACCAACCTAAGTATCCACCAACATCTGTTACAGGAATATGCAAATTCAAGTATGAATACAAGGCAGACTCACAAGTTCAGAAGTAGGTGTTCTGTTTATGTCCAGAATGTTGCTACCACGCTTTCACTGCCTCAGAGTTCTGTGCAGCTTTAGTAACAAAGCCACAGAATGGACAGCCCTGTGAACAAAAGGACACTGGCCCACTCTCTGCTGGGGCTACTCACAGACCATTTATCCTTTGGCAAGAAAGGGCGTGGTGCTGCCACTGCAACATGGTTCTATTCAGTTCTCACAAAGTTAAGTGAGTGTCAATGTCATGTAGCCGTTGAGAGAAGAAATGGGTATTCAGAACCTGGTTTAACTCTAAAACTCATCTGTTTTCCCTACACTATTGAGCAACTCCTCTTGGCTGTGAGTTTCCTAAGGGCAAAGAGTATCTTACTCATCACTGCATCTCCAGTACTGAGCATGGAATGATACATTATAGGTACTTGAACATCTGTCTAAGAGGTTGGAAGGGATAGGATTAAGCTCACAGATGATAAAGACTGACTGAATTTGAATCCCAGTTAAATCCAATTCAAATCGAGTATGATCAAATCATAATTTGTCAGTTGTGTGAGCTTGGAAAAGTTACTGTATTGTGATTTCCTTATCTGCACATGTGGATGATAACAGAATTTACCTTACCAGGTTGCTAGGAGGACCAAATAAGTTAACACATAAAGTAGTTAGAACAAGGCCTAGTACAAAGCACTAAATAAATGTGGACTATTGTTATTATTTGTTATACAAATCAGCAACTAGGAGCAATTAGGTAAGATTATAAAGTATTTGGAACATAAAAGCTTAAAGAATCAACCAAATTACACCATATAAGAAGGAATCAGAAGTATAGCAAAAATAAAGAATTTTAAAAATTAAGAAATAAACATGTAAATCTATGCAGTGGAGATTTAGATTTTTGGTAATTAAACAGGACTCCAGAACAAAGTTTATATGCTTAAGAAATTTTTAAATCTCATGTTTACAGTATTACCTCAGGTAAATAAAAAGTGAAAATACTGATATATTTAACAAGTTATATTCCAATAAAAGTTCCTACGCCTTTCACTATACTGCATTCTTGGTTTCTTTTTCTGTTTTTACTGTTAATGCTTATCCAGTTCACCTGCCATTTAATATTTTCTAATTATATGCTTTCAGTTTCATTGCTACTGAAATCTATCTTAGATGCTGTTTCTAAATTAAATGGAATTTCTCTTGTAGCCTTCTTTCTTAGAGAAGAGCCTCTTCAAATTTCTGTGCAATTTAAAAATATCTGCAAAATTAACCTATTTTAATAAATCAGGAAAGTAGATTTTGTTTAAATAAAAAACCTATCAAAATGAAACCTGTAACTAATGAAAAAAAACTTATGGAAATTTACAAACACACACAGTAGCAGATGAAAAAATATAATAAATCCCCTTTGTACTCATCACCAAGCTTCAATAATTAACAACATTTTATTACTCTTGTAGAACATCTTTTAACAACAACAAAAAATAGGATTATTAGCCTCACTTGAAAGACTGAAATGGCCAAGAAAAATGCTGAGTAAATTTAAGTATCAGTTATAAGAAAATACAGCCTAGTGAAATTGGTTTATTTTATCTTTTCTTCATTTTAATAAAAATTAAAAAAATGGAATAAAGCTTTCAGAAGAATGAACACTTACTGGATGATGAGGTCGCAAATGAAAAGTATGAGGTGATACTACGGCTACAGCAAAGAAACGAAGAAATACAAAGCTGCTCACTGCAGAATACTGAACATGAGGGTCATCTGCAGGAAAAAAATGGTGAAATGTCATGCACAAAAACAATTAAAAAACAAAGATGATAAATTAAAAAATATAGAAAAGACATGTAAACTAGGAGAGCAACATAATTTGTCTAGTAAGAACTGAGTTGATGAAATGATAGTGATATTTATGACTCAATTAAAAGAAAACCCCTATGATTAAAAAAATCCAAAAGAAATAAGAAATAATATGAAAAAAGACAAAGCTGCTAGGTTTTCAGAAATATTTTAATTTGAAAAATACCTCTTTCCTCACCTGCAAGAAGAGACTGCTAAAATTACAACAGAAATAAAAGTAGTATCTAGCACTACCTAGTGGTAACACTGAATCCCTTAAGAGTATGATACAAGGCTACTTTCAGTTTTAGGTTCTTGTTTCAATATCCCCCCCAAAAATCTTGATAATATCAAAAGTTATGCAACAAAAACAATTAGGCAGAAATGTTTACTTTAAAAAGCTATCAACAGTCCATAAATAAAAATGCAGATGAACTGAAGACTACTGGTGGCTTTGATCATTCACCTACAACTTTCGTTTCAGACTGGAGTCAACAATTTACCCAACAATCAGACAGATGGTGGTGAAGCAGATGGTGAGGGAAAGAATCTTTAGGTTTGGTTCGAGTTTTAACTCTTCTAAGTCATTCAGTAGGTAACCATTAACAAGTCGTTTAATTTGTCATTCTTTAGTAATATCTGCTTTCTACCTGCTGTCTGCTCTGCCCTCCTTCCCCCATTCTTCTAGGGTAGTAAGAACAACAAAAACGAGAGAATATGAAACACTTATGGCAACAAAACTGTCACTACTATAGTCTACTGAGGATATGATAACCATATTAATAGTTAAGTCAACAAAAACATAACTAAAGAGATACATCTGCATGTATATAAAAACATAAAGTGTTGGCCGGGCGCGGTGGCCCACGCCCGTAATTCCAGCACTTTGGGAGGCCGAGGCAGGTGGATCATCTGAGGTCAGGAGTTTGAGACCAGCCTGACCAACATGGAGAAACCCCATCTATACTAAAAATACAAAATTAGCCAGGCGTGGAGGCACATGTCTGTAATCCCAGCAACTCGGGAGGCTGGAAACCTGGGAGGCGGAGTTGCAGTGAGCCGAGATTGTGCCATTGCACTCCAGTCTGGGCAACAAGAGTGAAACTCAGTCTCAAAAACAAAAACAAAAACAAAACCCAAAAAAACCCCATAAAGTGTTTAAGATCATTTATATAAACAAGAATTAAACTGCTAAAACAGATTTAAGGCCAAGATCACCAGTTAGTATAGAGTATAGTGAATGGCAGCATGTAGTTTGGAGTAGACTAGGCCCAGGTTTGAGGCCCTGCTTGCCTGTTGGCCACGCCACAGACCTTGGTAAAGTTACTCAGCTTCTCTAAACCTTAGTTTCTCACCTAATGGGAGTAGTACCTACCTCATGTGGTTTTGTGAAGATGAGAACAGGAGACAATGGAGGCTAACACACTAACACTGTGTGTGTTACTAAGTAGTCAATGTGGTTATCATGATTTAACTATTTAAAAATATAATTTCAATGAGCATTTCACCTTTCCGTGTGCCTCTGGCTCCCCTTATTTTTGTTATGAAGATTAGATTTAGTTACTTATTTGCAACTATAATTAGCAAAGACATTTAGATCTAAATTTATCTACATGTTAGACAACTCAGCCCCACTAATTTAGTAATGGGTCAATTTAGTAGAAGTGCAGTTAACTGCACACATGTGTGTACAGGGTGAGCACATGCTTAAAAGAACATAAAACTGCAAAATCTCTTCAGATGGTTACAGAAATAAACTTACAGTTTTGCACAGCTGGTTAAGACTGGTAATTTAAGTACCTGCCTAATTTTACCCTCCTACCCACCACCTCCCATTATAGACAGATCTGGAAAGCTACCTATAGCAAGTTTATTTACTTATCAGAAATATATTAAAATGTGAATAATTCTAAGTATTAGCAGCGACAGTAACACTTAATTTTATGAAAAGTTTCTAAGCAAAACCTTGACATAGCTACTTTTTCAAAATTAAAACATGCCAGTTACTGATATATGTACCTTAAAACTCTATGTATGTTACAACAGAAAGGTTTCTAATGTCTAAGACCATTTCTGTAAAAACCTCTCACCACCAAAACCTTATTAGCATTCTCAAACTGTCAAATCTAGTCAATTTTATGGAACTAAAGATTCTCACTATCTGAATGCATGCAGCTGGAAAAGATAGTTGGTATAAATAACAAAGGTATTTTTAACTCTCATAAGCATCTGGTATAAGTGCTTACTTATATAATGTTACAGTTCTGAATTTTTGCCTTTCTTTAATGGTGATTTTGATTTGCTCTTTGTATAAAGTTGCATTATACTGAAATAAAATGGAATATGTATTTTGAGATTTCAAGAAAAATCAGATTTCTTATGAGAAAGATAGAATCATTTTGAAAAACTAAAGAAGGTTGTACTTAAAAACCTTAGGCTGGGCGTGGTGGCTCACGCCTGTAATCCCAGAAACTTTGGGAGGCCGAGGCGGGCGGATCACGAGTTCAGGAGATCGAGACTATCCTGGCTAACATGGTGAAACCCCGTCTCTACTAAAAATATAAAAAATTAGCTGGGCATGGTGGCGGGCGCCTGTAGTCCCAGCTACTCGGGAGGCTGAGGCAGGAGAATGGCATGAACCCGGGAGATGGAGGTTGCAGTGAGCCAAGATAGCGCCACTGCACTCCAGCCAGGGTGACAGAGCAAGACTCCGTCTCAAAAAAAATAAAATAAAATAAAATAAAAATAAATAAATAAATAAAAACCTTAAATATCTCACAAACCAAACATGTAATTAATATCTATAAAAAAGTCAAAGAAAAATAAATGGCATGTTTTAGTAAAACAAGGCACTTACTAGGAAATCTCTGAGTAGCCATCTGCCTTAGAGAATAAAAGATATCACACATTACAGTGGGGCAGCTCATACTTGATTTTACAATTGTATTGAATAACTTGTCTACATAGTAGCGCAGATTCTCCTGCAGGATTTAAAAAGGTAAACATTAAGATTTTGATGTTCACACATCTTCAATAGCCTTCATGAAAGAAAAATGTAAGAAAATGAGGTTTATTAGACAGTCACTATCTAACATTTTTTAAAGTACTGTTACCCTTTTCCAAACTCATTCAGTTTAAGGACAATTTACATACTGACTTAATTTAATAAATTAAATTTAGATTTGCTAGGCGTAAGAGGTGAATCTATGAATAAACCTCACAAGAAGCAAGAGGGAATAAAATGATCCAAAAGGAAATCACAAAATAACTCGGATACACAAGCACAAGGACATTGTGACACTATTATCCACTGCAATAAAAATTTGTGACCCTAACACAATCATTGTTTTTTCAGAGGCCACTGAAACTACTGACTGATAAAGTCACTGTGTCACTTAGCCTGATCAGTTTGAGCCCAAAGGAATGGCTAGAACGGGGGCTGCAACTAGCTATAGCTTAAGTTCACTATTGTTACTAGAGCCAAAAAGAGACAATCAAGAACAAAAATAAAGTGAAACCACTGAGGAAATAACATTCTAAAAACTAATCCTAGGAGCTGGAAGTGCTGCTAATAATAAAGGCTTATGTGAAGAATAAACAGCACTGCTTCCCTCTATATGGCTTTATCATAATGTAAGTGGGAGAAAGGTACACCATTAAGACCAATTTTAATGCAATTATAAATAATATAACAAGGACTTACCTTATTATTTTCTACATTATCTCCCTCTTTCAATTTAATAGGATCGATTTCACAGGATTTTGAGGAGTCACATATCTGAAAAATAAATTTTTCAGTTAATGATTTTTTTCTAAGTAGTCTGACAAAATGAAAATAACTTATTTTTCTGATAATAAAAGTTAATTATAGAAATTTAAACTGTAGCAAAGCGTAAAATGTCCTATGCAGGGATAACATATACAATTTTCTTAAAACATGATATCAAAAAGTATTTGTCATATATTTGAAACTCTAGCTAAAATAGAAATCCCATAACAAAGAAATAATGTAGATTATACTATACTGTACCTTTTGAGTAAAAATCCATTGACAGAGAAGTAAATAATTTGCTTCTAAAGTGTTCAGTCTATTTTTTCAGTAACACATGAATGAATAAATCCTTCCCATCAATAGATCACTTGATAAAAGAACAACTATCATAAGGCCACAAACTATCATTGTTGGAGATATATTCTGTACCTCATCAAGAATAGGTTTTAATGTTACTTTCAGGTAGTGCCCTCCCACTATTTTCATCATCTCATCCAGACATCGGGTAGCCAGGGAATTTCCTCTAAAAATTGTGTTTGCATCTCTGAAATAGAAATAGATGAAACCAAATGTAGTAAACAAAGGTTTTGAAACCAATAATATAACATACTTGACCAATTTAAGAAAGAAGCATTTAGCTGAAATAGATTAAGACATACTAGAAGGCATAAGTGACCTACAATTTTAGTAATTTTTACCATTTATTTAAAAGCTTGCTGCCATTAGGTTTTTCAAACTTACCAAAAATATATTAAAATAATGGCCAGGTGTGATGGCTCATGCCTGTTATCCCATCACTTTGGGGGTCCGAAGCAGGTGGATCGCTTGAAGTCAGGAGTGTGAGACTAGCCTGGCCAACATGGTGAAACCCCATCTCTACCAAAAATACAAAAATTAGCTGGGCGTGGTGGCGAGTGCCTGTAATCCCAGCTACTCAGGAGGCTGAGGCATGAGAATCGCTTGAACCTAGGAGGCAGAAGCTGCAGTGAGCCAAGATCATGCCACTGCACTCCAACCTGGGTGAAAAAGCGAGACTCTGTCTTAAAAACAAACAAACAAAAAACTCAATACATATGTGTGTGTGTGTGTGTATATATATATATATATATATATATATATATATGTTTTTTTAAAAAGGCAAATCATGTTTATGAACCAAAAATGTGGAGTATATGTATGTCTCTGTGTGTAAAAAAACAACAGTGTTAGACTATGACGTGAATGAGAAGTCACTTGACTGCTTTTTAGAATGTCATACATATGCATATAAGGGTGATACATAATGAATAAAGAAAAAAACACTTCTGCTCTGGTGTTTTAACTTGTGACACGTGAACCATTACACTAAGAAGCAGATTAGTAACAAATGAAATTTCCTGAGTTAAAGAAAAACATCCTTCATTAATTGTTGTCCTTAAGGTAGGTGAATACTGTTTGATAGCTTAACTGCCTTTTGTTATTTGTTAAGTACTTCTTTTCAGCCTACTATACAGTAAGGCTGATCAATACAAAAAAATTCAGACTACAAAATCAATCTGTCAAACTAAGGTCCAATTTCAACAACATGTAATTAACATTTAATAAAATATAACTCTTACTGTGTATCCTTCAAGTCTAATTCAGCCACAGCAGTGGCAAAAGGAACAAGTTTATCATGGTGCAGCAGCAGTCGTACAAGGGGCAAAACAGCATCATTTTTATCTCGACATATTTCACTCAAAATGTAAGCAGCTGAGGCAGATATTGGCTAAATACAGAAAGGTAGAAAACAAGCACAAACATCAAGGAAACATGATTAACTGTTCAATCACTAGCCTGTAAAAGTAACTGAAATAATGTCACTAAAGCTGTTATACAGGACATTTAATTTTCGAAATTTTTTATCAGAGATGATTGTGGGAGCACATGTAGGAATCATAGTACTCTGGTTCAGATAAATAGAAATGTGTGTGTGTATATATATGTATGTATATAATTTTTACTGTTTTAATAAGACTTGATACTCTTGAAATCTTTTCCTTATCATTTATAGAATTATTTTAGCCGTTTCGTGTTAAATCATATCCTTAAGATTCTTAACATACTTGAACATCTGGTGATTTTAGCAGCAAAGTTTTCAAAGGACCATAGTACTCTGAAGGAAGCACGTAGTCTTCTGTATAACATATATTTAATCGAAGAGACCCCAGGTCATCAGTTTTGGATGACTTGTTTCCATTGTCTCTTGGCTGTAGCAAGTACCTAAAGTAAAAATATAAGTGATTCCATGTGATGGAAATGCATTCAAGCCAATGAGGCAAGTTAAGAGTTAAGTTATAAAAAAACTAAACCAAAAAAGTCAACTTAGTATTTACAGTTAGGAAGCTTCATAAGTAGCAGGATACTCATCTTCAGAAAACTAATATTGGTTATACATTGGATTACAAAGCTATAAACACATTTTTATCCAGGAAACAAAAAGCATAGATATTACAGAAATTAAGATCTCAAAGGAGTTGAACAAGAGTTTGATTAGCTTGCAGGTTTAGAAAAAATGATAATAAAAGGTAAACATTTAAAATCCAATGTATTATCAAAAATAAATTTTTACCAACTAAATTTAAGAAAGAGGCATTTAGCTGAAAATTAAGACAGTCCGGGTGCAGTGGCTCATGACTGTAATCTCAGCACTTTGGGAGGCTGACGCAGGCAGATCACTTGAGGTCAGGAGTTCGAGACCAGCCTGGCCACCATGGTGAAACCCTGTCTTTACTAAAAATACAAAAATCAGTCCGGCATGGTGGCAGGTGCCTGTAATCCAGCTGCTTGGGAGGCTGAGGCAGGAGAATCACTTGAACTCAGGAGGCGGAGTTGCAGTGAGCTGAGATCCCGCCACTGTACTCCAGTCTGGGCTTGCCTGGATGACAGAGCAAGACTTCGTCTCAAAAAAAAAAAAGTAGATAAGACATATCAGAATGCGTAAGTAACCTTGTTTTAAAGTAAATTCTTTTTCCAAAAATTTGAACTTAAGAGAAATTTGCAGGACCAAAACCAGAAATCTAAGAGTTTAAAAAAAAAAAAAAAAAGCTTTTTATCATGGGAATTTAAAAACACAAACAAAAGAGAATATTGAACGCTCATGTACCCATTATCTAGCTTAAACAATTATCAACTGAAGACTAATCTTGTTCGCAGTCACAGAAAGAAAAAAATTATGTCCTTTGCACTAACATGGATGCTGCTGGAGGCCACTACCCTATGCGAATTAATGCAGAAACAGAAAACCAAATACCCTATGTTCTCACTTGTAAGTGGGAGCTGAACACTGGGTATGCACAAACACAAAGATGGTAACAATAGACACTGGGGGTTCCAAAAGTGGGGAGGGAGATAGGGGGGTAGGGATTGAAAAAACCATCCGGTACTTTGTTCGCTACTTGGGTGAAGGGATAATAAGCCTAAACCTCAGCATTACACAATATACCCATGTAACAAACCTGTACCTATACCCCTGAATCTAAAATTAAAAAACAAAACAAAACAAAATTGGATGAAGGCTGATAAAAATTGTAAAGTACCATTGACAATCAAGTATTCATATTTCCTTTTTGGGGGGATACTCAGCAATATGCTTGCCTAAATTTGAAATTTATGATTTGTTGTTAGTGTAAATACCTATTTTTTTCTAGACTATATCAGGATTAGAGAAAGGCAATTTTTACTCTTAAAGTAGCCTAAGTTGGCAAAAACAATTGAACTCAACTAATTTGGTCATTAAAACTTCAGAATTGCTGGGCTTTAGCCAAAATATATCTTTCTAGGACTGGAAAAAAAAAAGTTTGCTACTCATTCAAGATATCACAAGAGTTCCAGGAGTTAAAAAATTGTTCAAACTCTTAAAAATTTATTTATCTAAAATAATATGCCCATTACAAATACTTCATCCCCTTTATTCCATTAGAGCAAAATATCTAAAAACATCCAGGAAAAAAACTTAACTGTATTCTTATTCTTCAATAATTCATTATTTTAAAAAGGCGTTTTCTTGTGCTGTATATAAAATAGTGAATCTTTGCTTTACTTAACTATAACCAGAAACCAAACTGCAGAAAAACTGTATTATATATGTCTTTTATTAGTATATTCTAAAACAAAATTATTTTAAGTTACTATGTGCAGCCAGATGATCAATACTAACACTGATAACATCCTTATTTGGACACTGAAAATAGCATAATTTTAAATTATGCTGCAGAAACTATCACAATTAGAATATATTAAAGGAATTTATTTATAAATATTTATCTGCATATTTTTTTTCCTGTGGCTTATCATCATATTGCCCACAAAATTTATTTTCAGAAATAACTCCAAATTAAATTTACAAATTTGGATTTGCTATTAACAAACGCTGTAGGGTAGATAAAAGCAACTGAATGGAGATTCTTTTTGTAGTGAAGCTCAAACTTCAAGAACTAAGAAAGAATCTGTGTGGAGTGCCACTTACTATTTTCATCACTCTTTGAACCAGAATCTTCTTTATTTAATATTAAAAAATCCTTACTACACATAGACAAATAGATAACGATGCATACATATATAAACAATGTCATCAAATCAATGCTTTTGTTTTTTTAAGGAACGTTTTCTTTATTTTCTCTTTTAACTTTGTTTTTCTCTTATCTTTTTTCCTATCTTCAAAACACTACCATTCTGCACCTCCGCTTCTCTTAGGAACCTGTTAACTACCTACTATGGACCCTTCTCTATTTTCTTCATGCTTATATAATTTTATATAGATTTTTAAAAATGTGTGCATATATACACATTTATAAATGAGTTCTGAGCCTATTAGTCAGTTTACAAAAATGTTATCATATTCTACTCTCCTGTATCTTGTTTTTTTTACCTGAAAGCACTTCCTAGTTAACTCTTTGAAACTACTTTTCATAGATCCAGTTTGTTCTTTTTAACGGGTACATAATATTCATGCAATGAATGGACTCGAGTTCTTTAAGAGAGGTATTTATGAATATAATGAAAAATAATTGTACTGTCTTGTGAAGTGAAAATGCTATACAGCTTAATAGGCCATAAGTAACTTAAAAATAATTGTGTTCAGAAAGCAATAAACAGCAAACATTAAAATTTTGAATTTAATTTCAACCCTCCTTACTAAGAGACTGGGGAAAATTATTTATTTGCTTTTTGGGTCTGGGAAATTCTCTCTCTCAGTCCTCTGTTACCCAAGTCCTGCTAAAATGCTTTTGTGGATTTTCTTTGCCATTCTTCTCCCAGAATAATCTGCACTGATATTTCTTTTATTATTTGCAGAAAATCCTCAACCTCTGTTTATACAATTGTTCAACATTTGTACTAGGCACGGCAAATTTATAGCACTGGTTACTTATACTGAGGAAGAGTTTGTCTTTCCATTTTCATCTTGTTACTGCTCTATTCTGTTCCTCTCTTACTCACTGCCTCTATGGTATACACTTGCTACAGTAAAGGGAGGGATTTTCTCCTTTGGTATCATGTCACAATTATGACACGAATTGCATTTTCTTATATTTTGTGAATACATGTAAAATACATTAAGAATGCATTTTAATGTTTTAAAAATACATTTAAAAAGTTTTAAAATACATTAAAATGCATTTTAAATGTTGTCAATATTTCCCCTATACTGTTTGAGAAATAAATTACATATTTTATCTAAGAATGTAGAATGTTTGGAATTATTATTATTATTATTATTTGAGACAGAGTCTCACTCTGTCACCCAGGCTGGAGTGCAATGGCATGCTCTCGGCTCACTGAACCTCTGCCTCCCGGGTTCAAGCGATTCTCCCGCCTCAGCCTCCCGAGTAGCTGGGACTACAGGCGCGGGCCACCACACCGGGCTAATTTTTGTATTTTTAGTAGAGACAGGGTTTCACTATGTTGGCCAGGCTGGTCTTGAACTCCTGACCTCAGGTGATCTACCCGCCTCAGCCTCCCAAAGTGCTGGGATTACAGGTGTAAGCCACCATGCCTGGCCTGGAATTATTTATTTATACTCATAGTTTTCAAGTTTTATAAATCCTGTGCTAAGGCCTTTCTAAAGTTTAAAATTACAAAGCCCAGTAGTAAAGTAATTCCCTAAAAATACTAAAACAGATTCACAGGTGCAATATTTTTAAGCAGTTTGAGTTTTTTTAAGCATTGCTGTTTGAACCCACGATTTTATTTTCAGTAGATAGGTCAGAATAGGGCACATGGGCTTAGTAGTAGACATTCCATGGATATTGACTAGAGAGTGAGTGAATGAATGCTTTGGTTTTGAAGCCTTGGGTCACTTTTTGAAAGCAATTAGAAGTTTCTAACTAACATGAGAAAAAAGCTGCCATCTTCTCTATTCTCTATCTAAAGGCAATGCCAAACAAAATTTAAAAATACATACACTGATTTTTTTTTAATAAAAGACTGATCTTGTTTCAGCCATACCTTCACTCACTCTCCCATCCTGTTCCTGCATTATTATTTTAAAGCAATTTCCAGGTATAATTTCATATATAATTTTAAAAAGTCATCACTATTCACTTAGTATTCAAATTTCCCCAAACTTATCATAAATGTTTTTCTACAGTTTGTTCGAATCCAAATAAGGTCCATAGATTAGAATTGGTAATAGCATTCTTAAGTCTCTTTTATAGATTCCTCACTGTTGGTCCTATAGAGTTTTCCACCTTTGGAATTGTGTTAACTCTTATCTCTACCTCCACAATGTCATTTACCATATTCCTTCATCCTCTCTGTATTTCCTCTATATTGGTAGTTAGATCTAGAGGCTTGGTTAGATTCAGATTTGATGTTCTGGCAAGAATGCTTCATTGATAATGCTGTGTAGTTCTACCAAGAGGCATAAATGTCTGGTTGTTTCTCCTTTTGCAATATCAGCAGCCACTGATGATCACGGCTTAGAGCCATTAATCATCAAAATGATAATTTTATAACTCTATCACTCCTCCTTCACTTAGCTGGAATGCTGAGATGCTTTTTATAAAAGAAATAGTAGTTTTAATACTTAATTTATATATTTATCAGCTATGACCTCCTCTAATATATTAATTCATTTAAAAATAGAAGGAGGAAGGCTTTAATAGAACATTTATTAGCTTTGAGAAAGATAAGATAAAGACAGAAAAGACAACTAGCGAATTAACCAAGGCAAATTTAAAGGATGAAGGGATGGTTAATACAAGAAGAAATTACATCACTATCCCACAAAAGAGGAAGATCAACCTTCAGAACATCTACTGTCTGATTTAAGAAATAGTGATGTAAAGATATGGTCAATGAAATAATTAGAAACAAGCCTGTTAGCAAAGGTGACTCAGAAGTACCTCTAAGGGAAGTGTATTTAGTCTGTCCTTATGCTGCTAATACAGACATACCCAAAGCTGGGTAATTTATAAAGGAAAGAGGTTTAATTGACTCATAGTTCCACACGGCTGGGGAGACCTCGCAATCATGGCAGAAGACAAAGAAGAGTAAAGGGACGTCTTACATGCGGCAGGCAAGAGAGCTTGTGCAGGAGAACTCCCATTTATAAAACCATCAGATCTCATGAGACTTATTCACTACCACAAGAACAGTATGGGGATTTGAAACCACCCGATGATTCAATTATCTTCACCTGGCCCTGCCCTTGACATGTGGGGATGATTACAATTCAAGGTGAGATTTGGGTAGGGACACAGCCAAACCACATCAGGAAGTTTAGCTGGTTGATGACCAAGCATCCTGACAATTGATACTTTGGTCAATTTTTCACAATCCAGGGCATGTTCGGCAACCTTGCAAATTCAGACATCTCGTTTTATCAGCACATCTAAAGTGAACCTGAAGGTCAAGTGTGGTGGCTCCCGCCTGTAATCCCAGCACTTTGGGAGGCCAAGGCGGGTGGATCACCTGAGGTCAGGAGTTCGAGACCAGGCTGGCCAACATGGTGAAACCCCATCTCTACCAAAATACAAAAATTAGCCAGGCATGGTGGCACAGGCCTGTAGTCCCAGCTACTTGGGAGGCTGAGGCAGGAGAATCGCTTGAACCCAGGAGGTGGAGGTTGCACTGAGCCAAGATTGCACCACTGCACTCCAGCCTGGGCGACAGAGAGAGACTGCATCTCAAAAAAATAAAAAAAAAGAATAAGGTGCACCTGAATTGCAATGACTGAGTGCAGAGCCTGATATACTTAAAAGCAGGTCAATTATTAAATTTATGAAAAAGAAATATAGTCAAGTGGCATAAGTACCTGGATTGTTAAGTGACCAATGCATTTTATTATAGAAATGCTCACTTACAAAAGTAGGGAGAAGAGTGATAATAGTAATAATGAACACCCTTTCTTACCACCACCCCCATGTGCTTGTCACTTGGTTACAACAATTATCACCATTTACCATAGGGTTTTCATCTATATCTTTCACTGTATTTTTTTACCTGTTGGTAGGCTATTTGGAAAGGCAAATTATCAAAAGGCGTTGTGGTGAGTACAGAGGCATGACAAGGAGTTTTATGCAGCCTTAAGAATCTCTCAGCTAAGACAACAGTCTTGCCAAGGAAACAGTAATTCTTCTGGACCAGAATCCCCTACCCCCTCAATTGTGCTTGAATAGGCAGTACCATGCCTACCTCTTTGGAATCCTTTTTTATTACTCTAGATGAATCTTTTCCTCCTATTGAACTAATGTTTTCCATGCACAGTAGATTAACATTACTTGTATTACTGCTTACTCAGTTACAACTGGTTCTGCCTCTCTGGGACCATCCCTATCCATCTTAAACAGTGTCTCTGAACTCTACAGTCAAAACAAACTCTGTTTTGGTTTTTACTACAGAAATTTTGCTCAGAGCGCAACTTTATTTCCTTTAGCTCCAAATAACTGAGGGAGGGGTATGACATCCCTCTTTACTCTCATATAACTGAAAATTACCAGGCCTACAGTCTTAACATAGCATTGTTCTATGTAGAGGAATTAGGGTAGTGCTATACCAATTACTCATTTTTATGCATACATTGTTTTTGGATGCTTAAGAACTCCAGAAGGGTTCACTCCTGCCATACTTTCTAAACTTGTTTCCTTGGATTTTCTTTGCAGGATAAGAAATCCCCATAGACAAAATATCTCATCTATGTCTACTTGAAAAAAAAAAAAAAAGACTTCACAACATGTTGTTGTTTTACCCATCCCTTGAAAAGATCATTTTTTAAATGAGTAGGGAACTCTCTGATTCTCTTTTATATAATATTTTATAAGCAAGGGACACTCAAATCTTTGCTAATGGCTTAAAAGAATGTTTTTGAGTTTTAAATATATTCAGAAATATGCCAGAGTTCAAACTTACAGTACACTGGTTAAAAGCACAAACTTTGGGGTCAAACAGTTTGGTTCAAATCCCAGCTGTGTGACCTTAGACAAGTTGCTAAATTTCTCTGTGCTTTTTCCTCATTTGTCAAATAAGGAGTATTAATAGTGTCTTAACACATTAAAACCCTACAACAGCCCTAAAAAAGTTATTATAAGTAAAGTACTTAGAATAGTTCCTGGCACACAGTAATCACTATGTAAATGTTACACATATAACATTTATATATGTGATGTATAACTATTACCACTTAAATATATGAATAACTATCAATAGTCATTTGTATAACTATATAAATGTGATTATTTTAAAATATTATTACAAAAGCTCAATTTAATAAACTGCCTGAAGGATCCTTGTGAATTAAATAATTCTGTATGAATTAGAGCTAAAGAGAAAAGGCTCAAGATTTGTTAAATAGTTCAGGACTATCTGGCATTTCTAAGTGAAAACAAAACAAAAAACTCATATATATATATGTCAGTTTTTGAATGAAATATTTCCGTTTGAAAGAAAAAGAAACAGGGAATAAAGAGAAATTTTTAACTGAAAGTAGCATTCAGTTGCTCTAAACATGTACTTTTCATTCACAGGCATAAAAGCAATCCTTATGCTCTCAAGAGTAAGCAGTTTTGACAGTCCCTTAACAGAAAAAAATCAGCATTTAAACAATTCTAACCATAGGGTCTGTGTAATTAAAATTGAGGTAGACAAACCCAAAGTGCAATTATTTGTACATAATGCTATGTAAATGAGAGAATAAAGAAGCAGTTCTATTAATAACTGAACGTGGGCCAGGTGCGGTGGCTCACGCCTGTAATCCCAGCACTTTGGGAGGCCGAGGCGGGGGGATCAAGAGGTCAGGAGATCAAGACCAGCCTGGTGAACATGGTGAAACCCCATCTCTACTAAAAATACAAAAATTAGCTGGGTGTGGTGGCGGATGCCTGTCATCCCAGCTACTCAGGAGGCTGAGGCAGGAGAATGGCTTAAACTCGGGAGGTGGAGATTGCAGTGGGCCAAGATGGCGCTACTGCACTCCAGCCTGGAGACAGAGCGAGACTCCGTATAAAAAAAAAAAGTTTAACGTTATTTCTGGTTTTTTTTTGTGTGTTGTTGTTGTTTTTTGTTTTCTTTTTTTGAGACGGAGTCTCGCTCTGTCTCCCAGGCTGGAGTGCAGTGGTGGATCTCAGCTTACTGTAAGCTCCCGCTCCCAGGTGCACGCAATTTCTCCTGCGCCAGCTCCTGAGTAGCTGGCACTACAGTTGCCCACTACCAAGCCCAGCTAATTTTTTGTATTTTTAGTAGAGATGGGGTTTCACCATTGTTAGCCAGGATGTCTCGATCTCCTGACCTCATGATCCGCCTGCCTTGCGCTCCCAAAGTGCTGGGATTACAGGCTTGAGCCACCGTGCCAGGCCTATTTCTTTTTTTTTTTTTTTTAACTGAAGACAGGAGACTTGTTATATTTTCTAAATTCAAATATTAAACAGATACGTTAAAAATGTGAGACCAAAGGCTGGGCGCAATGGCTCACAATCCCAGCACTTTGGGAGGCCGAAGTGGGCGGATCACGAGGTCAGGAGTTCAAGACCAGCCTGGCCAACATAGTTAAAACCCCGTCTCTACTAAAAATACAAAAATTAGCTCGGCATGGTGGTGTGTGCCTGAAGTCCCAGCTACTTGGGAGGCTGAGGCAGGAGAATCACTTGAACCCGGGAGGTGGAGGTTGCAGTGAGCCGAGATCATGCCACTGCACTCCAGCTTGGACAACAGAGTGAGGCTTTGTCTCAAAAAAAGTAAGACCGCCCCCCCACAAAAAAAAGTTTGAGGACAAAAGGTGTCAAAATTAACAAACTGGAAAGCTAAATCATATCAAATATTCATCTAGTCTAAAATCATGTATAAAGTGCTTCTGTTGAAAAGAAAAACCCAGTAATTCATTTTATCTATTATTTGAATCTTACTTTCAAATTTAAAAATTAATCTATTTTGAGACTTTTCAAACAACAGAATTAAATTACTGATGATTACTCTCTTAACATCAACATTAGAAAGAATTTGCCTGAAATCCTGAGGGTAAATAAATCTTTTCTTGAGTTTTCATGCAGTTACTAACAACCCCACAAGGGGATGCTATGGCTCTACAATTGATGGAGGAGGTTAAGAGTTTTATTTCCAACTTAAAAGAAATGGCATTCACATTTTTATGTTTCCTTACAACTGTGGAATTATATATGAATTACCAGATGTTCCTATTTCATGCTATATAAATTTCAGCACTTATATTTCTGGCAGGTTACTTTAAAATATCATGGGCCAAAAACATCTATAAAAATAAAATTAGTTTGTTAATGTTCTTACATACTGCCAAGGAAGCTGCACAAAGTTTTGCCAAATTTGGAAGGCATCTCTGGAGACAGTCTTACTTAAAAAACAGATTATGTGGCACATTTCAAGTTCATTTTGAGGGACCCGGAGGCACTACAACGTGTTTTTCTCTTCTGTACTGAGTGGTCTGGCACATAATTTTAAAAACTTGACAAACTGAGCTCAGAAATTTTCATTTTAAAATGTATGCTATTTGATGGAAGGTGGAAGACATGGTGTAGTGGGAGGATGACAGGTCCCAAATCTTCATCAATTTTTCATAGTGACTACATTTGATTTTTTTCCCCCTCTGTGGATGCATTTTACAAACTATAATACACAAAATGCCAACATAAAGACCAATAAATCTTAGATCTGCCTTGGACTATAGAGAGGCAAAAATAAAGTAAAAATTTTGAGAGTCTCCATATCAGTCTACAAGTGATAACTGCTCTAGGACAAGACTCTAAAATGAAGATGTCTGATGGCCAATCAGAAGAGGCAGGCTCTTTTAGGAACAGATGAAACTGATATCCATAAGAAACACCTAAACACTCCTCTTTGAGGCAGCAGAAACTGAGATCCAAAAAGTGCTCCTTAAAAGGCAAATGAGAAAGGCATGTTCATTTATACCCAGTTGAAACCAAAATCTAGCAAGAGAGATGCTGGGCAACATACTGAAAGGATACACACGCTTTTAAGTGCTATAGACAGAAAAAAAACAATAGTTTCACATTGATTCTGCTAAGGAAACTAGCTCAATGTAATGTCTGAACATTAATTTGAATTTAACATCAGTGTAATGTTATTATTAGAGTCACTGAAAACTAAAATAATATTATAGTCATTATTGAAAACCAAGAGCCCTAAAAAGTGCCAGCTCAACAACATAAGACCTTAGACATTCAAAAAGTAACATTAGGGCCATCTACAGTACATTTCAATGGGGTGTGGTGAAGGAAGAACAGTGGTTAGTTCCCATAAACAACTGAGTCCCCTAAATAAAATCCTTTGCTTTCAAATACCCACAGTTCCTATGACCACTAATAAAACTTCTGAAATGCAGACACTGATTTGTGACCAAGCGTTTTCTTACATGAACAACTCTTATGTAATGTTTTAAATGTTTCCCATTTTTCTCCTTAAGAGTCGTCTTCACTTCTGAACAGAAAAATATTCCTAGATGATTCAGTTCTTTTATCTCAGTACCACAGGTCAAGTCATAAAACTTACAATTTACTTCTGCAACAATGAATTAATGAACATATCAATATTAATGACGTTTAGCTTATTACATGGCAAATTTAAAATATGTTCAGAGTAAGCATTTATTTGCATATATATACTGTACTAAAGAGAATTAAACTATGGAGTTCACTAAAATGCTGGGCCCTTACCAGGCTTGATGAGAGGAATCAGTTCTTAATACGTTCACAGGAACCTTAATCTCACCTAGGAAAACATCTTGGACTAGGTTTCCATTGTTCCACAAGTCGATCCTGAAAATTGAAAACTGGCTTTATGTTTTGCAAACAATGTTTAAGAGAGTTCACACCACAAAACAGCTTCAAATTACTTTGATCTGTATTACAGCATTAATTTTACATGCTTAAAAGATGTTAGCAACACCATATACATACCTCACTATCCAGACTAGAGAAGCAAAATACTACAGCAGCTTTTATTTAAAAAGCACAGAAAGTAATTTTAAATAGTCTGAAAGAAGGCACTTAAACTGTCTTAGTTTGAAAGTCGAGGCTTTATTTTAACCTATAGCAATAAGGACTACAGAAAGAAACTACAATAAGACTACAGTTTCTCTCTAGATTACCACCAATTAATATATATATAGAAAAATTAGAAAAATACATTACCTGATCACTCCAAACACATGATTAATATACCATCTAGATGAACACACTGTTAACATCACACCTACACATGCATTTATAAGATTTTTCCTTCGCAAAGGGCATAGATATTTAAGACCCAGGAAACAGCACAAACTTCAAACACATGCACCTGTTGAATTATCTTCTTACCTCACTGAAATTTCTGTTAGACAGCAGATATGTTAAGAAGAATAAAAAAAAATTTCTAAATTGGCTGAGATATAACTTCCTTTCCATCCATTACACTATAATCCAGAAATGTAAGGAACAATTTGGGAAAAATTAAAAATCAATACAATAAAACAGATGAAAATTAGATCATCTTTGTTTATAAAATTAATACACTTTGACTATTTCTGCAAACAAATCAGACTTTGGAAAGATAATCTGGATTTAAATTAGTTGCATATTCCTCTAAGTTTCATCAACCAACTTGCTATAGAGAATTCTATTAAAGTTGGTTTACTTTTTTTGGTTGAATCTAGGATTTTCTTTTGGTATACAAAAAAGCAATTCTGTAAAACCCCAAGGCACATACCTGATTTCTAGCTTTTCAATGTCCTCCTCTTCTACCTGGAACTGGGACTTTCTGGTGTAACTACTGGATCTGGTTACCTGTAAACAAAATATTTTAGTAAAAATTTTTTTTAAAAAAATACATTTTTCCTACAGCTTAAAAATGATCATCTGCAAAATATTCAATTGTGGATAAAAGCAGAGGAAAATGTCCAAGTAATATTTTACTCAATAGCTGAATATAAAAGCAACTATGGAAGTAGCAGAAAAGAATAAGGTAGTGTAAAAAAAAAATCAAAATAATACCAGCTTGTTCATCTCACTCAAGTCTAAGAAAAATTCTCCCCTTAAATTATGGTCTTCCTATCTCTTTCCTTTCTTAGACAAATCTGAAAACTGCAATCCATCCTTACAGCTTGTACTTCCTCACCACCCACTCACTATAGTAACTCCT
Organism: Homo sapiens; assembly: GCF_000001405.40. Classification (NCBI taxonomy): domain Eukaryota; kingdom Metazoa; phylum Chordata; class Mammalia; order Primates; family Hominidae; genus Homo; species Homo sapiens. The sequence goes on along the minus strand of NC_000003.12, from coordinate 141,558,530 downwards.
TATAATCTTGGCTTCCTCACAGATCACTCTCCTAAAATCTCTCTTCATCACCACATCTGACGATAAATTCTCAGTTCTTACCTCCCTTGATCTCCTATTTAATTTAGTGATCATACAACTGTATCTCCTTTCCCAGAAACACTCTATAGAATTTACCTGGGCACTACCTTGGCAACCTTATGCTGCTGTCTTTGTTTCTTTTTCAGAATCTATAGATAAATTATTCTTCAAAATTTTATGTTTTATTTTGCACTAAAAACAACTTGGAGCTGCACAGTGCTGTACAATCTACAAAGTGCTTTCACATGCATTATCTCCTTTGTTCATCAGAACGCTGCTCAGAGGCGGACAGGGCTAGATTTATTACCCTCACTTAAAAATGAGGAAGCTGAAGTACAGAAATTAAATGACATGCTGAAAGTTAAATACTTGAGTCGCAGAAATTAGTTTCTTCACTTTTCTCCTGTATTGTATACCTCTATTCTCTTGGCTTTCTTGGCTGTTTATATAAACAAACCTTGAGTGTTGGTCAATAACTATCACTCATATTAAGTTTCAGTCATAAACTCCCTACTGGAGGATTTAAAATGTCAGCCCTCAAGCTAATTATGCTCCAAACTAAGCCACTTTTATTTTCCTTCTTCCCTACTCTTCTATTTTTCCAGATTTGGAACCTTGGGGGCAGCATTCAACTACTTCCTTTCTCTTTTTTTCTATAACCAATTTGTTACCTTGCCCTTTGCATTCTCTCTTTTATCTGCCTCTTCCTCTCTATTTCCATAGCACTCTCTTGAAAGATACCCCATCCCCTCCCCATTTTTCTTACACCTAAAGTACAACAGTCTCCCCAGCTTTGTTCTTTCTCCCTAAGCCACCTGGACCTCAGATCATAGTTAATTCCTTCCCAAACACTGTTTTACTCATAACTTATAGGCTCAAAATCATTTACTTAAGCACCATAACTAGGCACTCAAGGCCTTTCATCAGCTGGTCTTACTCTACCTTTCTAATCTTAGTTTCCATTATTTCCTTACACAAGCCCAGTAAAATCAGTACTCACTGTACTTTGGACATAACTTTCTGCTTTTCTGTCTCTGTGCCTCTGCTCAAAATGTTCGTCATCTCTAATACTCTCTTTCCTCAATCTTAGAAAATCCAATATTTCTTCAAGCCTTTAATGGAGCAGAGTTCATCTGACCTCCCCAATATCTACTGCATTTTACTGTTGTGTATATGCATACATATGTCTGCTTTGTGTTCCTTGCTTCAGTTAAAGGACAGAGATGGAAATGTATCTATCTTTATAACCAACTAAAGGCCCTCTGAATGAATGTTGCAAGGCCTAACAAGTACTCCTGCTACAGCAGGCAGGTCAGGCCTTCTACTTTTAAAAGGTCATCTGCTGACTGTAAGGATCCATGAAGCAGAGTAGATTCCATCCAGCTGAGGTTTAAGGTATGTGGGCTAATGGGGAGTGTGAGTGCCTTTAGTCAGCGGCCCTTTACATTGCTGCCTTCTTTGTTTTCTCCAGGTTAGATGCAACCGCCATTAATAAACGTAGAACAACTGCACCAAGTCCTTAGCCAGGAAATGGAAAAGTCTCACATTGGTACTTTTTCTTTTGTTTTTTTTTTCTCCCTTGCTTCCCCCTCCACAATTCTTCCTGCTTCACTTTTGGCATTTTCTTCGGCCTGTGTTCCTTTATTAAAGTACAGCAATCAGGCATGACTAGAGGTACCGTTATTCTCTCCACTGTGAAATACCAAGAAAAATACACACAGAAGAAAAGGCACAAAATGTAACTCCTTTTTTCAAACCTTCCCTACACGTTGATATGAACTGCAACATGCTTTATTAGAATACAATCTTTTTGAGAGTTTGATTTTTTTTTTCTGTAGTTTGCAAATAATATGAAAAAGGATTTCTTTAACAAATGCTCCAAAGAAAAGCACTCCAAAGCTTTTGTCCAAACTGTATTTGGGACAACTTCAAGGCAGCTGAAGCTGTCTATGAAGATAAGCAGGCGTCCACAGAATGAATTAGGCTTAAAAAAAAAAGTAATAATAAAGCTGTAATCATAAAGTATTTTATGGTCTCAAAGGATTCTCACATGCTTTGGGTCTTACAAAAACTCTGAGTCAGGTAGTGCTGCTAGTTTCCCTTCCGATTATTCTTTCACAGGATAAGAAACTTGAGTCACATTTAGTGACTCTTTCAGTCAACTTGACTGGAACTCAGATTTCTTGAGTGATAATTACACTTACTTCACTAGTGACTGTCAAAGGGTACCCTGCAGAAGAATCCTGTGGCCACTATGTGTTAGGTAGGGAGCTGGGTAGGGTAAGGGAGGGTGCAAAGGAAGGGCATGAATAGTGAGGATGACTGGGGAGTGGGTATGGCCCTGGCCCTTCCTGCTCCCAAATTAGAGCTCTGCCTTTATTCATTTTATATATTGGGCATCCATTGCATCACACCATGGTTCTACTGCTTTCAGGAGAGAAATGCTTATCTGCATTAATTGATAAAATGATTACTATGACTGTGGTTTGAAAAAAGAAATCAACTAGCATTAAATATTACATATTTAATGTTAACATTTACGTAAAACAAAAAATTACCTCAAAATAAAAGATTTCATTAAACTGCGGATTGCTTGTTTTCTTCTTTACTTTTGTCTTCTTTTGGTCATTCCTGTTCCAATGTGGTAGAGTTTTACCTTGTAGAACTTAACAGTACACAATTATAAAACATGCTATTTCCAACCAGGGAGCCTGACCTCCATTTAAAAGTTAAGGTGACTCAGGGAAGATTCAGTTTTAAATATTGCTTGGAAAAAAGTAACTGTCCTTATAAACTCAAATCAAAGAATATATAAGCTTTAGGCATCCCCTATGTGCCAAGATTGTATTATTCTCTCTACGGACACACTAGATTGCCAACCTTTTTCAGGGGTTTTAAAAACACATTCTATTCTATAAGCAACTCAGAATAAATAGAAGGAAGACAATAAGATTTAGAGCACCTTCATCTATGTTGAAAAATACCCAAGGAACTTGAAAAACATTCTTAACTCAGCTTACTTCTTGGGCTTCAGGTATAATAGAGACTTCTTAAAAAAATCTTTTAATTTAATTATAGATTCAGAGGAGGTCACAAAAAACGCATAAGGAAATCTTGTGTTTTTACCCAGCCTCTCCCAGTGTTAACATCTTACACAACTACAGTACAATAGCAAAACCAACAGTGACTTTTTATTTTTTAGTTTTTTGAGATGGAGTTTTGCTCGTTGCCCAGGCTGGATGGAGTGCAATGGCACAATCTCGGTTCACCATAACCTTCGCCTCAGGGTTCAAGCGATTCTCCTGCCTCAGCCTCCCGAGTAGCTGGGATTACAGGCATGAGCCACCACACCCAGCTAATTCTGTATTTTTAGTAGAGACGGGGTTTCTCCTTGTTGGTCAGGCTGATCTCGAACTCCTGACCTCAGGTAATCCACCCGCCTCGGCCTCCCAAAGTGCTGGGATTACAGGCGTGAGCCACCTGCGCCTGGCCAGACTTTTTAAAACACAAATTCATATGCCAAATTGTCTCTAACTGTATGTTACCAAATAATTTGTCAGGTAGAGATTATTAAAAAAAACAAAAATAGCTCCACTAGATTGAACATTTTTAACACACAAAAATAAATCTCTCTAATAGCATTTAATGTCATACGACTGAGTATCTGCTAATAGCATACTATTGTTTGAGCACCTAATAAATACCGGCATGGTACTAGGTACTTTACATACATACATAAATACATTTTTCAAAGTGACTTAGTAGTGATTTTCTACAAAGTAAGAATAACTAGAGATTCTGGGGATGGGGAAAAGGGGTGTGTATGTATGCATGTATGTGTGTGTAGAGGGAATACTGTGTTTCTTGCTTCCTGATTCTAAACCTTCAAGTTGTAGACATATTTCAGATGTGTCAGTTCCTTAAAGAAATCATAATGAAGTCATATAACACACCGTATTACAAAGTGCTATAGGTTTTTTCACAAATTATTATAAATCATTTAAATCAATGATATGGTACACTTTGCCATGCTCTAGTACTTCAGCAGTTTTTCTACAGTTGGAATTCTCTCTGTAGAGGACAGATTTCATGAGTAGAAAAGGCAATTTTCAGTCCTGAGCTGCCTTCCAGATAAAAATATATAAATTGTCTTGTTATTCTGAACTGGCATTCATTAAAACAGGATTTTACATGCATAAAATTCAGGATATTTGAAAAGTAGGAATGCTGATGCATGAAAAGTCAAGTTTATGTTTTAAAGTACTACATTGTACTAGTATAAAACTGAAGTTGTTCCTTAAAGCCTAAGAGCATGGCAGATTTAAAATGGGGTACCAATTTCTGTCTGTAAAAAGAGGGCTTTGTTATTGACAAGTGTATAATAGAACTCACTAAAGATTTTTCTTTCAAAGCATTTATTACTGTGTGTTATAAATAGCTATTTATCATTTGCTCGTAGAATCTTACTTTTTAAATTTTTAAATCAAACATCAAAACTTTAAAACCTAATAATAATTCAATAAATATTACCTAGAAGGGCCCACTAGAGAAACTGTTGCATAAGGGTCACAGCTTTGGCCATTTATGAGAGGCAACCCATGGCATGCCTTGATGCTAAGGTAGAATAAAAGAGATTTAACATATTAGATTCCAGTTAAACAAGATAAAACATTATCTTTAAACACAAACTAATACATTCAAAAGGTTAAGAATTGTTTTCCATGTGTCTGCAGTTGTATGGCTATATACTACCTATATGGAATAGGTAGTAATATGTATGGACATATGTATGTATGCATTTTTAAATTTATGCTGTATTTTCAAAATGAGACTAAACAGGAATGCCACAATCACTAATGAAACTATCAAACACAGACTGAGCATTCCAAATTCAAAAATCCAAAGTCCTCCAAAATTCAAAACTTTCTGAGCACTGACATGATGCTCCAAGGAAATGCTCACTGCAGCATTTCAAATTTGGGCTTTTTGGATTTGGGATGCTTAATGGGCAAGTATATATAATGCAAATACTCAAAAAAAAAATAAGAATAAGAAATTCAAAACAGTCTCAAGCACTGTAGATAAGGGATGTGTAACAGTCAACACATTTCCTTCTGCTAAATACCCAACAAGGTACATTTTGCGGTTTGATAATACATCAAAACTGCTGTGGCCTCTAAAAAGGAAAAGAAAGTGGTGCAAACCCTAAATGAGAAGCTACAAACCAAGCCAGCTCTATGGCATCATATCCTCTGCTAAAGCATGAATGACAAACAAGGAAACAACTGCAGCTTCCACTTAAAAATCTGATTCATAAATATAGGGCAAGCTTCACACAATTCTGCAGCCTTTTATTCCAATTCTCAGTAAACAGCTCCTCAGTAAGCACCATTCTGTAGAAAATGTTTTAGACCATAAAAACCAAGGTCATCTAATCTACTCCATGGCTCACAGTTGTTGGCATTTACAGAGAACACAGAATCTAACTTTAGTGATTTGTTCCTCCAATTTTCTCACTAAATATTACTGAGTTTATGAGTTTAGTTTAATGTCTAAGGGTCTGCATTTTCTAATGCCTAAGAGAAACTCATGAGTGTTGCTGAAAAGTATTCTTTGTTGAAAGATGCAAGCTGTTGAGTACATCCTTATTTCTCTCCACAACCCACAGGTCACAGATGTGAGTGAAGTGCTATTGGTATACTGCAGAGTAAAGACAGAAATGATAATACGACTCATTTCTATTATAGCTGAGCATAAAAAAATAAAGAAAGAAATTTTGAAACTAGCCAAAGAAAACACAAGCCAAGATAATTCTGGGTTTTAATGTTGGGTTGAGGTACAGTCAGATTTTCCCACTGTACATACTGCTTAAAACTTACCCTTCTCAGGCTAAACCTCAAAATGATATCTGACACGGCATTTGCAGTTTACTATGCACTTTCACAAAATGCACCTAATTCTCACAACTGCCTTTGAGAAGAGAATTATGCCATTTAAAAGAAGTAAGGCTCACAGGTTATGTGAGGAAGTTACAAGGTAAGGCTCAAAGAGGTAGCGTAACTTGTAAGAAGCTGGCCAAGACTCAACTTCTACTTTTTAATTTTGTTACTGAAGTCCAGTGCCCTTCTACATTCCCACTGTGCCCCCAAATACAATATTACTGTCCTTGTAATACCACATTTATCTCACATAAACACCAATTATGAGAAACCTTAATGACAGAAATCCAATTTTCTATTTTATGAGGTATAAAAAAAAGCAGAGGAAAATGCAGTACTGACTTATAAAAAACTTATGAAACGATAAGAATACCCACAAACCAAAACACGGATGCCCATAAACCAGAAGTGCACCCTACAGAAATCATCAGTACTCTTAATTTTTAAATATAAAACAGTTAAAAATTGAGTTTTCTGCAAAACTTAAGTAATATTATTAAATATAGGTTATTCATTACATATATTTGGAAATATTATTTTTCTAATTACCTAGCATAGCACTGTTCTTCCAATCTGTAAGTAAGCAATTTCATATCATAAATCATGGATGGGCAGAAAACAAATGTTGAAAATAACCTCAATAAGGAATTTGATATTTTATTTATATGTGACATATAAAGCATTTACAATATAGTATCTAAAATTTACAAAGGTAAGAAAATATTATAAACAGTTCAGAATAAGACTGATCTGATTCTTTTCTTTGGATTTTTTTTTAAACTAAAAGAAAATTTTAACTTCTACATCCAGGTAAGATGGAGTAACAGGAACTAGATTTACTCTCCACCCAAAACGAATTGAACAAAATCAGCAGTGAAGGACAGGTGAGCCCTCCAACTGCCCCAGCTTACAGCTAAATGGTTTCTCTGAGAAGAAGAGGCAAAGCTGTCAGCAGGAGGAGGTCAAAGTGACTAGGGACCCCAGGGCAGAGTACTAAAGGGAAGAAAGTTGCACAGAGAAAGAAAAACCTCCAGGGAGCTACAAGAATCCCCACTGAGTATTCAGCTGAGTATTGATACGTGTATATATGAGGAAATCATCTGAGGCTGGGGAAAGAACCATTTGAAAAGAATAGAGGCAATAGTTCCTAAAACCCACACATGGCTAGCAAGAGGTACCATCAGCCACAGTAGAAAACCTGGTAATTCATGGGTACTGCCTTAATAGTAGGAAAACATAAGCCCTCCAGTAAAGACTGTGCTTGTCTGTTTAACAAAAGTTAAAAGTAAACCACAAAAGGATCAAACTGTTTCTAAGTAACTTAACCAAGTGCCGAACAAAGCTCAAGTACATTCATAGAAATATTAAAATATCCAGCAACTTCACAATGTCTGGCATGCAACAGAAAATAACCAGGAATGCAAGGAACTAAGAAATTATGATCCATAATGAAAAGAAAAATCAATAGAAACAGAATCAGAAATGACAAAGAAGACAGAACTAGCAGACAAAGACATTTAAAAGTTATAATTATATTCCATATGATCCATCCAGACACAGAAGACAATAAAAATGGAAAAATCTAGAGATGAAAAACATACTGAGCGGAATTAAACATTTGCTAAGACTTTGGGGGAGGAGTTGGATAGACATGAGAATCAGTACTTCAGTTTTTGAGACAGAGTCTCACTCTGTCGCCCAGGCTGGAGTGCAGTGGCGCAATCTCGGCTCCCCGCAAGCTCCGCCTCCCGGTTTTACGCCATTCTCCTGCCTCAGCCTCCCTGTACTTCAGTTTTAAATGTGTTAAGTTTGCAATGTGATTCATCAAAGTAGACATATTAATCTGAAACTCAGAAAACAGACCTGGGTTGAATGCACAAGGTACAGGCAATTTTAAAAACCTTATTTTGAAATAATTTCAGATATTCAAAAAAGCTGTTAAAATAATAGTTTCTGTATACTCATCAACAAATGTTAACGTTTTGTAGAACCACAGCAGAATTACTGAAATCTGTAGCCCTTACTCAAATTTCACCAATGTCCTTTTTTGATCTAGGACACAATACAGGATCCCATAGTGCATTTAGTTGTCATGTCTTCTTATTCCTCTCCATCCTGAGACAGTTCATTAGTTTTCCTTCTTTGCCCCGTGATCTTGCCAGTATTGGCCAGTTATTTTGTAGTGTATTCCTTAATCTGAGTTTGTCTGATGTTTACTCATGATTAGGTTGAGGTTATGTATCTTGGTGTCCTTCTCAATGCATCCTATTGGGAAGTACTGGATGTCTCATTATTGGTGATGTTAACTTTGATCACTCAATTAAGGTGGCATCTATCAGACATCTTGTCACCACACTTATGCTCACTTAGCATCCATAGATGATTTTTTGAATTGTCCCCTCACCCACTTATTATTGTGATGTTTGCCAATGTTGATTTTCATTTCCATCATTCCTCCTACATTCATTAACTAGAATTCTACTATAGGAAAAATCAGTCCTTTCTCCCTACCAAGTATTTGAGTTTTTAATTGTTTATTTGTACCAGTATTCGCTTATATTTATTTTATTCTATAAGTTTTAATCCACTATTATTATTTATTCTGAAGCTCAAATTGTTCCAGATTTGGTAATTTGAAGTCCCTTTACATTGGCTTCAATGTCCTTTTTACATATCCCCATTATTTTTTAGCACTTTCTTACTTTTTGAGACCCCAAGATGCTCCAGACTCATCTCATATTTTCCCTGCCCAAGTCCTGAAATAAGCTACTGCTAAAAAGGAGTCCAGGTTCTTTTACTGAAGCTGCACTAATGCTGTAGTCATTAGCCATGTGTGGTTTTTTACATTTAATTAAAATTAAATAAAATTAAACTTCAGCTCTTTGGTCACATTAGCTGTATTTCAAGTTTTCAATATCCACACATGGCTAGTGGCTACTGTTTTGGACAGTGAAGATACAAAGCATTTTCCACATCACAGAAAAATCTACTGGAGAGTGCTGACTGGAGAATTGCAAACACACACACACACACACACACACACACACGCACACACACACTCATACACACTCCTACCACTATTTTTCCCTAGAGAAGTCTGCCTTCAAAGGAGAGCAGAGGAATGGGAATGATAAAAAGGACTGGGGTATGGGTGGGCAGAGATGAGGTCTGGGGAGGCATGCCTTTTAGGACAGAGATACTAGACCATGTTTATTTGTGGTGAGAACCATGTAGGAGAGAAGGTAAAGCTGACAAAACAAGAAAAAGAAGGCATAACTGAAGGAGCAAAACTCATTAAGTAGAGGAAATAAATGGAATCCAGAGCTCAGATGGAAGAATTCAATGTCAAGAAAAGGAGTACCTCCTCTGCTCTAAGGACAAAATTATGGATGCAAATTAGGTTTATAGATTTGGATTCAGGAAGATGTAAGCAATTTCCAGGCTGTGGTGGTAGAGAATCTTATAGCTGTATTAGAGAAGCACAGTTAAATTCCAGGGCAGATATAAGTGCCCATGTGAGGCCTGTGATGATAAATTTAAAGTGAAATCAGCCTACATGATTTTCTCCAGCTATATTCATGTGCAGATTGAACACAGAGGAAGAGGTCATTTTCAATTAGAGTTTTTCCAGATAAATAAGAATGATGAGAACAATAGGGGAGTTTACGGAACCTGCGAGAAAATGACTACAGCAATAGGTCACGGAAAAAGATGTAGAAAGAAGTGAAAACAGGAACACAGTGAAGATCAATGGATGGCAGGGAGGTCTCACTAAAGTTCAAAAAATGTTGTAGTGGGGACTTTCTAGGTCTGGAGGATAATAGTAACTACTAGGATATGAATCTTCCCATACATTACTCCCCCAAAACCAAAGTCCAGCAAGAAGCACAAAGAAAGCCATATGTGAAACCATGCCTTTAGCAATACTAAAAAACAGAGAATGTCATGAATTTCAGAATATCTATAAGGATGAGAAATCAACAATAAATTCCATAAAGCTACCACTGGAACTCTGCTGCTACAAGACAGTGAGTATGGAGAGCAAAAGCTTAAGAAACTTTGAAAAAAAGAATAAATGGAAAAACCTAGAAGAAATGGATAAATTCCTGGACATATACAACCTACCAAGATTGAACCATGAAAAAATCCAAAACCTGAAGAGACCAATAACAAGTAATGAAATTGAAGCCACAGTAAAAAGTCTTGCAGCAAAGAAAAGCCTGGGACCTGATGGCTTCACTGCTGAATTCTACCAAATATTTCAAGAAGAACTAATACCAATCCTACTCAGCTAGTCCAAAAAATAGAGAGGGGAACACTTCCAAATTCATCCTATGAGGCCAGTGTTACCCTGATACCAAACCAGAGAGAGATACATCAAAAAAAGAAAACTATAGGCCAATATCCCTGATGAACCTTGATGCAAAAATCTTCAACAAAATATGAGCAAACCCAATTCGACAACACGTTAAAAAGATCATTCATCATGACCAAGTGGGATTTGTCTCAGGGATGCAAGGATGGTTCAATATGTGCAAATTAATCAGTGTGACACATCATATCAACAGAATGAAGGGCAAGAACCATATGATCATTTCAACTGATGCCAAAAAGTATTTGACAAAATTCAACAGTCCTTCATAATAATAAAACCCTCAAAAAATAGGTACAGAAGGATCAAACCTCAACACAATAAAAGCCATATAGTACATATCCATAGCTAGTATCATACTGAATGGGGAACAACTGAAAGTCTTTTCTCTAAGATCTGGAACATGACAAGGATGCCCACTTTCACCACTGTTATTCAAGTCCTAGCTAGAGCAATCAGACAAGAGATAGAAATAAAGGCATCCAAACTGGAAAGAAAGAAGTAAAATCATCCTTGTTCACAGATGATATGATCTTATTTGGAAAAAACCTAAAGACTCCACCAAAAAACTATTAGAACTGATAAACAAATTTAGTAAAGTGGCAGGATTCAAAATTAACACAACAAAAATCAGTGGGGTTTCTGTATGCCAACAGTGAACAATTTGAAAAATAAATCAAGAAAGTAATACTGCTTACACAATAGCTACAAATAAAACAAAATAGCTAGGAATTAACCACAGAAGTGAAAGACATCTATAATGAAAACTGTAAAACACTGATGCAGGAAATTGAAGAGGACACTCAAAAATGGAAAGATATTCCAAGTTCATGGACTGGAAGAATCAATGTTGTTAAAATGTCCATACTACCTAAAGCAATCTACAGATTCAATGCAATCCCTACTGAAATACCAATGTCATTCTTCACAGAAATAGAAAAAAAAAATCCCAAAATTTATATGAAACCACAAAAGACCCAGAATAACCAAAGCTATCCTGAGCAAAAAGAACAAAACTGGAAGAATCACAATTATCTGATTTCAAATTATACTACAGAGCTATAATAATCAAAACAGCATTGTACTGGCATAAAAACAGACACATAGACCAACAGATCATTACAGAGAACCTAGAAACAAATCCGTACATCTACAGTGAACTCATTTTTAATAAAGGTGCCAAGAACATACACTGGGGAAAGGACAGTTTCTTCAATAAATGGTGCTGGGAAAAATAGATATCCATATGCAGAAGAATGAAACTAAACCCGTATCTCTCACCATATTAAAAAAATCAAATAAAAATGGATTAAAGGCTTAAATCTAGACCACAGACTATGAAATTACTACAAGAAAACATTGGGAAACTCTCCAGGACATTGGACTAGACAAAGATTTCTTGCATAATGGTTGCCACAAGCACACAAGCACAGGCAACCAAAGCGAAAATAGACAAATGGGATCACACCAAGTTAAAAAGCTTCTACACAACAAAGGAAGGATCAACAAAGTGAAGAGACAACCCACAGAATGGGAGAATATTTGCTAACTAACCATCTGAGAACGGATTAATAACCAGAATATGTAAGGAGGTCAAACAACTCTACGGGAAAAGAATATAATAATCTGATTTAAAAATGAGCAAAAGATCTGAATAAATATTTCTCAAAAGAAGACATACAAATGGCAAACAAATTTATGAAAAGGTGCTCAACATCACTGATCATCAGAGAAGTGTAAATCAAAACTACAATGAAATTATAATTTTTCTCCAGTTAAAATGGCTTTTATCCAAAAGACATGCGTAACAAATATTGGTGAGGATATGGAGAAAAGGGAACCCTTGTACACTGCTGGTGGCAATGTAAATTAATAAAACCACTATGGAGAACAGTTTGGAGGTTCCTCAAAAAACTAAAAATAGAGCTACCACATGATCCAGCAATCCCACTAAAGAAAGGGAATCAGTATATTGAAGAGGTATCTGCGCTCTCATGGTTACTGTGGCACTATTCACAATAGTCAAGAATTGGAAGCAATCTAAGTGTCCATCAACAGGCGAACTGATAAAGAAAATGTGGTATATATACATAATGGAGTACTTTTCAGTCACAAAAAAGAATCAGGTCCTGTCATTCAAAATAACAGGGATGGAACTGGAGATCATTACGTTAAGTGAAATAAACCAGGCACAGAAAGACAAACCTCGTATGGTCTCACTTGTGGGAGCTAAAAACTCAAACAATTGAACTCATGATAACAGAGAGTAGAACAAAGTTTTCCAGGGGCTGGGACGGGAAGTGAGGGTACAAAAATATAGTTAGATATAATGGATAAGATCTCGTATTTAACAGCATAAGAAGGTGACTACAGACAACAATAATTTATTATACATTTAAAAATAACTAAAAGAGGGCCAGGCTTGGTGGCTCATGCCTGTAATCCCAGCACTTTGGGAGGCTGAGGTGGGCACATCACGAGGTCAAGAGTTCGAGACCAGCCTGACCAACATGATGAAACCCCAACTCTACTAAAAATACAAAAATTAGCCAGGTCTGGTGGTGCACACCTGTAATCCCAGCTACTCGGAGGCTGAGGCAGGAGAATCACTTGAACCCAGGAGGTGGAGGTCGTGTCACTGCACCCCAGCCTGGTCGACAGAGTGAGACTCCATCTCAAAAAAAAAAAAAAAAAAAAAGTATGTAGTACCTCCCCACTCTCTCTCCTGTTCCTGCTCCTGCCATGTAGGACACCTGCTCCCGCTTGGTGTTTGTTATGATTGGAAGCTTCCTGAGGCCTCCCCAGAAGCAGATGCTGCCATGCTTCCTGTACAGCCTGCAGAACCATGAGTGAATTAAACTTCTTTATAAATTACCCAGTCTCAGGTATTTCTTTATAGCAATGTGAGAATGGACTAACACAAGACACTAACACCAAGATGACATGATTGTTATGATTATGTGACATGGATCTGAAAGCAGCCATCATAAAAATAATTCAATGAGCAATTTCTTTTTAACTTAAGTTCAGGGGTACATGTGCAGGTCTGTTATATAGGCAAACTTGTGTCACAAGGGTTTGTTGTACAGATTATTTTGTCACTTAGGTATTAAGGCTAGCACCCATTAGTTATTGTTCCTGATCCTCTCCCTCCTCCTACTCTCCACCCTCTGGTAGGCCCTAACGTCTGTTGTTCTTCTCTATGTGTCCATGCATTCTCATCATTTAGCTCCCACTATAAGTGAGCACGTGCAGTATTTGGTTTCATTTTCTGTTTCTGCGTTAGTCTGCTAAGGATAATGGCCTTCAGCTCCGCCTATGTTCCTGCAAAGGATATGATCTCTTTCTTTTTTACGGCTAGTATTCCATGGCATGTATGTACTGCATTTTCTTTATCCAGTCTGCGATTGATGGCCATTTAAGTTGATTCCATGTCTTTGCTATTGTGAATAATGCAATGAACAATTATGAATATGTTTGAAACAAAAAAACAAGAAAGTCTCTGCAAAAGAAACTCTCACCAAAGGAAAAAAGTTATAAAGAAGAATCAAATATAAATTTTAGAACTTAAAAATATAAATAACCAAAATAAAAAACTCAACAGATAAGCTAAACAGAAGAATGAAGAAGACAGAGGAAAGAATCAGTGAACTTGAAGACATAACAATAGAAATCACCCAATTTGAACAACAGAGGGAAAATAGACTGGGGGGAAAAGCAAAGGACAAAGCCTCAGGGGGACCTCTGGGACTGTAAAAAAAAGACCTAACATTTGTGCCACTGGCGTTCTGAAAGAAGAAGAGAAAGATAGCAGAGGTGATAAAGAATTAATAGAAGAAATAATGGTTGAAAATTCCCCAAATCTGGCAAAAGACATAAATATACATAGTCAAGAAGCTGAGCGAACCCCAAACAGGATAAATTAAATAAATCTATTCCAGGATACATCACAATCAAGCTAAAACATATAGAAATCTAAAGGCAGGCTGGGCGTGGTGGCTTACACCTATAACCCCAGGACTTTGGGAGGCCAAGGCAGAAGGATCACTTCAGGCCAGGAGTTCGAGAGCAGCCTGGCCAATATGGCGAAACCCTGTTTCTACTAAAAATGTAAAAATTAGCTGGGCATGGTGGTGCATGCCTGTAATTCCAGCTACTTAGGAGGCTGAGGCATGAAAATCGCTTGAATCCGGGAGGCAGAGGTTGCAGTGAGCTGAGATCACACCAATGCACTCCAGCCTGAGTGACAGAACTAGACTCCATATCAAAAAAAAAAAAAAAAAGAAAAAAGAAAGAAAGAAAGAAAAAAGAAAAGAAATCTAAAGGCAAAGAACAACCTTAAAAGAAGCCAGAGAAAAACGGTGTGTTACCTATAGGGAAAAACAATTTGAATGACAATGAACTTCACATCAGAAACCATCGAGGACACAAGGAAGTGGTACATTTTCAAATGTGGAAAGAAAAGAACTGTCCACTCAGAATTCTATATCTAGTATAATTATCTTTTACAAATGAAGAGGAAATCAAGACCTTCTGAGATGAAGGAAAACCAAGAGAATGTATCACCAAGAGACTTACTCTAAAAGAATGTTAAGAGGAAACTCTATACACTTAATCACAGAAGGAATCGTGAAACATCAGAAAGGAAAAAAATAACATGGAAAGGGCAAAAATGTGGGTAGAGACAACAGACTTACACTTTCCTTTTCCTCTAACTCTTTTCAACTGTGTTAGATGGCTGAAGCAAAAATTATAACATTGTTTGATGTGGTTCTCAATATATGTAGACAAAATATTTAAGACAAAGTATATTACAAATGGGGGAGGGTAAAGGGATTTAAAGAAAGGTAAAGTACATACATTTTATTCTAATTGGTAAAATGTTGACATCAGTACATTATGATTAGTTATGCATGTATAATGTAATACCTAGAGCAACCACTAAAAAAAAATCTATACAAAGAGACCATAGATTTTTTAAAAACACAATATAAATAAATCAAAATGGAATTCTAAAAAGTGTTCAAGTAACCCACAGGAAAAAGAAAACAGAAAACTATAAAATAGGAGACAAACAGAAAACAAACAAAAAATGGCATATTTAAGCCTAATATTCAATAATTACATTAAAAATAAATGGAAAAAACTCACCAAAAAAAGACAGAGATTGGCAAAAATGATTTTTTTAAAAAAGTGACCCAACTATATTCTGTCTACAAAAAACTACACACAGTCATTCAGATAGATCTGAGTAAAAAAAGCCAATCTCAAAAGGTCACATATTATAAGATTCCATTCACATAACATTCTTGAAATGACAAAATTATAGATATAAAGACAGATTAGAGGTTGCCAAGGGTTAGAAGAGAGGAGTGGTTATGACTATAAAGCTATGGGATGAGAGATATCTTTATGGTGACAGAAGAGTTTCGTATCTTGGTGGTGGTAGTTACACAAATCAACACACATGATAAAATGATCTATAACTATATACATACATTATGCCAATGTAAATTTCCTGGTTTTGGTATTGTGCTATAGTCATGCAAGATGTACCCACTGAGGGAAAAAGAATGAAGGGTACACAGGACCTCTCTGTACTATCCTTACAACTTTCTGTAAATCTGTAATTATTTCAAAATTTTAAAGTTGGGGGAAAAAAATCAAACTGCCAGCCTCCAACACTTCCTGTGTGAAATTAGGCTTATTTAACCAATATGGGCATCAGTTTTGTCATCTGCAAAATGAGGATAACAGTATCTACCAAATTATGGCAAGAAACAAATAACACACCAAAAAGGAAATGATATACGTACAGTGTGGATGAATCTCAAAAGCATTATGCTAAGTGAAAGACAGCAGACACAAAAAAGACATATCATATACTTTTGTTCAAATAACACTTTGGAAAAGGCAAAAACTGTAGGGACAGAAATCAGATCATGGTTGCTTGGAGCTGGGTGTGGGGAGAGGGAACTGAACTACACACATCTCTGAGTAACGCCTTTTGTTATAGTTTTGATTTTTGAAATCATGCAAATATTCTATTCAAAAATAAAATTAAGCCTAGAAGGATGGGGGAAAAAACTTAAATTGGGGGGAAGGGGCACAAAAAAACCCTTAAATTGAATGCAAACAAACCAAACCAACCAAACTAACTATATTTCAAATGACTATTATAATTAAACTGAAGCAGGGGAGGGAGGAGTGGAAGACCTAATCCAGATACTTTCACCATATGCTCTCAGTTGGTCTACAGAGTCAGTCTGTGGAGAAAAAGCTGCAAACAGATCTTGAACTATTTTTAGTAGGTAAATCCAAATTGAGAAACATTAAAAAAAAAAAAACTGGTTTATATTCTTAAAAAATGTTAATACAATCAAAGAAAAGCAAAAAACTATTCCATGTTAAAGGAGATTAAAGAGACATGTCAACTAAACATAAAACATAATCTTGGAGCAGATCCTTTCTTAGAAGGAAAAAAACGCCTTAATAGACATCATTGGGACAGTTAACAAAAGTGGAATATAATAACTGCAGATTAAAATATTAGAAAATAACTATAGATTTTTAAAAAGTATTGTAACAATGTTAAACTTCCTGAATTTGGTAACTGTACTGGAGTTATTTAAGATAATATTCCTTATTCTTAGGAAATACATACTGATATATTAAGAGTCATACATATGCAATCTTCTTTCAAAGAGGTCAGAAAAAATTAATGAAATAAATATTATATATAGTAGCAAACAGACATATTTATATACAGATAGAATACCTCAAAGGAGCTGGGGTTCACAATTGATGAGAATAAGTTACAGTCTGGAGCAGCAATAGGAGAGTAATATCTACTCTACTCCCTGACCTTACAATATGTGGACATGATAGAAAAACAAAGCCTCTAACTGAGAAGGCTGTGAAACTGCTGTACTTTGTGGGATATTCAGATGTCAACTAATGCAAAAATAGAGGAAAACACCCAGAAGAAGTGAAGGTTATCTGGCAGTCTATTGATATCACAGAGTAAGGGTTTGGAGGGGAGGAAAAGAGTAGGGGATTGGGCTACAACAGATTTCCAGAACAGCCAGGAGATTAGAGTCTGGGTGGTAAAAAATGACTTGAGGGTGGAAGAGGTAAAAAGGAATTCAAAGTAGGTGGGAATCAATACTGGTCATCTCTGAGTGGGCATTAGTTCTAGCTCCAAAGTCTCTAAAGCTCTGCTCTGTGGTATGACAATTTCTAGAGGACCTTCTTTGGGAAGCCTTTCCAATTCTCCACTGCCAGAGAGTTAGACACCCTTATCCTTAATGCCCATATATATCATTTAACCCATATTCAATAAATATTAGTTGAATAAATTAATGACTCACCATAACCTGAGTAGACTATGAGAAAATTAAATTGAAAATCAACTTCACAAAAGGAATGACATAGCAGAATTTCATTTTTGAAAAAAGTTTCTGAAGTTAAAACAAGGAGTTGGCTTAAAATCGAAAGAATACAAAATGGAGAATTATTTCTAGTTGATTTTGGTTAAAAAAAATGCTTACTGTACAACAAGCTGCTGGCATACAGTTCCATTCTCCGTTATCAGTTCATTCAGTTTTAATTCAAGGTGAACTTTACCCTATAATGACAAAAAGATTACAAACTGAGTAGTCTATTTTACTGACAAAATATTAAAGGTATGTGCCTTTTCAAATCACCACAGTATTTATCCACTGACCACTAGCACATGGCTTTGCCTACACTAAGTACTTGTTAAATGAATAATAACCAAAACCAGAGATCAAAGTTCTGAAAGATATGAAACAAATACTTATGTCAAACATGGTATTCAAATTTAAGAATTTTATGTCCAATTCAATAAATATTTATATATCTAATTATCACAGACTAAAAGGAAAGACAATACCTAAATTTAAGGAAATTTTGAGATAAAACCAAATTATAAAATGTAGGATGCTTTTTCCAGAAGATAAACCAGCATTAAGGACAGAAGCAGTCTCATTAAAAGACAGAGAAATCATACAATTCTAAAACAACTAAAAACTAAGTTACAGCCAATAAAACTCAATTTGTCACTACTTACTTTGATCAAACAATAAAGATTTATGGAATGTCTACTATGTTTCAGAAGGCACTGTGGGAGTGGGTAGGAATCCATAGATGTTAAAGATGTAAGTCACTGCTTACAAGCAGCGTACAATCTAGTTGGGAAGACAATAAACAAAAGATAACATATGGCCAAGAGTCTTGATGGAAAGATGGGACACTGAAAATAAAGGAGTACTTTCTTAAAGAGATATTAATAGACGAATTTTTAAAAATTAAGTAGTGTAAGTTCAAAAGAATTCAAACAATCAACTTCTCAAGAAATAAAGGCTTAGGAACAATATAATCTAGAGCTTGATATTTCTAACCTGCCGCTGGTGATGAGCAATTCTGCGCTAACAATTCTAAACTGGTTAAGAAACAGTACTGGATTACCTCCCTCCAGCTGACAAGACAAATTCTCACATTGCCATGTGGAGATTTCAGGGGAGTGATGTCTAGGGACTGATGACGTGAGTGATTTCATTAGAGGTAGGAAAGTTCATTATCTAGTCACTGTTCCTCTTTAGAACAACCCTTTTCAAAAATTCTTTCACAGAAACCTAACCTGAAACACCCTCACTATTTTAAGGGGACTTATACAAGAATGAATCTGAGGTCCACCAGGTACAAAGCTCAGGGTTAGATGAATAGTAAGAGATGAGCAAAAAATACTGATGGATCTTAAAACAGAAGTCTGCCTGAGAAAGCTAAGGTCTAAAGGAGCAAACACATCTGTGGTAGAAAAATTAATAGCAGTTACGTGGAGCTGGAACTAAATTAAGCAAATCTTCCACTAAAAATCTAGGCACAAATATTCATAAAATCATATATAATTTGTAAACTAGGTCTTTCATTATTCCTGCATTTAGTATTTACAATCTCTACTATTCAAGGGTGATCTTGAAGGTCCATGATCTGTAATTTGTAATATTACTCAACTAGAATTTTGAAATCATATTTTCTGTTGTGACAGCATGTATGTATTACTTGGCTAGCAAGGGAGCCAAGCCAACGGCACAAAAATTTGCAGTTTTACAATTTTAACATATATACATTTTATTACAGAAATCGTATGCTAACACAACTGTCTCTCAGGAAATGTCTGGGATCTATTCCAGTTCTAAGAAATAAAAACTATGACAATAGAGTAGAAAAAGATAATCATTTTGTTTACAACTAAAATCATAGTATTATAGCAAGTCAAAAGGATATTTAATGAGATTCTGCCAGAAATCATTATTATTGAGTCAGAGCCTACCTAATATGTTCATTACTCCCACTGACTGGTAAATAAAACATTCCTTAGGTATTAATCAACAATAACACAATTATATATTAACCAGGTCAAGAAAAGTGTGAGGACAGAACAGGCAGACACAAAACACATACTGTTAGGGTGGAACACTAAATTAAAAGGCATTATGAGTTAAATTAAGGAAATTATAATTTCTAAACTGTAAAACACTAACTCATTATATACTTTAACAAGGAAATACATACTATCCTTAGCAAAAGAAATAAATCACAAAATAGGGTACATACTATAATGTTAACTTATAAAAATAAAAAACATATATGTATAAAATTACAAGATCATCTACCAAAATGTTGATAGAAGATACCTTTGGTTGGTGAAATTTCAGAAGATTTTCTTTGCTTTTTTGCTCTAGATTTTAAAAGTTCATACTACCAATTTAATTTTCAGATTTTAAAAGTATATACTACCAATTTAATTTTCAAAGTTTTTACTACTACTGTGTTGTTCTTAGTAAAGAAAAATAAAGTTTTAAATTATTTAAAACTGCTTTTCAGTTTTAGAAACTCAAATCAGTGAACATTTTAGAATACTTTTTAGTCTCTTTTCACACAAAAGTTCAGTTTTACTTATATCTGTAATCATTTAATAGATTTGAATTGCAGCAAAACAAGTTTGTGTGTGTGTGTGTGTGTGTGTGTGTGTGTTTTGTTTTTTGATGGGGCAGTTATGAGCCCAGCAAACTGACATTCTGTAGCCTCCCTTGAGATCAGGGATAGCCATATGATGTAGTTCTGGCCAACAAGATAGAAACAGCAGTTGCTGGCAGGGAATCATACTTCTTCTCTAGAGGAAATATACCATTCAGGCCCTCAAATTATCTCCAATATATTTTATATTTTATTCTCCAGCATTCCATTAAAAATTACAGAATATGCCAGAAGATCAAAAACCAAGAGAAAAAATGAGGAAAGCAGTGGACTTACAAGAGACGCAGATATTGGAATTGACAGAATTTAAAATTGCTTTTTTTTTCTTTGAGACAGAGTCTAGCTCTGTCACGCAGGCCAGAGTGCAGTGGCGTGATCTCAGCTCACTGCAACCTCTGCCTCCCGGGTTCAAGCGATTCTCCTGCCTCAGCCTCCCGAGTAGCTGGGACTACAGGCATGTGCCACCACGCCCGGCTAATTTTTGTATTTTTAGTAGAGACACGGTTTCACCATGTTGGCCAGGCTGGTCTTGAACTTCTGACCTCAAGTAATTTTCCCGCCTTGGCCTCCCAAAGTGCTGGGATTACAGGTGTGAGCCACTGCATCCAGCCTAAAATAGCTATTTTTTAAAAGACATAAAACAAAATGAAAAATCCAGCAGATACCTGGAAACTATAAAATGAATGAAATAAAAAAGTTAGAACTAAGCAATAAACCAAAATGAAAATGTATTTAGTAGCAGAGTAGCCACAGCTGAAAAGAGGACTGGTGAAATGGGAGACAGGTCAGTAGAAAATATCCACAATGAAGCACAGAGAGGGAAAAAGCATAGGAGACATATGAGACATGGTGAAATGGCCTATTATTCATGTAACTGGAGTCACAGCAGAGAAGAGAAAAAAAGAACAGGGCAGAAAAAAAAAGGAGATAAGATAATTGCCTGGAATTTTCCAAAACTGATAGAAGACAAGCCACAGATTCAAGAACTCCTAGGGACAAATAAGAAAAATAAAGAACCTACGAAGAAGTAACATTAAGAATCCAACAAGGAGGCTGGGCGCAGTGGCTCATGCCTGTAATCCCAGCACTTTGGGAGGCCAAGGCAGGCAGATCACCTGAGGTCAGCAGTTTGAGACCAGCCTGACCAACACGGAGAAACCCCGTCTCTACTAAAAATACAAAATTAGCCGGGTGTGGCAGCGCATGCCTGTAATCCCAGCTATTCGGGAGGCTGAGGCAGGAGAATCACTTGAACCCAGGAGGCAGAGGTTGTGGTGAACTGAGATCACACCATTGCACTCCAGCAGAACTCCATCTCAAAAAAAAAAAAAAAAAAGAATCTAACAAGGTACTATGTTTGATAATAAACATGTAATGTGATTTGGTCTACAACTGCATTCTTATTATTCAATCTCCTAAAGGAAGCTCAATGACAGTATACTTTTCATGTATGTCAGAAAATGTTGGAAGATCAGATACCTTGCACTGTATTATACGTCTTTAATAAAAAATAAACCAAATTCTTGGAAGGTATTGCTCTATATGACTTCCATAGCACTGACTATGTTAGGCTGATACATGCAGTTATAATATCACATTATCTTATATTAAGGGGCATTCTGAGGAACTTACACTACTCTCGTACTGATATGGTTTGGCTGTGTCCCCACCAAATGTCAACTTGAATTGTATCTCCCAGAATTCCCATGTGTTGTGGGAGGAACCCGGGGGGAGGTCATTGAATCATGGGGGCCAGTCTTTCCTGTGCTATTCTCGTAATAGTGAATAAGTCTCACAAGATCTGATGGGTTTATCAGGGGTTTCCGCTTTTGCTTCTCTCTCATTTTCTTTTGCCACTGCCATGTAAGAAGTGCCTTTCACCTCCTGCCATGATTCTGACGCCTCCCCAGTCATGTGGAACTATAAGTCCAATTAAACCTCTTTTTCTTTCCAGTCTTGGATATGTCTTTATCAGCAGCGTGAAAATGGGCTAATACAGGTACTATTTGAAGATTTAGTATTTTATACGCTAACTTTATTTCAATTAATTTTACAAAAATTTCACACAAAAATATCTGTGATTATTTCAATTGTGTATTACATATATTCTTGGTACCATATAGAAGATACTGTGTAAATTTCTGCATACAGTTTGGGAAAATAAGATGAACAGAGGTTGATATGGCTTGAATGTTTGTCCCTCCAAATCTCATGATGAAATGTGATCCCCAGTGTTGGAGGTGGGGCCTAGTGGGAGGTGTCAGATCATGGGGGTAGATCCCTCATGAATGGCTGAGTGCCACCCCCTTGGTGATAAGTGCGTCTTGCTTAGTTAGTTCATGTGAGATCTAGTTGTTTAAGAGTCTGGGACTTCTGCCTTCTGTCTCTTGCTCCCTCTCTCATCATGTAATATGCCTGCTCCCCGTTTACCTTCCACCATGATTGTAAGCTTCCTGAAGCACTCACCAGAAGCAGATGCCAGCACCATACTTCCTGTACAGCCTGCAGAAGAACTGTAAGCCAAAATAAACCTCTTTCCTTTATAAATTACTCAGCCTTAGATGTTCCTTTATAGCAACACAAAAATGGACTAATATAGAGGTATTTGAGCAAAACATAATACATGCACTTAAAATCCTCTCAAGTCTAAACTTTATTTTGTTTTTATCACAAAACACTAAATTTTAACAACCATTTCCATATAAAATAACTCAGTATGTTTCAACTGGTAAAAAATGTTTTTACAGGCATACCTTGGAAATACTGTCTAAGGGTCCAGACCACTTCAATAAAGCAAATATCTAAACAGAAAGTCACAAAAATTTTTTGGTTTTCTAGTGTATATAAGTTACATTTATACTATATTGCAGTCTATTAAGTGTGCAATATGTCTTAAATAACAATATACATATTTTAATTTAAAAATATGTTATTGCTAAAAAAGGCTGTCATAGAGAAATGAGGTGAGCATATGATGTCGGAAAAATGAGGCAGATAGATTTGCTTGACACAGGGTTGTCACAAACCTGCAATTTGTAAAAAATGCAGTATCTGTGAAGCACGACACAGTGAAGTACAATGAAAGAAGGTATGCCTGTACATGAGGTGAAAAATATCCCAACTTCGGAGTTTCTGATGGATGTTTTAATACGTAGAAATTACCTCTATAAATGATTTTGGACACAATCGCCCATCAGATGAAAAAGCAAAATACAAATTTTATTTAATATCTCTTATATTAATGGCAGTTCTTTATGAAGGTGTTGTTTTCTCCTTAAAGAAGTATTTAATATGATCTAGAATGGCTCATTATTAATTCACATAAAAATTTAAAATGAAGTTAAAAAAAATCAACCTGCAATAATGAATTATGTTTTTACATTTGTTATGTCTTGAATAGGGCATGTTTTAAAAATCCTCATGTATTTATTATTAGCTATAATCATTGCATTTCTTTTTAAATGTCTTTTTAAACAGGTAAGGCAGAGGTCTTTAAAAAAAAAAACACCTATAAAACAATCAATAACTTATGGCATGATCCAGAAATTCAAGATATGCTTGTTGGTAAAGACCTATTAACTAAGTAATTGCATCATATAGGACATGGTTGATAGCACATCTGGATTTACTGCTTGGACAAGTTGTGTGAGACAAACTCCTTAATTAATGAGAGCAGCAAATTCTCCATATGGGAGATTTGGTTTAATCACTCTTTTTCCCCCCCCTATAAAGATGGGGTCTTGCTATGTTGCCCAAGCTGGTCTCAAACTTCTGGGCTCAAGCAATCTGTCTGCCTCAACCTTTCAAAGTGCTGGGACTACAGTGGGCCACCATACCCGGCCTGGTTAATCAACCATATGTAAAGTATGCTTTTTATCACTGTGCCTAAGAAATAAAGAAAGGATAAATACCTAATGTTCCTGGTGAGTTACAGGACCTAATAACTAATAGCACGGCTGTAGTTCACTGAAGCCAAAAGAGGATTTATAGAAGGCACCAGCACAACCCATATTAACTTCACATATGTGGCAAAGAATATTGAGAAAGAATACCAAATGAAATAGATGATAACTAGGACCATAAACAGGATCAGAAACTAAGGAAAAGAATGCTTCAAAATGGAGGGAGTGGTCACCAGTATCAAAAGCTGCTCAAAGATCAAGTAAGATGAGGACTGAAAAATGTCCACTAGACTTATTGACACAATGTCATTGGTAAAAAGAACCATTTCTGCTCTCTCTCTGACCCACTGCAGAGTCTGAAAGCAGATTAGAATAGGTTGAGGAAAAAAATGGTTCAGCCCAGAAGGAAAAATTACAAAAGGTAGAATCAAGCCAAAATCTAAATACAAAAAAAAAGTAGAAAAATACACTCATGAAATGTTACTAACAATATTTTGAACTACTGAAGATGAAACTGAAAAGAACTATTAACATTATTGACAAGTATAACAGTATCAGCAATAATAAAAAATTATCTCTGGGAGACAATTCAAGGTAAGAGGTTATAGTTCTAAACAATTTTTCAACTGTTTTGGCATAAAGCCCATCTTAATACTACTGGGATCCTTCCACTGGAAAGCTAAATTACATTTCTGCATGTTATTTCCCTAGAACTTCACAACTAAGGGAACCCTTTGCGCTGACATTATCATTTCATAGATGAAGATCCTCAGGTAACAGGCTTGCGATTATTTGGGGCACAAATGCTAATTAGTGGTAGAACTAGGAAACAAGCATCTCTCCCTCTGAGGTAGCAATGCCATTCATTTCCTCTACTCAAACCCCTTCCTTAGGGAACATGCCTACTCAAAGCCCTAAAGTGGACTGCCTTACAGTGAATTTTCCTCCAACCATATCAAATTAGATTGAAGTAGACATCTGACCCAAGTTTAGCCAAACTTTCTCTCTAGATTGTGGCAGAAAACTGAGTCAGATGTTGGAGGTGAGGAAGCTGTATGGTCACATGGACTCAAAAATTGGTGTGGCGTCTTTTAGGTCTCAAAAAGAGACTGGAGTAGATTTACAGAGAAGCAGAGGAAGAGACATGTCTCATCATACATACAAAAAGAATACAATGGCATCTCAAAATGGTGTTTTTTTCTTTCCTTTATATTTTGCAAAGCAAATAGTTATTAAAATGAGAGGGAAAGACTGAGAGAAAACATTATTCACTTCATGAAAGGGAAAGAAAAAAAACAATATTTAAACAGTGAGAACTTATGCTCAATAAGCACAGTGAACATAGGAATATAAGAAATGATTAGTGGGTCTCAGTTTCCATGTGCCACTTGCAGTATCTATTGCTGTACTGAGTCAGGGCAGGGGGGAGGTCTACAGTTTAAAGATACAGTATATAGTTTTCATTTACCATGGCCCAGAATGCAAGCCAATTATTTTATGCGGTAGTCAACCAAAAACAAACAAACCACCCAAATACCTTAGTGTATTTTATAAGAAACTAAACTCTTTTCAAAAATAATTGTAACTTACGCAAAAATTTTTAACTTTTCATTTTGTATACTCATTTTACAGATGAACTTAGGCAAATTTTAATGTCTGTTGTTCTAAGAATCTAGCCTCCACTTAAGATGCATCTCCTCTGCAAATGCCTGACAACTTTCTAGCTCACACTGGCAATGTAAAGTTCCTATGATGACATTCCAAGAAACTCTTTAGGAGCTTTCCAATGGCCTCTCCCATTTTCTTTGAGCAAATCTGAGCAGGCTTCTCTTCCTTACACTCAGATGTTACTTAAGTGATACTCCTAATCTATTTTTTTTAATGACTAATAGTACAGAATGGTGAAAGGTAGTAAAGGCACTGTGGTTAGGAGTTTTAGAATCAGACAGATCTCTTTTGGAATCAAGGCTCCACTACTTAGTAGTTCTGTGACTCTGGAGAAGACATTTAACCTCTGAATTTCATTTGCCTTATTTGTAAAATGCAGGTGATGCTATTTACCTCATAATGCTACTTTGAAAGTTAAATGACATTAAGTACTTAGTACTGTGCTTAGGATACACTGGTATAATTACTAATAGTAATTATCAGACTGAGTTCCTGTTGAACGCAATCTGTTTCATAGCTTTCACCTATTTCCCTATTAATTGCTCTTATGTTTCATGGTATTTTTGTAAAATTTTATAAAGTTTATGGAAGTGAACAAATTTATTAACAAAGTAGGATTTGTATGAACCATGGGATGATTTTCTATCTTTTCTAGACTCATAATTTAGTATTCCCTTATCAGCAGTGGGACAACAACATTTTCAATGGTACCATATTAACCCAAAAGTGTTATATGTCTCTTCCACCCCACAAAGTACTTTTCCTTCTAAAATCTGTTTTAAATAGTGAGCAAATCTTATTAAGTAAGTATCATTTAAGACAAAAGAGTTGTAAAGTTTAATAACTCACAGTCATGAAAATAACTTGTACAAAATTTTTAAATGACTATATTATATCTGGGTAACTGTTGCTTCCCCAATTTTCATGTTTCATAGATGAGATATATATCTCTCAAATGTGTATATATACATGCATATATGCATATATATGTATATCTATAAATATGCATACCCATGTGTATGTAATGTGTGTGTATATATATACATATATATGCATATATATACACACATATGCATATATACACATATGCATATATATATACACACACATATATATACACACACACACCATCAAATAAAGTCTTGTGTCTCTGTATTAATCTTTAGTACCATCTACAAGAATTCTATATTCTATATAGATTTTTACCTTTTGAGAGCTGGAACTCTTAAATTGTTTAGCAAATTTACATAAAATTCACAAAATTTATGAGTTTTATAAAATGTAATGGTTCATAAAATTTCAGTTTAAATTTTCAAAGCCTTTTCCTATCATGCCTTTTCTTAAAACTATTAAAAGAAAAACTGGTACTTTAAAACTTTCATATCTGCCTTTTGGTAAAGGAATATTAGGGAAATAGCCACCAGACTGACTGGTGGTAAACAGACAATATTTTACATCTGTATAGCATTAACAGCTTTTAAACTATTCTTACAGATATTTCACTTAATTCTCACAACCATATGAATCGAACACAGCAACTTTTATTCCCACTTTATAGAAATGAAATTCAATGTCATTTAAGTAACTACATATAAAAACTAGGACCTAAGTTTTCTGCCTTTTAATTTAAACACTTTCCACTTCTTCACATTGCTTCTCACATGGATCATTTACAATACTGTACAACTGGGATCTGAATAATAGCTATGGTCATAAGGAAAGACAAGAATATTAAAACATGGCAAAGTAGGTTAAACAGGAAAAGTATGTTAAATTTTGCAGTTAAGAAGGGGGGTTAGTGCATAAGTACTTAATTTTTTGAGAATTTAATAATTAATCAAAGAGAATGCTTGAGAGATTATGAGGAAATGGAGACACAGGCACTTATTTGCAAATTATCTGTGGTGTGGGTGTAGCACTTTTTTCTTGTCTTAAACTTCTGAGTCACAGTGGCAAATTAAAACTTCTTTTGGAGAGGAAGAATCCTGCTTGCAATTATGCCCTCGGGAAATGGTTTCACAATCCTTACCATATTTTATAAATAAATAAGGCTACAGCAAAAAGATTCCCTTTAGTTAGAAAAATAATTTCTAAGAGCAACTCAGATTTTCTAAAAACAAATAGAAACTTCAGCTACATGGCTAAACACACATCTTTACTCAGAATCTGAAAAAGGTCTCTTATTTTGGAAAAAAGAAAAAGATTAAAGAGTAATGATACTCTTTCAAATAAAAAGCGAGGTGAACAACAGGAAAGGGTGGGTGTGGGAGTGAAGGCTGTGCACAGTGGGCTCAGGCAGGGTTTAAATGAATAACATTTCCCCAAGTCCAGTTTACTAGAGAGTAAACAGAGAATCAAGACAGACAAAATCAGACTTCCAGGGATTCTCCCCCAAAGTCAGAGTTAATAAAACACATATTTTCCCTTAAAACTTTTCCCCTCAAAGACAAATAATAATTTGCTATTGTGACTCAAACAGAAGGTAAGAAAGAAATGCCCTAATCTCCACAAATCTACACATATGCATATACATGAGCATTATTCTTGAAACAATATGACAAAGCCATTACCTTCCTGTCCTATATTACCCAAAAGTCTATAATATTTGATGCTAGAATTTAAAATAAGGTATAATATGCTCTATTTACATGAACCAGTTTAATTAGTTCATTTTTTACTCATTTCCTGTGACAATCTCTTGTATTACATAAGCCTTAATATTTACCTGAACCTCTGAATTGGAGTCAACAGGCTGTAATGAAAACCAAGTTTCTTTGCCACTGTGATTACACAAGTCTTCTTTTTTGATGGCTACTTTTCCTACAGAAAATAAGTAAAACAATATAAGAAAACATGCTTCGTATAATCCTAAGACTCATTAGCACTGTTTTATATAATACTTTATAGAAAATATTTTAAAATGATTTGTACCTATTGACATAAAAATCCATTTTTATAAAGCATTTTTTCTACATTCTAAAGAATGAAAAAGTGTCTCATTTCTCCTTGCCCCTTGGCAGACATTTGTCTGGGTCATTTTGAATCAGGGGATTAGATAAAACCTCAGTTGTATTACAGGCAACTGCATTTTTTTAGTACTTATTCAGATTCATGTTTTTACCCAGAGTACACTCATTATAAAAAGCAAGGTACAATGGTAGTGCAAACTAATCTTCCCAATTTTTTGACCCTAAGAACAAATGACAAGTTTTGAGCAGATGTATCTGCATTTAGTAAGAGTTTATAAATTCCAATTAAGAGAAAAGGAAAAACAATATCATACATCATTAACAACAGTGAAAACTGACTTGAAAATTATGGGAGATTATAACAATTTTATTATTAAGAATTTACTTTTATCAAAACATTGCAAACACTGATTATGTTGCTCCAATACATACAAAAATTAAGGCAGTTCTCTAAAGAGTTTAAACCCTCTCAGAGGAAGATACAGTACAATGAACATAGTAGTATGAGAGGAAGAAACAGAAATGTTCTTATAATAAAATATTTGCCATCTTGGTACAAAGCATTTCCTTCCTCAATTCAAGTTTTAAGAAGTAGACACAGTTTTGCATAAGACTAATGATTTATTCCAGGATTCTACACAAAAGTTTCAACAAAGGATATATAAAGTTAAAAGCAGTTCACTTTCTTTTGTCAAGTAAGAATTTTCATTTTATACGCCCTAATTCTACTTTATTTCCTTGTACTTATGATATACCTTGGTCTTTTAGTTCAACATTTGAAAACTTTAAGAAAATTGTAAAGAAATTTTTCTGTCAAGATACGTCAACTTTTGTATATCAAGTGAAAAGGAAGGAACAGGAAAACAAACACAAACTATGCTTAAAATTTCACTCTGGAATTAGTGGTGACAGTTACACAACTCTGTGAATATATTAAGGCCCCCACCACACCATACACTTTTTTTAATTTAAAAAATATTTTAATTCACCCAAGCCATTAGTGCTGGAAAAAAGAAAAAAAGATGTATTTTGAAATAATTTCAAACAGAGAAAAGTTACAAGAACCGTACACTAAAAATTTCCATATTTTCTACTCACATTCCCCTACTGTTAACTTTTATAATGTTTCTCTCCCTCTAACGTATATAATGATTCTTTTTCTGAACCACTGAAAAGCAAATATAATGTATACCTTAAAAGGGTGAATTAATGGTATGTGAATTACATCTCAATAAAACTGTTATTTTTAGAATGTAACCACATTACAGTTTTTGATAAGCTTCTCATTCATGTCTTGGAATTCAAACTGTAAAGACAATCGATACATCTAATTTTAAAGAAAATAGTAAAGTACACAGCTGTATTTTATTAAAGAGTTTGTAACTGTATTAAAAAAATACGAGTGGTAACTGTATTAAAAAAATACAATCGAAGGAGGCCTATTGAAAGTTCATCTTTATATGTCTATGAATACATGAAGTTAAAACATATAAAATTTTAAAATAAATTGGTCCTGATAACAAATACGTATCTTCCCAACTTTCTTTTGAATACTTTGGATAAAATGTAATTGAAGATCAAAATCTTTATGTGAATATACAGCATTTATAGTTCATTCAAATCACATGGAAAATGACACTAGGGAAATAATGTATTTTAGTTCTTTTTTGGTTAAATTTAAGATAAAAATGATGGGAAAACAGAAATTCTTATAGTATTAAATACACAGATTAAAAGCCAAATATAAAATTCAGGTACTAACTGGAATACTCAAATGTTCCTTAAACTGCAGGAAGAATTTAGGTTAAGAGACAAATCATCCAAATCTCTGGATATGTTTTATCTATGAATTGTATCAAATTCCTGGCAAATCCATATATTACCAGGAATGGCTTAAGATATAAAATTATGACAAAGTATTCAATATTGCACACCACAAATGATTACCATAATTCTATCAAGTAGTCCTAATTACCACAGATTCCACACCAGACATAAATAAAATGTTAAGGCAATGCATAACAGTTTGATACTCAAAAAATATATATGTACATACAGAAATACATCTATACATCCTATAGCTGAAGCTCTTACCTTTTGAGAACCATTATCCTCCCTTTAAGAATCTTTGTAACTGTGTATCTTTTATGTCCTCTCCCCAGAAAAAGGACAGATAATATCTGGCACAAAATTTTAAGAGAGTTTACTTACCATCCAGAAACGAATCAGTAGACTTCTGGTGAAATTTCTACTTTACAATTTCCATAATTTTTAGTTTTGTACACAATTTATGAATATGTATATAGATGTACATATGTACATACATATAATACATACAAACACCACTAAAACAAGTCCCAAATTCTAAAAGAGGGTTGCCTACAAAGTTTATTTAGGAGTTTATTGGTTTGACAAATTCATTCCCTCATTCAACAATCACAATGGCATTGTGTTGTAAATGCTGATTTGATTTCCAGGCTTCCCTAACCAAACTCTATTTAACTAACAATGCTGCTAAAAACTAGAGTAGAAATTTACCTGTCCTATTTATGACTCACTACTCTCAGATCACTGGAAATACATCTCATCTGTCACAGGTGCCTTCCCAAAAGAGAATCCTCTCTTAGTCACACAGGTAATATATTCTAAAGCAAGCAGCCTCTTCCTCCTATTCTGCATCATGAGTATCATGACATTCACTGTCACTGAAGAGTTGAATGTTTCTTGTCCTATGAGAGGGAAACCCTTCTCTGACTAGCTGCATAAACAAGTCATTTGTGAGCTGAGAATAATCTGTAATTTTATTGCCAGCTCTTATTCTTAAGCTCCTTTTTAAGATGTCAGTTTCTGATATGTAAAGATCTAGTTGCATGAGGCCAGTTGGCCTGAAGAAACAGAGAAGAAAGAGTACATGATTCCACAAAGTTAGAGAAAATGATATATAAGAATGGCACAGGAAAATTAAGAAAAATATTTGAAGTTAATAGGTAGCAGGATACCTACAACATGTCCAGCACTTTATTAGGCAATATAACATATAAAAAGAAATATACATCATCAGCCCAAGGGAATAAAACAGGGAAGAGGGAGAGGAGAAGACAGACAAAGAATGAAGGAGGAAAAAAGGTGGAAGGATAAATGAGAAGGAAGTACGGGAGAGGGAGAAGAGAGGATGGGGAAAGAAGGAACAAGTTTCTGAAACACAAATAGAATAAAAAAAAAAGCCTCACGATTCTGATTTGTTGTTTAATCACTAAACTGGCAGGCATTAACAGTAAAAGGTAGGCAGCCCGACACAGTGGAAAGAGCACTGAACTGAAAGAAAAGCCAGCATTTACTGAGTCTCTACCAGGTAGGAGACATTCTTATATATTTTCTTGTTTAATTTTCCTAACAATCTTGGAGGTAGAGGGTATAATCACCATCTTACAGATGAGGAAAGCTGAACAATATTTTTAAACTTGCCGCTAACAGGTGCTGCAGCCAGATTTTGAAACCAAGGCATGCCTGTTTGTGCTCCTTCCAACACAAACACTAATTCCATAACCTAGTGTCAATTCTGTTACTTATTAGCTGTGTAATCTCGGGTGAATTACTCAAACTCTACATCTGATGTGCCTCCTCTGCATTAGAATGACTTTTAACTTAATGATCTTAAAAACCCTTTTTGTGCCTCTAATAGTCCCAAAGATTGTTTTAGTTTAGTGTTTAC
This sequence comes from Homo sapiens, assembly GCF_000001405.40. Lineage (NCBI taxonomy): Eukaryota > Metazoa > Chordata > Mammalia > Primates > Hominidae > Homo > Homo sapiens. The sequence continues at coordinate 141,525,846 of NC_000003.12, read as the reverse complement.
TATTTTCTTTTATTTATGTATTTTTTTTAATTTTTTTTTTGAGACAGAGTCTTGCTCTGCTGCCCAGGATGGAGTGTAGTGGCATGATTACAGCTCACTGCAGCCTCGATCTCCTGGGCTCAGGTGATCCTCCCATTTCAGCCTCCCAAGTAGCCAGAAGTAATTTTTACAGTTGGTCCCAGTTGGCTACTTTTTATAGTTTTTGTAGAGATGGGTTTTCACCATGTTGCCGAGGCTGGTCTTGAACTTTTGAGCTTAAGCAGTCCAACTGCCTTGGCCTCCCAAAGTGCTGGGGTTATAGACATGAGCCACTGTGGCCAGTTGTTGATTACTATTTTAAACAAAATTAATTCATTATTTCACTAGCTATGAAGTTACCAACTTCAAAAAAAATCAAACACATCTGGGTGCAGTGGTGCATGCCTGTAGTTCCAGGTACCTGGGAAGCTGAGACAGGAGGACTGCTTGAGCCCAGGAGTTCAAGTCCAGCCTGGGCAACACAGTGAGACCCCCAACTCTTAAAAAAAAAAAGTCAACAAGAAACAAACGTCCCAACAAATCATTTAAAGTTAGTACTTCATTTCCTCACTGTCCTGACAAACTCACAGACAGAAAGAGCTTAAAACCAAACATATACACACCAGATGCTGTATTAGTTCCTTAAAATCAGACAAAGAAAGGAAACACAAAAGGAAATGAAGGAACTGTGGGCACAGAAACCACCTTTGTTGATCTTTAAATAAAAAAAAAGCATTTTTAGCTTTCTAATACCATTTTTCAGCAGCATTTTCTTGCCATCAGTAAATACTGTGTTACCCTTGGGACCCATTTTTAGATACAATATATTCTTAGAAATTTCAGCCTGATACAATTCACCAATTAGGAAAATCCTGATAGTCCTGTTCCTACTTGAGCACTAGCAGAAATGGCTAAAAGAGGAGATAAAAACAGTGACAGGCCGGGCATGGTGGCTCACGCGTGTAATCCTAGCACTTTGGGAGGCTGAGGTGGGTGGATTGCCTGAGCTCAGGAGTTTGAGACTAGCCTGGGCAACACGGTGAAACCCCATCTCTACTAAAATACAAAAAATTAGCCGAGCGTGGCAGTGTGCGCCTGTAGTCCCAGCTACTCGGGAGGCTGAGACAAGAGAATTGCTTGAACCCAGGAGGCAGAGGTTGCAGTAAGATGAAATCATGCCACGCCACTGCACTCCAGCCTGGGCGACAGAGCAAGACTCCATCTCAAAAAAACAAACAAACAAAAACAGTGACAAATATTACTGTCTATAGAAAAATGAAACAGGACCAGAGGACTGAACAAATCCTGGCAAACAGTCAACAGCAGCAATTTAGAGACAATGGCAGCACTTCGAAGCCTTAGTGTACGAGGTTTCGATAGACATATTTTGGTCTTTGTGGTAAACTGGTATATTAATGGCCTCCATAACTCCTGGTTATCTACACCATTGTGTGGTCTCCTATAGCACTGACTCTTGGATTATGTGACTTGCTTTTACCAATGGGACATCAGCAAATGTGACACACCTTTGCATTAGGGCTTGCCTTCTTAGAACCAATCAGGAGACCATGTGGTGAGGAAGGTCCAGCTAATAGTCAGCACCAACCATCAGACATATGAATCAGACCAGCCAGCCCCAATCTCCCAGATAACTGCACATCAGCCCCAGGCGAGACCAGCCGAGCCACTCAGCTAGGTTCAGCTCAAACTGACAAACAATAGGATCATGAGTAAATGTACGGTTGCTGTATTAAGCCAGTAAGTATTGGAGTACTTACATAGCAGTAGATAACTGATATAGTCCCTGTGCAAACAGACACCAAAGTGTAGCCATAAGCAATTTATACACAGTAAATTTTGCTTAAAAGCTAAATGTCAGCAGAAATTACAATTCAAAGTGTTGGAAAAGACCTTAGCAATTTTAAACCCAATCTTATTTTATGGATGAACCAGGCCTAAGAAAATGACTCAATGAAGATCACATAGATAGATAGTGACATAGTCATGACTGGTATTCAGGTCTCTGACATTCTAGTAAAATCCTTTCATTTCTATATGGTTCTGAACCAAGGTGGAGTGAGGGGTCGGGGAGAACTGCCAGAGTCTACTAAGATAGTCAGTTTACTTGTTTGAGCTCTAGAAAAATAGTCATAGTTTACTTGTTTGAGCTCTTGAATAACAAAATAACTAAAAAATACATAATAGGAGGTAAAACATTTATGTTTTAATTTCAATATTATTAGAATCCTCATTGGAAATAAAAATATATGCTTAAAGTTTTTCTTTTTCTCTCATTTTGTACTAACAGTTCCTAGCATATAAAGATGCCTAATATAAACAATTATGCCCCGAATTAATAACAATTATTACCTCTGGGAAGAGGACTGGGAGGAGGCAGTGGTCAAAAGTAATTTAGGCTGGGCACGGTGGCTCACGCCTGCAATTCCAGCACTTTGGGAGGCTAAGGCAGGTGGATAAGAGTTTGAGACCAGCCTGGCCAAATGGCGAAACCTCGTCTCTACTAAAAATATAAAAATTAGCCAGGTGTGGGGGTGGGTATTTGTAATCCCAGCTACTCAGGAGGCTGAGGCAGAATTGCTTAAAACCAGGAGGCGGAGGTTGCAGTGAGCCGAGATCATGCCAACGCACTCCAGCCTGGACAACAGGGCAAGTCTTCGTCTCAAAAAAAAAAAAAATGGGATTATCTATGCCATAATTTAAAATTTTTTTACAAAAATAAAAATATCCATACATAAGAAGCAGAGAGAAGCAAACACATTTCCACACTCAGGCTCCTTCTGACTCTCCTAGGTTCCATTAGAGCAGAGTAAGTGCCAGTGTTCCGCCAACCCAGGAACAGGCCCTGCAGACTCAGTGAGAATCATCCCAGAAGAAAACTCAGGAATAAAAATGGAGAAAGTGATACTTCAGACTGAAACTACCAGAAACATCCTGAAAATGAAGCAGAAAAAAAGCAGTCCAGGGACCAGAAAAGCCCTCAGTCCAGTTAATTAAACCATGGAGTAGCCAGGAAGTCCAGAGTTTCCTGCAAGAATGGGAATTTCTTGAGCGTGAAGTGTACGGGGTGAAGAAGTATCACACAGTATCAAAAGCAGTTGCCCCGCATCTCAAGCACAGAGGTATAAAGAAGAGCTGGCAGGAATGTCTCCAGATGCTGATAAGCTTGCAGGACTTATACTTCACTATTCATGAGGCCAACCAGAGGCCAAGGTGCCACCCCTTGCAATGTCCTTATGGAGAGGCCCTGCACAGGATTCTGGGATACAGATGGAAGATCAGCGTCTTCTCAGGTCCTCCCTGTGCTGATGTGGCTGACCTTGCACCTCCCGAGCACCAGCCCCACGCCTATGGCATTCCCGGAGACTTTCAGGAGCCGATGTGGGCCCCAACACCTGTGATCTATATGGAAAATGCTCAGGTACCCAGATGGGAGCCCTGGAACATGAACCTGCCATGGTCAGTTCTACAGATGTATCCTGCCTTTCTCTCAGCAGCCCCGGGCCCTCCACCACAGTGGTCCATCTCTACTGACTGATCCAGATTTAGAAGACAGTTAGAATCTGGATCCTGATTCTATCAGAAAGACTGAAAAACAGCACAATCTGTGTGTGTTGGTGCATGACTCCTTCCTCTCTTTGCCTGGTACAATGAGAATAAATGTGAAATAAATGAATGACAAAAAAAAAATCCATACATTACTCATGTAATTAAAAATAAAAAACCCCTAAAATCTATCTATGCTCAACTTGTACTGAATCTAAGATCTTAAGTTTAAAAGATGATTCTCTAAATTCTAGCTCAAATTTCATTTCCAGAAAATGCTGTGTCAGTGTTTAATCTACAATTGAGTGGCTCCAAATTATAAATTAAGAAAACTCAACTTCCAATAGCTCAAAATTAAAAAAAAAAAAAACCTGTGTGTTAATGACAAAAGAAAATGATACTGAACTAGAAAAATGTTAAAAATGTATAAGTAAAACCATCAACCACTTCCAACCTTAAAGGGTATGTAGTGTGTTTAATAATAACTCTATATGCAAAAGGAAAAAGAATTTTCTGTTAAATGTATAAATTTTATCCCTTAGAAAGAATAAACATTTAAGAAAAAGTTATCACACCAACAGTTACAGCTTTCTGACACCACTCCCTAAACAACTGATTTTTACTAGAAATTATTTTACCTAAAGTTGATTTTTACTTTCAAAATAAACAAAAAACAAAGGCAACTTCTGGAAATCATAAACCTCAACTTTATGCTGCTATTTAAAAGGCCTTAAAGGCCTTTTCAAGAAATATTACCTTAAGATTATAACATGTAAAGAGACGAAAATTACTAAACATTTTTCTTAAGGTATGATGGCCGAAGTTATACATTCTCTCAAAGGTTATTAATAACTACCAATAGCCTCTATCAATCCTTATCTGACTCCACCTTTCTCTAGTTGCTGACATTAAAAGGTTTCCTTATCTTCTCTGACATTAATCTCTCCCATCTTTCTTTCTACTTCCTGATATGCCTTATCTATCTTCAAGTCTCTTCTTCCCTGAAACCCTCCTTATCCACTCCCAGGTAATTTCGTTCATTCCAACACAGGCTTCACCTATCACTTAATGCTAATAACTCTCAAATCTACATCTCTAGCTCTTTTCTCTAAGCTTCAGATCTATATTTCCAACTGTCAACCAACATGTCCACTAAGATGTACCCCGGTAATACTAAGTTTAACTTGTTTGAAACCAAAGTCATCCTCTCCCCTTCTCACTCAAAAGTGAATGTTCTTGCTGTGTTCTTTATCTAATTTAATGACAGCCATACAAACAAGACCATTTTAAACTCTTCTCCTTTTCACATCTCCTGTTCATCTTGGTCCCTATGCCCTATTTGAAACCCCTGAAGTACATTCCCTCATCTGTATTTCCACTGCAACTGCCCTAACTCATTTCATTTGAAAACAGCATACCTGTTGGTCTTCCTGCCTCTAACCGCTCCCTATTCCAAATCAACAACTTCTTATGGCCTACAACAGTACTACAAACTCGATGTATATAGATTACATATTTAAATTAGAATATATAATATCTGCGTGTGTATATAACTGTGTGTGTATATATATCTGTGTATATAAGTGTATGTGTATATATGTGTGTGCATATATATATGTGTATGTAACTATATATAACTGTATATCATATAATACAATATGCAGATTCTTCTGTTTCTAGCAGTACAAATGCATGTATATTATAACACACACACACACACACTCCAGTTATATATAGTTACATACATTCTCAAAAGGTTCAAAACCACTGTCTACAGAATAAAGTCCAAGTTCCTTAGCTTTTGGAATTAAGAATGGTTTCTAGGGTTCATCAGTTTGGTCCCAATTTATATCCTCAGCTTCTATCACCCTCCTCCAGCAGGTACACCACAAACATGATTCATTCTTCCCCCTCTGCTTCTGCCAATCCCTGTCACCTTGAAACTGTTCTTCCTGGTGGGGCGTGGTGGCTCATACCTGTAATCCCAGCACTTTGGGAGGCCAAGGCAGGCAGATCACGAGGTCAGGAGTTCGAGACCAGCCTGGCTGACATGGTGAAACCCTGTCTCTACTAAAAATACAAAAATTAGCTGGGTGTGGTGTTGCATGCCTGTAATCCCAGCTACTTGGAGGCTAAGGCAGGAGAATCGCTTGAACCCAGGAGGTGGAGGTTGCAGTGAACGGAGATCATGTCACTGCACTCCAGCCTGGGCAACAGAGCAAGACTCCATCTCAAAAAAAAAAAAAAAAAAAAGAGAAAAAGAAAAAGAAAAGAAATTGTTCTTCTTTTTCCTACCTATGTAGTCTCTGTTATTCCCCTACCAAATAAAATGAGCTGTTCTCCCTACTATTCTAAGTATTCTGTTCATATCTCCAGCACAGACCCTAATATATTAGTATTAATATATTAGTATTAGACTAGAAGTCTGCCTCTCTGATGAGCAACGAGTCTTACTCATCTTAAAAGTCCCAACCTTTGTGTGCCACGGAGAAGTGTTTGGTAAATGTTAAACTGAATTGAGGATACAGCTTCAAGGGTGATCTATAATCAACAGTTTGCTACAAACAGAAGAGTCTGCATATAAGAAGGCATCAGAGGGAGAAACACATCTAAAAAAATACACCACCATGAAAATGTCTTTTCTTTCACTTTCAGCAAACCGAATAAGCAATCAAGAGAGTGAAATGTGACACAGAGGCAGATAACAATAAAAACTAAGAAAATGCCTTTTGTGAGACAGAGTATTTGGTATGTATATAGCTGACAAAAGTTAACATATCTAAAAATAAGAAGGCTTAAGGATAAATGTTAGAACTCCAACCAAAAGAAAAATAGGCAAAGGAATGAGCAATCAATTCACAGAAGAAAAATGTAAATACCAATAAACATATGAAAAATTCCTCAAATTCCTTCAAAATCAGAAAACACACATTAAAATAATAATGTGTTATTTTTCACCTATCATATTGGCAAATTTTTTTCAATGATAATATGCAAGAATGGCCAGGGGGTGGTAAAATGGTTATGCCCATGACATCTTTGAGGAAATGTAAATTAGTACAACATTTATGTCGTCCATATTAGTATGATACTCTGTGGGGCAGAGGGGCAATACAGAAATTTACAGAGGAAATCATAAAAATGTTCATACCCCTTGACTCAGTATTTTCACTTCTAGGAATTTATCCTGGGGAAAAAGAGACATGCAAAAATTTATGCCAAAGGACATTTGTTCATAGCAACACCATTGAGGATGCCCAAAATTTGGAAATGTAAATGTTCACCAACAAGGATGTGGTTAAAATAAAACACTTTTCTATAAAGGATATTATGTAACAAATAGTTTTAACAAATATTAATGATATGGGGAAAGGATCACTATGGTATTAATTGAAAAGGAAAAAATCTGAATAAAATGTAGTAATACAAATGTATGAAATAAAGAATGGAAGAAATACACCAAATTATTAACTGTAGTTATTTCTGTAGAGAATCACTACCAAATACTAAGAACATATAACAGTTTTATAATTAAGAAAAACATATTGTTTTAAAGGTTATTTGATTAAAATGATGTTGGCAAATTTCAAGAAAGGTTTATCAAAAAAACATAGAAGCCAGATTATAGAGATTTTAAAAGAAATAAGTAGCAAGCAGAGGACTGACACAGACCATTTGTTAAGGAGTTCAATATCAAACACAGAGAAACATCAGAAGTTAGTTAAGAGGACAAAGACAACGCTTAATTTTTTTTTTTTTTTTTTTTTTTTTTTTTTTTTTTTGAGATGGTGTCTTGCTCTGTTGCCGAGGCTGGAGCACAGTGGCACAACCTCAGCTCACTGCAACCTCTGCCTCCCGGATTCAAGCGATTCTTCTGCCTCAGCCTCCTGAGTAGCTGGGACTACAGGTGCGCACCGCCGCTCCAGGCTAATTTTTGTATTTTTAGTAGAGACAGTTTCACCACATTGGCCAGGCTGGTCTTGAACTCCTGACCTCGTGATCTGCCCACCTCGGCCTCCCAAAGTGCTAGGATTACAGGCATGAGCCACTGCACCTGGCCAAATAATGCTTAATTTTTTAAGCTGTAGGAGACTTGACCATATTTCAAATAAAAAAGGAAAGGGAGATGAAATTTAGGATACTAAAAAGAAAGAGAATAAATGTAAATTAGACCTCTGCCTATGATTAAAATACAAAGATAGTGGTGCAAAGATCAGGAATGTGACACATATGTGGCCAGTTAGCTCTGTTCTAGTTCATGCCCACAGATCACACTCTAGTCTGACAATTATTTAAGAAATATATTTATTGGCCGGGAGCAGTGGCTGACGCCTGTAATCCCAGCACTTTGGGAGGCCGAGGTGGGCAGATCACGAGGTCAGGAGATCGAGACCATCCTGGCTAACATGGTGAAACCCTGTCTCTACTAAAAATACAAAAAAAATTAGTCGGGCGTGGTGGTGGGAGCCTGTAGTCCCAGCTATTCGGGAGGCTGTGGCAGGAGAATGGCGTGAACCCAGGAGGCGGAGCTTGCAGTGAGCTGAGATCGCGCCACTGAACTCCAGCCTGGGCGACAGAGTGACACTCCGTCTCAAAAAAAAAGAGAAATATATTTATTGGTCACCGATATGGTTTGACTCTGTGTCCCCACGAAAATGTCATGGCAAACTGTAATCCCACTGTTGGAGGAGGGGCCTGGCATAAGGTGACTGAATCATGGGGGCAGACATCCCCTTGCTGCTCTCATGACAGTGAGTTCTCATGAGATCTGGTTATTGTAAAAGTGTGTAGCACATCCCAACTCTCCTCTCTCCTGCCAGCCATGTGAAGATGTGCTTGCTTCCCCTTTGCCTTTCACTCATGTAGGTTTCCTGAGGCCTTCCAGAAGCAGAAGCCTGTACAGCCTGAAAAACTGTGAGCCAATAAACCTATATTCTTTATAAATTACCCAGTCTCAGGTATGTCTTTATGGCAGTGTGAGAATGGACTAATACAGTCACTAATACAGACAGGAAGAAAATGTATAAATAGATTAAAGTGAATTATTACTTCTATTAGAAAAACCTCAACAACAGATGTTCTTTGGAAGGATCAAAACTGCAATCTTTCTATAAAAACATTATTTGAACCACTAAACAAATACTTACCCAACACTTACTAAGTGTAAGGTGCTCCGTAAGAAAGAGTCCCTGCCCGGCCAGGCGTGGTGGCTCATGCCTGTAATCCTAACACTCTGGGAGGCCGAGGCAGGTGGATTTCCTGCAGGAGTTTAAGATCAGCCTGGCCAACATGGTGAAACCCTGTTTCTACTAAAAATACAAAAATTGGCTAGGCGTGGTGGCACACGCCTGTAATCCCAGCTACTCAGGAGGCTGAGACAGGAGAAATCGCTTAACCTGGGAAGTAGAGGTTGCAGTGAGCCAAGATCGCACCACTGCAGTCCAGCCTGGGAGATAGAGCAAGATTCTGTGTCAAAAAAAAAAACAAAAAAAGAGTCCCTGCCCTTTTAAATTTCACATTTAACTAGAGAACCTAGATATGAAACAGCCAACTAATGAATAAGCATAATGAGTACCATGGAAAGGGAACCATCAGGAATTATAAAAACATATGACATAGTGACTAGGGGAGCTGCAAAGGCCTCCCTGAGAAAGTGTCATATAAGCTGAACATACAAATTAAAAATGAAATTTCACAAATGAACATGTAGTCTACAGAAAAAGATCAGAGATGTTGAGCATATATTATTCTGCAATTTTCAAAACTATACTAAGAGAACGAATGAATATAAACATTAACATTGTGATTAAAGATAATTATGAATAGTACATACCTATACGGAGATCTCTTTGTAAAACATTCTTATCATAAACATAGAAAGACAAATACTGGAAAGTTCTTGGAATCTCAAAGTAAAATTCTTCACTGAAAAATGGGCTAGAAAGAAAAGGAAAGCTCATTACTTCAAATAATATAAAATAAATAATAATTAATATCACTTTCAATAATAATTGTATAAATACTCAAATAATATCACTTTCTTTTTTTAATATATATATATTTTATTATACTTTAAGTTCTAGGGTACATGTGCACAACGTGCAGCTTTGTTACATATGTATACATGTGCCATGTTGGTGTGCTGCGCCCATTAACTCATCATTTACATTAGGTATATCTCCTAATGCTATCCCTCCCCCCTCCCCCCACCCCACAACAGGCCCCAGTGTGTGATGCTCCCCTTCCTGTGTCCAAGTGTTCTCATTGTTCAGTTCCCACCTATGAGTGAGAACATGTGGTGTTTGGTTTTTTTGTCTTTGCGATAGTTTGCTGAGAATGATAATATCACTTTTTTTTTTTTTTTTTGAGACAGAGTCTTGCTCTGTTGCCAGGCTGGAGTCCAGTGGCGTGATCTCAGCTCACCACAACCTCCAGCTCCCAGGTTCAAGCGATTCTCCTGCCTCAGCCTCCCGAGTAGCTGGGACTACAGGCACATGCCACCACGCCCAGCTAATTTTTGTATTTTTAGTAGAGATGGGGTTTCACCATGTTGGCCAGGATGGTCTCAATCTCTTGACCTTGCAATCCACCCGCCTCAGCCTCCCAAAGTACTGGGATTACAGGAGTGAGCTAATGTTCCTGGCCAAATAATATCACTTTCAATAAAGTTAATGAAATTATGGACTAAAATGCCATTGAAAAGAATTTGAAAAGCCCCAAAATAATTCTCAATGCTAAATTTCAACTAAGTTCTATACAAACCAAGCTGAACACTGAAGGGATCTAAGTTGCCAGTATGAGTTCTGAACAAATAGCTTTTCAGCAGTCCTGTGGATAGAAGATACAGTAACTGCCTGGGGTCATGCTCACCTAAGGTGGACCATTTGAGAGGTGAGGATAGTGTCATTCATACCATCCTTGTCTTAGAAATGTGTAAAGCTGTATTATTTACAATACATAATACCTAAAACAGCCAATGTTATGTGAAAGGCTACTTCAAAATTTTTTTTTAAATTAAGCTATTTTTAAAAAATTAAAATATGCAATTTTAAAATCAACTTTAAAAAATATTTTTAAAAAATTAAAACAAGGTATTTTTAAATCAGTTTTATTGAGCTATAAGTTACAAACAATAAAAATCCAATTTAAAGTATAGAGGTTGATGACTTCTGATAAATTTATACAACTGTGTAGCTTCCACCCCAATCAAAATAAAGGACACTGCTATCTCCCCAGAAAGTTCTCTTATGCCTCTCCTTCAGTTACCCCATCATACCTGCCCCAACCTGTGATGTGTTTTCTATCACTATACATCTATCCTAAAATCTCACATAAATAGAATCATATAGTATGTACTCATGTCCAGCTTTGTTCATTCAGCTTAATGTCTATGAGATTTTTTCGATGTTGTTGTGTACATAGTAGTTCAACTGTTTTAATTGCTGCATAGTATTCCATTGCATTCCAAATCCATTCGCCTAGTGATGTTATTTGAGTTGTTTCCAGTTTGGGCTATCAAAAGTAAAGCTGCTATGAACATTCTTATATAAAGCTTTTTCTAGACACATGCTTTTGATTACTGAGAATGCAACTGCTGAGTTAAAAGGCAGGTGAATGTGTAATTTACAAGAAACTGTCAAACTGTTTTCAAAGTGGTTGTACTGTTTTACACCCCTAACAGCAATGCTCCAGTTGTTCCACATCTTGGTACTGACAGCCTTTAACTTTAGCTATTCTAGTGAATGTAACATGATAAATGTATACACCTATGTAATCTCTACCTTATAATCAAGATACAAAACATTTTTATCTCCCCAGAAAGTTCCCTTGTGACTCTGCAATCACTCCCACCATATTCTTACAGGCAACCAGTGATATGATTTCTATCACTGCAGATTATGTTCTAGAATCTATAGTGACAAAAATGGTTTTAAATTGATTTCCTGATGACTAACAATGTCCAATACCTTTTCATGTGCTCTTGGCCATATCTTTTCTGAAATATCTGTTTAAGTATTCTCCCCATATTTTAAATGGCCATCGGTCTTCTTTTGAGTTATCAGGGTTTTTGTTTTTAAATAAATTCTGGATACAAGTCTTTTGTCAGAATACTTTCTCCCAGGTGTGGCTTGCCATTTAATTTTCTTGACAGTGTCTTTTAAAGAAAAGGAGCCTCTAAGTTTGATAAAATCTAATTTACCAATTTTCATCTTTTATAATTAGTGGTGCTTCTTGCATTCAAAGCAAGAAATCTTTGCCCATCCTCATGTTGCAAAGCTTATTTTTATAAGTTCATTTTAAGAATGCCATTTTGATATATTTATCCTTCTATGATTCTTCTATGAAGACGCGAATCTCTGAAATGATAGTTTCTTTTGTCAAGTGTACCTCTTTCCTGAGAAAGTTTAAAGAACAAAAAGATTCTCTAGAAATATCGCTATGAAATGCAGTATCTTTATGATGTCATAACTAAATGAGAAGCTGAAATATAAAGTAAAATACTCCTACAGAAGTCATATCTGATCTTGTCTAGAAAACAGTTGGTTCAGCTTTTTAGTTGTTAAAATGCCTGGTGAACTTTTGTCACTATATTTTTCCCTTCAAATGTAACCAAACTAAACTTTTAAAAGTTGGTCTCACAAAGTAACTAGAGCCTTCTAATTAATTTCAACATAGAAATCAATGCAAAAAGAACTATTAGTCAAATATGATATGAAAACATGATATGAAAGACAAGACATGTGTAGGTATGTATCTCTTTGCATTATTTTCTAAACAATTATAAATGCAGAATTTCCTTTATATATCACATCCACATTCAAATATTATGTTTAAAGTACATTCTAAAGCCAAATAAGAACAATATGAGAATTAAGACTAAAGATTTCAAGTTTACTCCTTGAAATGTTTTTGGGCTACTAAAGTATTTTCAGTTTTATACAATACCTTTTCTAAGAAGAATTCAATAGATATTTAAAATTATAAAAAATGAAAATAAAGACATAAAGGGAAACTTCAAAGGCAAATGTAAAAGAAAGATATTTTTTTAAAGGCATAAAAAAAAAAACAGATCCCTAAAATACAACTGACCTAAAATATGATTCAGATAAGGCATGGCATTCAATATTTCATCCACCACATGCTCATTCCAATAATACCCCACACCCTGTTTTTCGTTTTTTTGTTTTTTTTTTTTTTTCTGAGATGGAGTTTCACTCTTGTTGCCCAGGCTAGAGTCCAATGGCATAATCTTGGCTCACTGCAACCTCCGACCCCTGGGTTCAAGCGATTCTCCTGCCTCAGCCTCCCAAGTAGCTGAGATTACAGACACCCAGCACCACGCCCAACTAATTTTTGTATTTTTCGTAGAGACGGGGTTTCACCATGTTGCCCAAGCTGGTCTCGAAATTCTGACCTCAAGTGATCTGCCCGCGTCTGCCTCCCAAAGTGCTGGGATTACAAGCGTGAGCCACCACGCCCGGCCTCCTTATTTTGACTTTTGTCTCTGAACAAGATTCTCAGCACAACTCTGCACTAGAATTATGTTCACATTGCTACGGTGCAGAGGTGGTATATTCCAGTTTTATGAATTAGAATTTAATATGATACTCTCAAAGGGCAATTACACTTTCAAAGATGAGACATCTATCTGAGAATTCATTCCCTGATAATGCACTACTAAGTTAAGCAACTTCTATGAACTTTAAGTAACTTATTCTTTAGATAAATAAAATAAAGATGTACTTTGAGGAAAGTTCAAACGAATAGGCAATATTTAGCCTGTCATGTGAAAAAACTTTTCTCCAGAAAACAAAGATAAAATTAGGAACAATTAAGAGGAAGATACATTTTGAGGCAATGAAAAGCCACATGAAAGCAAGCACTGTTTCTGTCTTGTCTTCTTGATTATTATAATCTGGAAAATGCATAATATTTACCAATCTATATAGTAAAAATTATAATTTACCAATTTTTTCTACCAACCTTAAAGATTTTTCCACAACTTGGGTACGATAAACTTCTTCCTGGTCCAAATTTATGGTACAGAAACAATCTCTCATTTTGTGGGGTCCAAGATATGGCAATAAATTTTTTGCTTCACCTGTTGGCATAAAATTTAAAATTGTTATTAAATATCATCAACTGCTTCATACTAAGCCTTATATAGGATGACTTCAATCTGAAAGAACATATTAATGTGGCACAGAAAAAAAAAAAAACACTAGTGATTACAGAAAGATCAAGCTGGTCTAAAGGAGATTGTTAAGACTGAAGGGAGGGGCTGTGTGTAAAGTGGCTTGAGGTCCCTTTTTTATATTACGTAATTGCATCCCCACTCCTATGAAAGGGTAATCCCTCTACTTGTGCTCTCTATCCCATTCCACCAGTGCTACCTCAAGGACTTTACTCCACAATTAATCTTTCTTTCCCAAATCACCATTAATTTTCCTCTCTAGCGATCATTCCCATCAGCATATAAACGATGATGGGAATTTCTCAACTTAAAAAAACACACAAAAAGAAAAGGAAAAAAAACTTCTTAAAAGCATCATCTCTAGTCGTTGTCTCTTCTTACCTTCCATTCATTCTTCAACCCTCTCCAATCAGCTTCTGACCCCACCATGCCACTAAAACTGCTCTAGCTGAGGACACTAATGCCTTCCACATTGCCAAATCAACGGTCACTTCTCTGTTTTCATCATACCCGGCCTGGCAGCATGATTTAACCCAAGTGAACATAAATATCCCTCTTTAAAATGCTCTCTTCTCTTGGCTTCCACAACACAGTATTTCTGACTTTTCTCCTACGTCACTGGCTCTCTGCTGACTTCTCCCCCTGGCTACCTCTAAACATGCAATGCCTCAATTCCAAACCACCTTCTCTTCCTTCTCTTTGCCAACTCTGCAGTATATGGTGTTAATGCGAACGCCTCCCAGATCTGCAACACCAGGTCTAACCTCTCCTCAACAAACACTAGATGTGACTATTTAACTGTCTCCTTGGATATCCAGTAGGCATTTCAAATTTAACAAGTCCCAGAAAAACCATCTGATTTCTTTCCCCAAGATGTGCCCTTTCCCCAGTCTACCATTTTTCTCTCTTACTCTCACCATCCTCTATTTCCCCAAACTCCCATACCCAGTCTCTTAGCAAATCCAGCAGACCTCCAAAATAAATCCCAAATCCAACCAGTTCTCTTTGCCTTGACCAGAATCACCGAGTCCAAGCCACCACAATCTTTTATTCGAACAAACATGAGAGTTGCCTAACTGGTGCCCCTGCTTCCACTTTTGGCCCTCCTACAATCCATTCTCCATCAAGCAGTGTGATATTTGAAACATATTCTTTAGGTTACTCACTCACTCTCCTCCTCCAATACCACACCATTTCACTTAGAATAAAATTATCTTTCTATACCACAGTCTACAAAGCCCTACTTAATGGTCTCTCTGATCTCTTCTCCTTCCATTCCCCCAACCCCGGTCAGTGTTTAGTTTTTTTCATTCATCAACTGTGCCACACCATGTTCAAGTTTAGGGCTTTTGTCTGGAATGCTACACTCCTAGATATCTTCAATGGCGAGTGCCTTATCATTCAGTCTCAGCTCAAATATCACTAACTCAGAGAAATCTTCCTTGACTATTCTATCTAAAGCACATAGTTCTGCTACCATATTCTATTTCTCCATTTTGTTTCTTTGATAGCACTGATGATTATCTAAATTTCTGTTCATTTTTAATTCAGTGTTTATTTTTTGGTTCCCTCATTCTTGAGGCCCAAGAACTTGTTGATCTTCAAGATCTTAAACAGTGACTGTCATACGGTAGACAGCTGAGAAACATTTGTTGAAGGAATATTAAATAACCTAAAAAGTCTAGTTTTGAAGTTTTGAAGTCCTTTGATACTCTAGCTCAAAGGACATACACAAGTATGGGCGCTGAAATCAGTACACTAGTTCCCTTATGCAATCAGTTGGCATAAGGGAAACAGCATTACCCCAAGAACCATAAAACCAATATTCCTCTCTTACTCTGCTACTAAGTGGCTGTATGACTTCAGACAAATCACTCAATCACAGCTTTCCTGATGAAGGTTTGGACTAGATAAACTCAAGTATCTTTCTGCTTATCAACTTTAAAGGCCATTTAAACCAATATATTTTAGAGAAGTCTATTAGAAACCTAAGAAGCACCTATAAAAAAACTCAGTAAACACATTATTTATAAAATTGAAATAAGAAAACCAATGGAATAGTACCAGTAAGATACTTCTTAAATCTGTCACTAAAAAAATAAAGTTACTACTTAAACAGAATAAACAAATTTAGGTCCATCTCAAGTCAGAATTGAGGAATCTCACCTTTTAAATGATTAATTTAATTAACTGCCTAAAATGGGTTAGTCCTTACAAATAAACCAGGTCACTAAGACAAATAATCTATATCTGAACCGGTATTCATCCATTTTCCTCTTCCTCCAAAGACTAGTTATTCCTCTTCTCATCCAAAGCTCATCCATTTACCTGTGCTCTCTCTACCCCATTCCCTCTTGTCCCTCCAGGACACTGTCTAGCAATTCTATTTTCATTACTTTCAGCCTTCTTGTTCTTCAGTCTCTCCTTTTTCTTTGACGTCTCCCTTCTGCATAATTTAGACTTTTTTTTAAACGAAAGTCCAACTAGGTCGCAATATAGGACCTAAAATATAAAAAATTTGGAATTAGACCATAATAATTTTCTACTTAATAAATATGCTCCATAATAAATATGCTCCATATCTAATTGGGAGAATTTGAAACACTAACTGTCCCTGAACATGTTTCTGTTTCATTCACATAGGTGCAGTTTTGAGAAAACAACATTATATAAATTTACACATATTCTACTTCCCTCTCCCTCTTAAGAGAGAGACAATGAGGTTATTTTGAAGAATCCAATGAACCTGACATTATCAGATATTTATCCAGAATAAATAAAAATGTAAGATCTATGTCATATGAAAAAATGTACCAAGCATCCTTTCCTATAAAAGCAGTTATCATAATCTGTACTTCTTAAATATCCACCAATGACTGAAGTTCAAATAAACTTTGTTGAAAGTTAATTCATCTAATCAATGCCCGGCTCAACAATCAATTGTACAAATATGTTAAGTCAGATACTGTAACTCCAAACTATAGTAGTGATTAATTGGCACTTTATAAACAACATAATCAAAAAGGAAGTAATGGTTACAGATATAATAAAAGTAATATTGTGCCTATTATATCTCTAAGCATAAAGAGAATATGTTAAGAGCCACACTTTACATCAAGCTACACAAAAAGACAAAAGTGAAGAACTTTGGAAGACTGTACTTGCTTGTGTGTGATATTTGTTCAGGGCCTCATGAACTCTAGCCAATTCTGGTATATAAATGAGCATGCGCCTTGGACCAAAAAAAAAAAAAATCCATTGCCAAATTTCTTGAAAACTTATTCTATAATCTCTCCTTTCAAGTGCTCCCTTCAACTCACAGCCTAAACCTGCAACTTGCCCTCTTATCCTACTTCTCTACTTCTTGTTTAGAACCTTGAAGAACACTAACAGGCTGGGCGCAGTGGTCATGCCTGTAATCCCAACACTTTGGGAGGCCAAGGTGGGCAAACTGCTTGAGAACAGGATTTTGAAACCAGCCTTGGCAACATGGTGAGATCTCATCTCTACTAAAAATACAAAAAATTAGCCAGGCGTGGTGGTGCATGCCTGTGGTCCCAGCTACTTGGGAGGCTGAGGTGTGAGGATGGCTTGAGCCCAGGGGATGGGAGTTGCAGTGAGCTGCCACTGCACTCCAGCCTGGGACAAAAGAGCAAGACCCTGTCTCAATAGTAAAGAAAGAAAAAAAAAACCCAAAAAACCACTAATATTAAGTGCCCAAATCGTAACACTGCTTTTCAGTCCCACCTTATTTGACCACTCTTCATTATTTGACAACACTAACCTTTCCTCAGCTCAGGTAACCTTGTATGAGGGTTTTTCTTATACTCCCTCTTTTGGTCTTTTTATCCACTAACCACATCTTAAACGTGAGGAAACTTTCGGTATCCACAGACCACTTAATTCATCATAGAGGTGAAGGACAAATTCTAGTTTTTTTTTTAATGTAGTCATTATAAAACAATAAAAATATACAAAGAAACAAATGAGTTTCTCAACATTGTTTGACGGTATTATTTATAAACTTTCTCAACTTATCTATAGCCCGTTTAATGACAGCCAGCCTTAAGGAGAACCAGGTTCTAAACCTGCAGTAAATATGGTAGATTACTGTTCACATCCATTTCAACCTCCTTCAGTGTATGTCTTCCTGTGCTGCAGAGAAGAGAAAGTTAAAAAATACATTTCCCAGCCTCTCTTGTGGCTACAGTTGTAAATGTGATTTAAGTTCCACCAACCAGATGCACTCACTAGAAATTTCAAGGACAGAAGAGAAGGGAGGTTGAGTTTGGGTTGTTTTACTAGCAAACATTGTCATGGAGATGTTCATGTTCACAGCAGTATTTGTTGAAGTCCTAGTATTCAGTCACAGATTTCATGAATATTAAGAAAGGCACAAGGCATCCATTCTGCAGTACAGGTTGTGGTAGGCAGGGCTTGGCTCTAGGGCCAGCAACAACAACGGCTTACTGAGGAAGGTGGCTGCTTGCTAATGGCTATTTCCTAACAGTAGTAGACTCCTGATCATGGCAGAGGTGGTAAGGTTCTAAGACAGGCATCTAAAAGTTACAGTTTCACAATTCTGCAAAAGTCTTTCTGATCCTAAAAGAGGCAATAACTCTCTTGGTGGCCTAGATGCAACATGGCTTTTTCTAGATCTAGAGTCTGTTTCTTCAGCCTTGTCAACAATTTTGTAAGCCACTTAAAATTTTTTTATTAAAGCTCTTTCTGCTTAAACTAACTAGAGTTGATGCTGTCACCTAATCTCAATTCTTTTCTAACCTTTGTTTCCAACAAATTAGAAAATCCCACTTTGAGTTACTGGTCATCATGGTTGGGTAAATCCACCGGCTACACGTGGCTATCTGGATCAAACATGGACACAGAAATTACCAAGCAATTTTTCACTGAAAATTATTTTCATTGTTCCATCAGATAGTGAGTTGAATAGCAGCACACTTAAAAAGGGAATCCTTTAACTTGGGAAATGGATCTTAACTCCATATATAGTTGTATCTACCTTCACAAAATATTTCTTCATCTTCTGTAGCATTTGGATAAAATTTTAAAAATATATTCAATAATACAGTATTCATATTTTCATGAATTTGGAATGCCAAATTCTTTTTTCTTTTTCTTTTTTTTTTTTTTTTTGAGACAGGGTCTCGCTCTGTCGCCCACGCTGGAGTGCAGTGGCACAATCATGGCTCACTGCAGCCTCGCCTTCCTGGACTCACGTGATTCTGTCACCTCAGCCTCCCGAGTAGCTGGGACTACAGACACATACCACCATGCCTGACTAATTTGCTTTGTATTTTATGGAGAGGCAGGGTTTTGCCATGTTGCCCAGGCTGGTCTTGAACTCCTGGGTTCAAGAGATCTGCCTGCCTTGGCCTCCCAAAGTGCTGGGATTATAGGCGTGAGCTACCATGCCTGGCTGGGAGTGCCAAATCCAAATTCTTAACATTCAAATCGTGTGCACCATTTTGGGTGCCTCTATTTTATCCTTAAATTCACAAATCATAGTTTGACCCTAAATTAATAAGAATAAAGTATTCAAGAAATTCAATATATTGCTAAGATATGACACAAGCAAGCCAGCTGAAATAATAAAAATGGTTTTTACTTGCATTTGAATGAAAGGAAGAAATGTTTTTATAGTTCATCCCTCATTTCAAAAATTCTGTGCATGCGGAGTCCTGCAATATGCAAAAGCAGACATTTGTCCTACAAAGGCAGATACATTGTTCCCACAGCAAACAGTATAGATTTGATTGTGTGTACAACTGTCACTATTTCCTTCAACAATAAATCAAGATCAGGAGGTATATCAATGACAACCAACTGTTCCTCTACGAAGAAAGGAGGTTGACATTCAAGCACAATTTATTTTATTCTGTAACATCTTTTCTTGTTGATTCATAACTGGTACTCCTTAAGCACTTTTCTAGTGTACATTACGACTTACAACATAACTGTTAACTAATTTTTTAAAGTCTTCTTTCTTAAAGGGTGGATTTTCAAAGACAAACAGAATAATCCTCCATTGTGCATTTCTTCTCTTTCACAAATGTACTGCAAGTATGCCAAGAACATCTTCCCACTATACATCCATGATTTTGTCCAAATATAAAATGAAATATCCTCTCGCCCACATGTGATAGTAATTGTTTTTCTACATCATATCTTCCTAAATCATACATATCTTAAATAAAATGCTGTGTTTAGCTTTGATACTCAACCTTCACAATGTTGCTAGTTACCTTTTTAATACGTACACACACACACACACACAAACACAGAGACACGTATAAATAAATATAAATAAAACATCCCTTGCTTAGAAGTCTTCAATGGCTCACACTATCTACCACTGCCCACTTGACAGGACAAAATCTAAAATTCCTTAGTCTGGCACAAAAACCCTCCATCCCTCCATGATCAGGTGCTATCTACTACATGTTCAACCTCATCTAGTTCATCTTTACCCCCACAAATTATGCTGTAGCAGTACTATATTTTAGTTCCTTGAACACACTGTTCTCTCATTCCTCTGTGTATCTGCAATGCTATTTTCTTTGTATGAAATGCCCTACCTGTTTTTCTCTCCAAAGAGCTCTGCTTAAGGGCATCTTTGCAAAGTCTTCCTCAATTCCTATGTAGTCATGTCACTCTTTCCCATGTGTTTCTACTGTACCTTGCATCTCTACTACAGTGATCATATTGTTTTGTACTTGTTGCATTTCACTCAACAAATATTTACTAAGTGCCTAAACACACGAGGCACTGTTCTAAGTGCTGGGGATATAACAGTGAATAAAAACAGGTCTCTGCCCATACGAAACTGTTGTACAATATATACAGGGACGACAAATACCACAAACTCTTAAATAAGCATATAGTATTTATTGTCATGGAAGAAATAAATATTTATTGCTATTCAAGAAAACAAAGCAGGTTAAGAGAGTTAGGGAATGGCAGGCCCAGAGGGTAGAGACAGGGAGGAGGTCAATGTTATTTTATATAGGGAAGCAGGGAAGGCCTTTCAATTAAAATATTTAAGCAGATACCTGAAGGAAGTCATTGAGGGTATAAGCCATACAGATATCTGGGGAAGGAGACGGACAGGCAGAAAGAATAAAATGTGCAAAGGCCCTGAGACAGGATAGTTTGGCACACTGGAGGAGTGGCAAGGAGGGCAGTATGGCTACAAAGCAATAAGCAAAGTGGGGAGAGGGAGGAGATAGTAAGAGATGGAGTAAGGGTATGGGAGGAGACAGGTTAAATAAGGTCTTACAGGCACGGGAAAGTCTTAGGCTTTTTTTGTGTGTCAGATGGTAAGGTTTTGAAGGATTTTCAGCATAAAAATGGCAAGATTTTTTGTTTTAAAATCAGTGCAGAGGGGAAAGGTAGAAGCAGGTGACTAGATAGGAGGCTACTGTAGTAATCTCAATGAGCGAAAACTTGCAGGTCAGGGGAGGGGCAGAGCAGACACGGGTCTGGAGAGAATGGGTCATTTGGGCATGTATTTTGAAGATGGAGCCAACAGGATTTACTGCAGGGTGTGAGAAATAGAGTAGTCAAGAATGACTTCTAAGAGTCTTAGTCTGAGCAGCTGGATGAATAGAGATGCTATTTCTAGAGACACAGCCTCTTGTTGGGGACCAAATTCAAGAGACTGTATTGAATATTAAATCTGAGATGCCTTATACATCCAAGTGCAGACAATCTGTCCAAGGACAAAGGGTCCTAGATAGAGAAAAAATTTGAGAATCATCAGTAAGTACATAAAATTTACAAAACCAAGAGACAATACAAAATCACAATGGGAGCAAATATAGAAAAGAAATTTGAAGACTGAGCCTCAGGGCTCTCTAATGTTTTGAGGTGGTAAAGATGAGACACAACCAAGCAAAAGCAGTTTGGTTGTCTCTTCACTGAACTATAAACTTCTTGAGGAAGGGGACCAATTCTTAGCACCATCCTTAGCATAAAATATATAATGAAACAGCTGCTGAATAAGTATCAATGCGTGTGTATATAACTTTGGCATGGGCAAAAAAGAGGTTCCAATACCACATCACAAACCATAAAATTGTATGTAAACTTCTTTTTTCCATTTCATTTAAGTTGATTTATGTCAACTACTCCAAAGATTTTTTAAAAAGTCTCCTGTATACAGTTACCAAAAGCACTTAAAGAATCTTTATTGTATTAATACAGAGACGTTTTGAAAATAAACCAGTGCTGAAGTTCACACATTCAAATATTTACTGAGTACCTACTAAGCTGCTAGGATATGACAGTGAGCAAAACAGACAAAAAGTCTGTGTCCTTATTAGGCTAACACACATGGAGAGATCGACAACAAATAAGATAAATAAGTAAAAATGTATGGCCTAATACTAATAAGTATGGGCACCACAAGAAATGAGGTAGCTCAAGGAAGGCTTCATTGAGAAAGTAACTTCTGCATAAATACCTGAAAAAAGAGGAGAGACATGTAACTATAGAAAACAGCAGCTTTTAGATATTGTTAAAAAGTAAATAGTTTAAAGCGCGAAAGATAAACACCATCAAATCAAAACTGTTAAGATTAACAGAAATGGAAAAACAGCCAACTCTCTATGTACAAGATCAATGATTCCATGTAACAGTCATCAGACAGTAAATTCAAATCCTACCATATAAATTTTATCTAGGACAAAAATTCCAATATCAGGCTACTATCAAAGGTAGAGATTCTGATGTATATGCTTCTGTTCATGTATGTGAGTATGTACATATGTGAGTATGTACCTATGTGCCTATGTGGATGTTTGAGGATTATGTGCATGCATTTATACCTGAAGGTTTGCATGTATGTTTCTTCATGTCCTAGGGGAGGACACTACAGGGATAAGACAGAAAAGAAGATAAAGATTTATTAAGTAGTTAGATGCTCCAAGACAGTGTTAAATATTTTCTCAAATGTTTCATTTGATCGGTACGACAACCCTGTGAGATAAGCATTACTATTCCCTTTCATAAATTAAGAAAAAAAAATTCAGTTACATAGCTGGTAAGGTTATCTGGCATAAATCAAACTCCAAAGCCTAGAGTCTTTCTATTCAACTCTTAAGGTCTTTCTGAATACAGC
This sequence comes from Homo sapiens, assembly GCF_000001405.40. Classification (NCBI taxonomy): domain Eukaryota; kingdom Metazoa; phylum Chordata; class Mammalia; order Primates; family Hominidae; genus Homo; species Homo sapiens. Next base: position 141,502,930 of record NC_000003.12, on the reverse strand, counting down.
TGTGCTGAGAAACTATTCCCATCTGAAAGAGATGTAGTAGGTCCAGGTCTGCTTCAAAGGTTACCTGAAGTACAAGGGTAGGCGCCAACATGGGTCCCAGTGGGATTAATCCCCTAGAAAAACTGCAAAGAGCCAGGGTCCTGGACAAGATGATCCAAAGTTAAGGATTATTTGGGGTGACAGAAAGCCAAATCATAATAATAGCTACCACTTACTGAATAAATTAATACATGTATTACACAGATTTTTCATTGACTTCATATATATTATTTTACTTAATCTTCACAATAACTCTTCTGAATGATATATATTTTCAAAATACAGAAATTGGGGATCGGAGGATAACGTTCCAGGAGGAAGGCATAACATGAACAAGTTCTGGAGGGTGGCAACAAGAAGAGCACCATCGAGGAGGCAGTGAATAGTATAAACTGACTAAAGCATAAAGAGAGATGAAGGGGGAATGAGAGGGAAAAGATTATAAAGGACAGCTAGTATCAAACAGAGAACCTAAAATGCCAAGCTAAGGTTTAACTTTATTCAGTAGGCAACAAGGGTCGCTAAAAGTTTCTGTGTGGTTCATACTTCAGGAAAAGTACTCTGATAGTCTGAAGAGCCTACATTAAGGTAACAAAGGGAGATAGGAGGAAAGAAAAAATAGAAGAGCTACTATGGAGACAGAATCCACAGAATTTGGCATTAACTGGCTTGAATGACTCAGGACATAATGTTCTAATACAGATCGAATATCCCTTATCTGAAATGCTTAGGACCAGAAGTATTTCAGATTTCAAATGTTTTTACATTTTGAAATGTTGCATTATATATACTTACCAGTTGTGCATCCCAAATCTGAAAATCTGAAATGCTCCAATGAGTATTTCCTTTGAGAATCATGTTGGTGCTCAGTTTTGCATCCTGGAGCATTTGGAATTTTGGACTTTGAAATTTGGAATGCTCAACCAGTAATAGAAATATCAACCTAAACAGAACAGTAGAACTTCAGGAGATGAAAAGATATAAAATATGCACATTTTGTCATTTACATTCACAACAACAACAAAAAAAAAAGAGTGAGAAAGAATGAATCTAATGCACATTTAAAAATATGATATAGTCTCTGGTATTGACTAGTTTAGAGTAAAATTAAAATGCTGTTGTGCCAATCTAATTCCATATAAATAAGACAACCCTATATAATGGTAATATATCATAAGGTCTTTGAAATTTTCTTCTAAAGTTTAATTTCAATTTTTGCAATATGATAAAAGGTATGCATAATTATAAAAACATATACAGTACTAGTATAGTATAGCAAGTTAAATGAATGCATTACAGAGGCAGACATCTGCGTTTCAACATGAACTTTGCATTTAACTATCTGTATGTCCTTACTCTCAACCTCTTATGTAAAAAGAGGTAACTATAATGCTTCAAGATTGTTGTGAGCATTAACTAAGGTAAAGCGCTTGGCACAATGCCTAAGACAGAGTAAATATTCAATGGATAGTAACTATTAGTGCCCTTTCTTGGCTAGACATTCTTAAAAATTAGCATCTATATACAATTCCCTTCATCCAAGCCATTAGCTCCTGACCAAAAATAACCTGTAATATAACAACTGGGTATAACAGAGGAGGTCATTGTTTAAAATGAGTCCTTTGTTACAGAATCAATGGATTTCTATTATAGGAAATACATGGAAACACGTCCAACCTTTATACCTCAAGCTCCACATCTCTAAAATGAGGATACAAATCTGAGGTTGGCTAGCCAGAGATTTGTTTGGCCTGCACCAAATTTAAAAAATAATTTGTGACCATCTAGAAACTGAGAGCTAACAATAAATAAATTTGTATTTCTGGTTTCTCTTTAATAATCAAAATCTGGCAAAATGATTTTGAGTGGAAACTGCAGACAGGTGTATCTTACTAAATCATAATAATCTCTGCTGGGCTTTACTGCATTATACCTGGTCTGTGTATATTTGAGTTTGCAACTCCTTAGCCAGTTAATCTTCTAGGTTCTCTATAGCTCTAAAATCTGAGAGACAAAAAAAATAAAAAATAAAAAAATAAAATCTGAGAGACAACACTTGAAATTTAAAAAGCACAGAGTAACACTGATTTCTAATGCTTTCAGATATTAACACTTATTGCCAGTTTAACCTGATGAACACTACAAGAACTGGATATACATGTAAGTATGAATACTCCAGTACATTTCTATCAAATAAGTTATCCATTAAGAAAACTATGAAAAGATACTTTATGAGTATCACTACTGCTCATGTTAGAACCAACACTTAACTGAGCACAAAATGCCAGGCAGTATACCGAGTCATTTAACCTTTTCACAACTATGCTATATGATTAGTAAAACTACTATTCCTAATTTGTAGACAAGGAAGCTGAGGCTCAGAGAGGTTAAGTGATTAGTAGAAAAGTAGCAGAAAACCATGCTTTAAACATGCTACCTTAGCCTTTATCATTTAATCAGTTTTCACACACTTAAAAAATATTTTGTATATAATAAATCTTACACAAGAAAAAAACACTCCCATTGATTTATCTTTAACAGTTCTGAATGGAGAAAGGAAGAGAAGAACTGTCTTTATCACACATGACCTTCCAAAGAGTCTCAAATTTACCCCCTTCAGAGTACATCAGATTGCTGCAGGGTATGAAGAAACAAAAACAAAAAAAGGAGGGGGGACTGTCAAGAACTACTGAAAAGAAAAAAGTTATGTAGCTGTTATTTCCTTCCTTAGTGGCTCCTTAACTGTCATCTTGAAAACACCACTGGAAAGTTACACATTTGTGACATTAATCAGACAGAGAATGAGAAATAGTACCAATAGGCATATGGTGACTGCTGGAATATCTACCACTAAGCAGAGTTTTCCAATGCATAAATTAACATGGTGAGATAACTCAGTTGTCAAGCAATTTTCCTCACTCCTGGCAAATGACTTGTATCTGTAAAATAATCCAAGAGTCTATAATCCCACTCGATTGGTAATCTTTAAAAAAACAACACATTGGCCAGGCACGGTGGCTCATGCCTGTAATCCCAGCACTTTGGGAGGCCGAGGTGGGCGGGTCAGGAGATCGAGACCATCCTGGCTAACATGGCGAAATGCCGCCTCTACTAAAAACACAAAAATTAGCTGGATGTGGTGGCGTGCACCTGCAGTCCCAGCTAATCGGGAGGCTGAGGCAGGAGAATTGTCGAACCTGGGAGGTGGAGGTTGCAGTGAGCTGAGATCGCACCACTGCACTCCAGCCTGGTGACAGAGGGAGACTCCGTCTCAAAAAAAAAATCAACACATTAAATAACTCCTACCAGAAATCTGGTTCTGCCTAAGAACAAGGCACTATGATAAAATGAGGTAGTACCAGTGAGCAAACACTTGAGTGGGCACAGGACTCTAGGAATATGACACAGTTTGGGTGGCTAGCCGAGACTCAGTGAAGCAAAGAACTGTTTTTTCGTGTGTGTGTGTGTGGCTATAAAACCTGAACTATATATAAGTACAATTCCACATAAATAAGGCAATCCTGTATAGTGGTATTATATCACAAGGGTTTTTGTGGGTATAAAACCTGAACTATATATAAGTACAATTACACATAAGTAAGACAATGGCTAGTGACAAGACAAAGTCAAAGTAAACGCATAAATACCACTGCAACTCCTCAGTGATAAAGTCTACAGAACATAATCGGGGCTAGTTGCTGCATGGAAGTCATGTGCACAATAACTATCATACAGTTATCTACACTGCTATCATATTAATCACTTTTCACTGAAGCTTAATCTAGAACAAGAAGTTAGGAAACTACTATACACGAAAAGGCAAGTTTCACAAGGTATTGCCAGGAAGTGTCTATGGGTTATATAGATACGTCACCAAGTTGCGGGCAGGATCTTCCTGTGGTTTGCCTTGCCCACTTCCGGTTTCAGTTTTGAATGTGTGCTGATCTACAAGCTCCCTACAGACCCCTTCCTCAAGTGGCAAACCAAACTCTGAAGTACATATGGCAGGAATCTCTTCTGGGCTAAGCCAATGGTACCTATAGCTACAAGAAGCTTAGCAAGGCTACCAAGGTGACCAAGAGAGCCTGGTATGACAAACAAAAGGAAGGCAAAAAGCCAGGTGCTGGCAGAACTCAGGGCTACATGGACAGGCTATATATGGGATATGGCTGTTATTTCTGGTGACAGCATCCAGGGGGCCAAAATAGGATTCATATTGATCTTCGCCCCCCCTCCACAAAAAAAAGACACCTAGACACATAAAGAAGTTACACCCATGAGCATATAAAGGTGTGTATGTGTATATCTGTGTGTGTGTATGTATGTGTGTACACATATCCAAGAACCACTCAAAAGTACATACAAACCCACATAAGCAGTTAGGCAGCTAAAATAATTACATTCATGAACCCCCAAAACAGGCCAGAAGATAAATTCTTATGGCATTCAAACATCATAATTTTATTGAATATCCACTACATTAGACCATAGCCAATTTAGGAGTAATTATCAACTTCTTGACAACATAAATGTATTCATCAATTCCTTCCAATATATCATCTCACAGGCAGCTTTGTAGAGAAAGGGATGTGGGCTTTGGTAACATAAAGACTTTCTGAAAACTTGGCTCTGCTCCCTTACAATCCTGAGCAAATAACCTCTGTCTGTTGCTTCTTCTCTAAAATAGGAATAACAATCTTCTTCATGAAATTGGATTACATGAAATATTTTGCAAAGTATCCTAACACAACATCTGGAAACCAGGAAATACTCAATAAACATTAGTTCACCCCATCTACCAAGAATATTTTATATAAAACTGTAAAATTCAAAACTAAAATTCTGTACCACTCACACAAATGTCATATTTTAAAGGATCCAAAATTTTCAGACCCTTTTTACCACATTTCTCTGAAACAATGTATTAAAATTTTAAAAAGTTTTTCTAACATAAACAATTAGTCAAACAGGCAAAGTATATAAGAATTTGCTGTATTATTTCTACTTTTTTTTTTTTTTTGAGACAGGGTCTCACTTTGTCACCCAGGCTGGAGTGCAGTGGTGCGACCTCAGCTCACCGCAGCCTCAACCTCCTGGGCTCAAGTGATTCTCTGGCCTCAGCATTCCAAGTATTAATAGCTAGGGCTGAAGACACACACCACTATGCCTGGCATTTTTTTTTTTTTTTCGTTTGTAGAAACGGAGTTTTGCCATGTGGCCCAGGCTGGTCTCAAACTCCTGAGCTCAAGCCATCCACCCTCCTCAGCCTATTCTTACAATTTGTAAGTTTGAAATTATATCAAAAGTTACCAAAAAAACTTAACAGAAAAGTTGACTTTATTTCTTCTATAGCACTCAAAATGTTACAAAACCTAACATTTGATTACTCTTGTTTTGCAGATAGGATAGTCTTCCAAAGTAGAGCAACAGAGACTGGCACAGCTTAAGATTAATACTGTATCAAGTTCATTTATATAAATAGTTACTTTTGATAATATAATATATAAATATACTCCCTATAGGAAATCAAACCATTACAGATAAGGCTAACTCGCTCTTTTTTTTTTTTTATTATACTTTACGTTTTAGGGTACATGTGCACAATGTGCAGGTTTGTTACATATGTATACATGTGCCATATTGGTGTGCTGCACCCATTAATTCGTCATTTACATTAGGTATATCTCCTAATGTTATCCCTCCCCCCTCCCCTCTCCCCCCACCCCACGACAGGCCCCGGTGTGTGATGTTCCCCTTCCTGTGTCCAAGTGTTCTCATTGTTCAATTCCCACCTATGAGTGAGAACATGTGGTGTTTGGTTTTTCGTCCTTGTGATAGTTTGCTGAGAATGATGGTTTCCAGCTTCATCCATGTCCCTACAAAGGACATGAATTCATCCATTTTTATGGCTGCATAGTATTCCATGGTGTATATGTGCCACATTTTGTTAACCCAGTCTATCACTGATGGACATGTGGGTTGGTTCCAAGTCTTTGCTATTGTGAATAATGCCGCAATAAACATACGTGTGCATGTGTCTTTGTAGCAGCATGATTTATAATCCTTTGGGTATACACCCAGTAATGGGATGGCTGGGTCAAATGGTATTTCTAGTTCTAGATCCCTGAGGAATCGCCACACTGACTTCCACAACAGTTGAACTAGTTTACAGTCCCACCAACAGTGTAAAAGTGTTCCTATTTCTCCACATCCTCTCCAGCACCTGTTGTTTCCTGACTTTTTAATGATCGCCATTCTAACTGGTGTGAGATAGTATCTCATTGTGGTTTTGATTTGCATTTCTCTGATGGCCAGTGATGATAAGCATTATTTCATATGTCTGTTGGCTGCATAAATGTCTTCTTTTGAGAAGTGTCTGTTCATATCCTTCACCCACTTTTTCATGGGGTTGTTTTTTTCTTGTAAATTTGTTTGAGTTCTTTGTAGATTCTGGATATTAGCCCTTTGTCAGATGAGTAGATTGCAAAATTTTTCTCCCATTCTGTAGGTTGCCTGTTCACTCTGATGGTAGTTTTTTTTGCTGTGCAGAAGCTCTTTAGTTTAATGAGATCCCATTTGTCAATTTTGGCTTTTGTTGCCATTGCTTTTGGTGTTTTGGACATGAAGTCCTTGCCCATGCCTATGTCCTGAATGGTATTGCCTAGGTTTTCTTCTAGGGTTTTTACGGTTTTAGGTCTAACATTTAAGTCTTTAATCCATCTTGAATTAATTTTTGTACAAGGTGTAAGGAAGGGTTCCAGTTTCAGCTTTCTACACATGCCTAGCCAGTTTTCCCAGCACCGGCTAACTCCCTTTATCCACCATTGAGGCAATCACTGTTATCTGTACAACTGTTCAGACCTCTTTTTATGTATTTATCCATCTACATGCAGAAAAGTAAAATGTTTTGAGATTTAAAACAATACACAGGATACTACACATATTATTCTACAACTTGCTGTTTTTACCCAACAAGACATCCTGGAGTTCTTTCCTTTCATAACATAGATATACCTCATTCTTTTTAGTTGCTATAGAATACGTGTATGAACATATTATCCATTTTCCTACCGATGTACATTTAAGTCGTCTCCAATTATTCTGTTTTACCAACAAGGCAACATTGAATATCTTTGTATATGCCTCTTCTCTAAATGTACAACTGTTGATGCAGGGCAAATAGGTAGAAGTAAAAATGCATGGTGTATAGACATTTAAATTCTTAACAGATATAGCCAAAATGCTCTCCAACATTGCTTTATCAATTTAAACTCACAACAACAATGAGGAAAATACTTATTTCCCTAAACCCTCACCAAAGACTGAGATAAACTTTCCTTTTTTTGTAAATTGATGTTTTAAAATTTTATTTCCCTGATTAATTTTTACTTTACCAATATTTTCATGTTTACTGGACATTTGTATTTCCTTTCCTGTGAGATGCCTATTCGTATCCTTTATTTTTCTAATGGCCTCTTGTTTTTAAGTCTGTATGAATTATTTATATAATCTGGACATAATAAATAGAGAGGCATAATAGCACAGTAGGTTAAGAGTTAACAGGATGGACTCTAGAGCCAATCTGCCCAGTCTGATTGATAGCTCCACCATTCACCAGCCATCTAACCTTGGTCAATTTACTTAGCTTAGCTATTGTGTATCTGTTTCCTCATAATGTGTAAAATGGGGATAATAATGGTATTTTTAGAGTTACTGTAAGGATTAAATTAGTTAATACGCATAAAGTGCTTTAAAACAGTGCCTGGCAAAGAATTCAGTGTTATACACATTTCCTTTGTCTGAAGGATACACTGCAAATATTTTCTCCCAATCTATTGTCTTTTAACTTTTGTTTATAAGTCTTCACTTACCTTTCCTCAAGCAGTTCTTTCTCAATTTCTCAACCATCAGACGTTATATAAGTAGATGAAACTTACAACTGACTGCCCTCACTGGATCTCACAATCAACTTAAGAATAAATTCAGGCATCAGCCAAAGTATACAGATTTTTTAAATCTTTGCACAGGTTTTAAAATAATAGCTAACTTCCTTACAGCATAAAGCATTTTCTCACAAATCAAGAAGACTGTAACTCACCAGAAAAAAAAGGACAAAAGAAATAGACCAGTTCACATAGCACATCAAAAAAAAAGGCTCTTAAAAATATGAAGAGATCCTATAACTTAATTTCAAGCCTTAGAAAAATTTAAAATTTAAAAATTAGGGCCAGGCGCAGTGGTTCACGGCTGTAATCCCAGCACTTTGGGAGGCTGAAGCAGGCAGATCACGAGATCAGGAGATCGAGACCATCCTGGCCAACATGGTGAAACCCCGTCTCTACCAAAAATACAAAAATTAGCTGGGCGTGGTGGCACATGCCTGTAATCCCAGCTACTCGGGAGGCTGAGGCAGGAGAATCGCTTGAACCCGGGAGGCGGAGGTTGCAGTGAGCCAAGATCGTGCCCTGGTGACAGAGCAATCCTCACTCTCATTTAAAAGTGCAAATTAAAACTACAAATTAAATGTTCCTTTTTATTTCATAGACCAGTAAAGATTAAGAAGTTTTAAAATACACCCTACGTGGGTATAAAGAAATAGGCAGTCATACATTGCTGGTGAGAGCTTAAATTGCTATAGTTTAGCATTGTCTTTCCAAAATAAAAATGCACATATCCTTCAATTCATCAATTTAACATCTATCTAGAAATGTATCCTACAAAAAGACACTCATATTAAAAATGACATGCTTACAAGGTTATTCATTGTAGTAATGTCTGTAATAGCAATGACTGTTTACAACCTAAGTGTCAACTAATAGGGGACTGGCTAAATAAACTGTGGTACAGCCAAATGATGAAATATTATGCAGTTGTTTAAAAAATAAGGCAGATCTCTCTTTATGTGAATGTGAAAAAATCTTCAAGCTATGTTGTTAAGTGTAAAAAAGCAAGATACAGAAAAATGTATATATTTTGCTATAATTTGTATGTTGGTGGAAGGAATATATTAGTGCACATAAATTTATGTTTGTAAATGCTTAATTTCTGGAAGAACACACAACAAAAAGGATATAACAAATTGGTAATGCTTGCTTCTTGGGAGGGAATGGCTAGAAGATAATGAAAGGAAGGAATACTTTTCAATGTATATACTGTTTTGTACCTCTTGAATTTTGTACCAAGTGTTCATATTATCTAATCAAATAGAATTAATATATCAAATATATATGCAAACAAACTAAAATCTCACTGTAACTATACCAACCTTTCTACTGATACCTTTTAAATGATAGCACAGCAGGTTGCCATCATTTAGGTAGGGTATGTGGCTAATCTATTTGTGACAAAAGCAGAAATTCACTATCCTAGCTGCCCAACATCACCCCCTATGGAACTTTTGAAACCAGAAATTCTGACTTAGTAGGTCTGGGGTACAGTCTGGGCATCATAATTTTTTTAGTTCACAGGTGATGGTGACAGACAGTCAGAACTGAAAATAGCTGAGGTAGACCATGGCACAAGTAACTAAACATCCAGGTTCAATCTCCACCTAGGTCATAACCATAGTTTCATCACTAATCCTAACCACTTCACAAAGTTCTTAAGAAGGAACAGTTAAGAGTGTGTAGACGGCACAGTGAAAATCTTACCACCTCTCAATATATAAACAGATAAGTAGTATAATCTCTGTGTATTAAATGTAGTACATTTGCAACATTCATAGTAATAAGTTAATCTCATATAGCATTCTAGAAAGAACTTTGATAATAGTGGACTAGTGCCGAACAGGCCATCAACTGTGTGACACTTGCTGTCTCTGTTAGATTCTTCATTTGTAAAATGAAGGGTAAGAACCTTTATTTTCTCTACCTTCATGTTCTCTACCTTCCAGCTTTAAATTTCTATAATTGTCTAAGAATACAGATGTCTAAAAACAGCTATTGCTTAGTATAGACTTTAGGATAAAATAGGATCTTTCATCCGATTCACAGCTTAGGCCCATTTCAGTCCAGTGGGTTAGCGTCTCTTAACAGACCCTTCGATATGTATTACGTGCTGCTGAATTAATTAACAGTCACAGAAAAAAAATTTAGAATTCAAACGCTCTTATCTAATAAATCTTAAATATTTTTAAAACAGTGAATCATGCAAAACAAGTGTACTAAATACATTTAAACACTAAAATAAAGCATCTGATGTACTGCCTTAAAGCAAATGGTTCAAGTTAAAAAGCAATAATCAAAATGGTAGAAGGGATGTTAAAGACCATATCCAAACCTCTAATTTTACAAGTAAGGAAATACGGGCTCAGCAAGGTTAAAGAATTTGCCCAAAGTCATTGTCATTAATGACAGGAAAACAAATTTGTCATTTATGGTTCTCTGTATGTGTACTGATACAAACTTTTAATGTTTATCACTTTAGATAGGGGTTTTTGATAACTAAAATTACATACAAACCTAAAGAGATGCCATAAAAATGTCTTAATACACATAAAAAGCTTAACTTACATGAATATATGACTATACAACATTTTGTTTGCAGTTCTCAAAAGAGAATAGAACTTTATTAGTAGCAAAAACATGTAATCTGATATTATTGTCAAATAATTTCATAAAGCACATTAACAAGGAAATAGGATTAGCAGCTATGATTAAAGGATAAAATGATGGTTTTATTCTGGCTATATTAGTCACTTAAGGATCTATTCAAAGAGTTCTAAGTTTTAAAAAAACAACTCTATGAACTCACTGAGGTTTACCTCCCGTCTTCCACAGAGCAAATGATTAGCAGACTGCTCTGTGAACTTTTACAAAGAACCCTTTTCTCCCCAGTTTCTATCCATCTGAAAGATGGATTCTTCCTCCATCCTAAATAACTCATCATCTCATTTCAAATATCTGATAAAAATGAACTCTTAGCATGAATACACCCTTTTTAATCTCTTCCACTCAACTTTACTGGATAGTCAATAAAATGTTTTGATTTATACTTCACAGAATTAAATAGACGGTTTTATTCAAACCTGTCATGTCAAATTAAAACACTTAATGTGTAAAGTATGAATATGAGATTTTCTTTTCCAAGCTCCAGGACCAATTAGTAACAATATTCAAATGCCCTAATAATAAGTAATCAGAGCATTAAGAAAAATTTAATCTTTTTCCTAACAAGGCAACTTTGGCATCAATTCAAACCTAAGCTTAGTGGGCACTGTGATTTTGAAAGGGATGAACTTCCTGATGCAGACTCATACAGTTTTCTCTTAATACTAACACCTTCTAGTTTTTTTAGGTATATAATTTATAAAATACTTTCATATCTAGTAATTATCCACAGGATAACATTGTGAGGTAGGGCATATTCTAAAGGCCTATTCTGTTCTAGGCATTGTGCTGACACTGGGATGATTTTTTAAAAATGAACAAGAATCAATTCTATCTTGAAAGAGCTCACAATCTAACAGGAGAAGTGAACAAATGATTTCTATGAAATGTGCTATAATAAGGAAATGAGCAAGGAATTGTGTTCCCCAGCAGCAGAGATGCTGGCCAGAGATGGCACTGGAAGTGTCTCAGAAGGTTTTGGGAAGGAGATCACATAGAGCAGGCTTTTGAGGGATGAGTAGGAGCTTCCTGACATAAAGATGGGGTGGAGTAAAGAAGAAAGACAATCCCAAGCAGAGGGAACAACCTGTATACAATGGATAGTGGAAAAGCATCATTCCCATTTAAAAGATGCGGAAGGTAAGCTTCAAGATAAGTGAGCTGGCTAACGCCATATGAAGATTAATTAACAACGTTTAAAGAAGAATATAGGTCTTCAGATTTTAATCAGCTTTGTACACCTGGAAACTCCAGTATACATTGGACAAGAACATCAGATGAAGATTAGTTTTTATCTCCTACTTTACTCCTTCCTAAGAGATGGTCGGTGTATGACCCAGATCCTGGGGAGTGAGAAAGAGCAGGCAGAGATGAGGAGGGGCAGAGTAGGGAGGGAGGCTTATTTAAACCTCATAACAACCCGTGAGATAGGTATTTTTACTATCCCCATTTTATATATGAGAATATGAAGGCCCAAAGACATTAACAAAAGTTGGAAATTAGGTGAAGATTCAAACCCAGGTAACTAACTTTTTCACCCAGCCTCTAAGCTCAAGCACTTAACCATACCCTATAGATCTTCCCTACTCTGTCAAATAACCCTAGGCTATTCTTGGTCTGAAGACACCAGAGAAACTAAGTGAGTTTTGGAACACATAGTCCCACAGATCTCGCACTGTACCACACATCTGAAAATTCACACAAAATTTTCCCATTTGGCTCTCTTATTGATCTGGTATTCCTTGAGTAGATAAGCCCACACATATGGTGGCATGGGTGCTCTCCGCAACATTTTTACAATCTAATGTAATTGGATAAGAGGAAACTTAACAAGTGCTAATCAAAAAGGAGGTCACCAAATAACAGCATGAAGCCTGAAGATACATAAAGGAGGAAGCCCCAATCCCTCTTTTCTGTTTGAATACGGTTTTTTTTTTTTTTTTTTTTTTGAGGGGAGGAGGGAGCATGCAAATGTGTTTCAGGTGTTCTAGCATACTTGCTACTCGCTACACAGGAGTGCAGACCGAAGAATGGAGTCGAGTACACCCCTAATTTCCTTTATCAAGGGTTCATATGACAACCTTAGGATATCAAACAACCAAACTCACCTCTTGAAAAAGTTTAAGGAAGCAGACAATTCAGAACTGTCATGGTTTCCTAGCGCAAACTGCAGCAAATCCAGGGTTGCTGACAATATTTTGTCTTATAGATGGATCTCGAATTCCCTGGGTTCGTTTGAGCGCATATAAAACACCTGAAACATATTTGCATGTCCCTTCTTCCCTCCTCCCCAGCCCCCCGGCAAAAAAAAAAAAAAAAGTACACTCAAGCAAAAAAGGGGTATTGGGGCTTCATCCTTTATATATATTGAGGTCTCATGTTGTTATTTTGTGACCTCCACCTTTTTGGTTACCACTTTTTGTTAAGTTTCCTCTTGTCCAATAGACAAATATCTGTCCAACTGACAGATATTTCACCTTGTGAAGTATAAGGGGAAATAATTACAGGAATGAAATCCCTAAAGAAGGTTATGGACTATTATCTCTTGAACATTCAAGATACATAAACCAATCCATCCTCACTTTTCACTGGGGTGATGTGCAGTTTAAAAGTCCTATGCAAGTCCAGAAATAAGAAAATTTCTTCAGGCTAATTTTCAGCCCCTACAGATCTCTAACTCTCCAGAAAAGAGGCTCTCAATCAGTAGTATAAAATCTGCCAGCACATCTCCTAGTGGGCACTATCAGGCTTTCTTCCAAGGTTTCCTACTGTGGTGAAGAGAAAAGCTGACACGGTTACACCCTCCCCAAGCTGCTTAATATCTTGTCAGAACCACCACCATCTCATTTCTGTGACCTTGACACCTGCTAATGACTCTTCCAACCCCTCAGTCCCCACCCTACAAAACCCACATGTTAGTTTCAGGGAAACAGAAAACAGCATCTCTTCACAAGGTTCTGAATGTCAACCAACTGTGGATTACATCATTTAAAAGGAGGACAAAGAAATGGGAAGAGAGCTTCTGTATATAAGTATACAAATACATTTTTTTTTTCTAGAAAGCAGACACTCCATAACCTGAGCTATAAGATAAGCAATTTAAAAAGCAAGAAACTGACTAGGATAACAGATAGAATACTTCAACTGTGGTTAAAGCAGTAATATCATTCCCAGCAGCTGGATGATCAATTTCCAAGCCAGGGTTGCTTTAAACCATAGAAACAAAGTGGTTTTTTGTTTTTCTTTTTTTTAACGTGTAGACCCAAGTTTCACTTACAAAACTGTTCTTAGTGGTCTTTGGCATGGGGCAGACAAAAGCACAGGACAACTAAGTCCTTCTGGAAACCCTAACCCTCAATTCCAAGACATGTGTATATGTAGTTCCATGGTAAAACCTGCAGTTACGTACCAGTGAGTCTCCAATAGACAATGCCTAGCATCAAGTGGCACTAAGAAAGTGGTAAAAATCTGGAAAATCATATAAAGGGAGAAACTTTGGCCCATTTACAGTTTTCCCAAATGTTAAATTAGATATATGCAAAAGTTGAAAACAAAATTTTCCCCTCAAATATAAGGTTACAGAAAAAAGAAAAAATAAATAAAATTTAATCTGAATTCTGAAAAGGTTTTATGCCCTAGAAAGTAACTTTAATTTTGGGAACTAAGATCTACCTCTCTGGTGTCACTTTCCAGGTTTTAAGAACTGTAATCTCTTAAGAGCCCCAGGACTACCTCAGGGAATAAAAAGATAAGAAAAGTTAACATGTCTGCTTCTGAGGTTTCATAAAATCCCAAATACGTGAACCACCTGAAAAGAGGAAAAGTGGGAGAATGTGAGCTCAACAGTACTGGTATTAGAGGAGAGGAAAATTTTACATCCTGCCCAGGAAAGAATTGTTAGCCACTTTAATGCAAGTCAATTTTCTTCAAAGTGAAAAGTACGCCCTCATAATTGAGGGTTATTTATAAGAAACATGAAGCATGTTTCCAATCTGAGAATACTGCATGAAGAAAATAATGCTAATTTTCGACAAATGCAAAAATAAATGTTATTGATCTCTCTTACAAACAGAAAACAAAAAGCACTTCATCTAAATAAACCACTGTGAAAAAAAAAATGGCAACCTGACACCAAAGGGTCGTTTTTAAAACTAAAATGTTCAAATGACAGAACTCAAATAATCTGTCCACAGTAATGCTCGGACAACTCTGAGCAAAATTTCGTATTTAGTCAACTGGTAGGCTCGCTCACTAAAGTAGCAATTACACGCATGAGAAGGAAGGGAATTAAGCGGGCTGAGTGCGGGCTGGGTGATTGTGTTTTGAGACCTGCTCACAGGAAGCCACTACATCCTGCCTTTAGTCCCGCCTGTCACGCCGTCCCTCGATTCAAGTCCCGGCCGCAGCGAGGTGGGGCAAGTACAGGTGTCCCGCCGAGCTCCTCCCGGGGCGCTCACCCGCGAACAGACCGCGCGGTAGCCACTCGGGCCCCAGGGCGGCCCGTTTCCTGCAGCTCAGGGCGCCTTTTTCAACCTCTCCCAGGCTCGCCGAGCCCAGGAAACGAACAGCCCCCTCCCCTCGGGCCAGCCCCACTTCCCAGCCCGCCACCTCCTCGGGCCGCGCCTCCGTATAATTACTGCTCGGCTCCCACCGCGGGGCCACTCCCCAGCGCCCGCAGCCGCGCGAAGGCCTGAGTCTGAGGGCGGCCGGAAGCTCCTCACGCCCCCGGACCGCGCCCCCGGCCGCGCCCCGGACTCCAGCGTCCCCGCGTCCAGGCCGCTCCCCACGACCGAGCCCCTCACGCCGGCGCAGCCCGGGCTCTCCCACCCCAGGCCCATCTCCAGCTCCCACTCCCTCCGGAGAGCAGCAGCCCCGGCCCACGCCGCCCCGTCGAGGCGACGCCGCCCCCCAACACACCCCCTTCCAGCCTCAACCGCGCCCGGCCCAGGCCCCCTCCCGGGCCCGCGATCCCAGCGCAGCTCGGCGCCGCCACCGCCGCGAACCCGCCGCCCCCTCAGCCTCGCGCCCAGCGCCGCCAGGGCGTCCCCTCAGCCCAGCCCCCGCTTACAGATCTTGCCCCGCAGGCTCTGCAACACTCGAACCTCGCGACTGTCCTGGTCCCCGGCCTCGGGCTCTGCAGTCGCACTCGCCGCTGGCGCCTCGGAAGAAGCCGCCGCAGCAGCAGGCGCCGCCGCCGCCATGGTGCCGCCCGGCCCGTGCCGCAGCCCTGCCGCCTGCGTAGCCGGGCGAGGCGGAGCCCAGCAGCGGCCTAGGCCCAGGCCAGCCGCGCGCCTGGCCCCGCCCCCGGGCCTCGGCCCGACTCGCCCCGCCCCGCCCCGCCCGCCGCGGCCCCGCCCCCGCCCCCCCCGGGTCTCCATTCACCGCCTTCGCCACCCCCGAGCCGGGCTACCCTGCAGAGAACCGTACTCCCGGCTTGGGGCGCTGGCTAAGGGTAGCTCCCAGTCGTGGCTCTGAGCGGCCTTAAAATCCCCACCAGGAGAACGCCCCGGCCCTCCCGTGATCCCTAAATCCTCCCGGGAATTGGGCTCCCCCAATGAATAGACCTGCACATCTCCTAACGCTCGCGGGAAATACAGGCCCTTCCCAATCAGGGAAACTCCCTGTGGGAAGAAAATAGAATGGAATTTGGCAGGTGGGTGGACCTCAAAAGTATCTTATTCAAAAGGAGGCAAGAGATGCATTTGAGGCTCTTCCAGTATTATCCAAATACTCCCCGCCAGCAAGCCAAACTCCTCCCACACAAATACTCTTTACTAGGACCAATTCTCTGCAAAACCTGGTTCAAGAAAAGGACCAGCCACCCCCAACTCCAGCGTGAGTGCAGTGCCTGAGACCCTCTCATAGAGAAATTCTGAAGCATTTACCATCACTTTTGTATTTCAGGAACAGAAAAAGCAAAGAAGGGCTCCCCCCCGCCACCGCCACCACTACTAAAAGTTGGCTTTGTTAAAAAGTTGACTGACCCTAGGAAATGTGTAAATCTTTGACTAATTGTTAGCTTTATTTCAAGGGAACTCTTTACAGTGAGTAAACTGCATGAATAATACCCTGGTATGTGATGAGGAAGACAATTTCCTGGTGTTGAGGTTGTTAACTACGCTGCCCTAAGAAGGAAGAAACTGTGACTTAATCGGGCAGGGTAATTCTTTTCCAGGGCAACAACAGGAATAAGCCAGTCAGTCAACAAATATTTTTTGAGGGTCAGACATAGTGATGGCCTCAGACCTCAGAGACTACACAAAGGTCAAGATGAAGAGAGCTCCAGCTCATTCTGGAGGGAGACACAGAAAAGGCCAGAGGCACTGGGAGATAAGAAATAGGACGGGGAAACCTGAAAACTGAAGACAAACGCGCCGCCTGTGCAAAGGCTGGACAGCCCCAGAGAATGGTCAGAGTTTAACATGGACCTGGCCAGCGAAGCTTCCAGTTCTGCCTGTGTTGCAGGTGACTTCTATTTCCCCATGTGATCTTTACACTTGTTGGATAAAGTGAACCACTTCCTCTTATATGAATGTTTTGCTGTCATTTCAAACATAAGTCCAAAACTTAATTTCCTGTCTCCCTTTCCAAATCTGAGTTCACATCTTATACTGTTACTCAGGCCAGAAACTTTGACTTTTTCTTATCCCTTGTCCCAATGCTGTTTTCAGTTGCCACATCCTTCTGACTCTGCTGAAATCTCTTCCTTCCTTTCCATTCTCTGTCATTGCCCTTGTTAAAATTATTCTCATTTAAAGAGTATCAACGTGTTACAGGGTTTTTTCCCCCTTATTTTTAAAGGCATCCCTTTTTAGAATCAGACATAGAGCCTGTTTCTACCCCTTTTACATTTGGGCAAGTTACTCAACCTTCCTAAACCTGTTTCTGTTTCTTCTCTTTCTTTCTTTCTTTTTTTTTTTGACAGTCTTGCTCTGTTGCCTAGGCTGGAGTGCAGTGGCACGATCTCAGCTCACTGCAGCTTCAACTTCCTGGGCTCAAGCTATCCTCCCATGTCAGCCTCCTAAGTAGCTGGGACTACAGGTGCGCGCCACCATGTCCAGTTAATTTTTGTATTTTTGGTAGAGATGGGGTTTTGCCATGTTGCCCAGGCTGGTCTTGAACTTCTGGGCTCAAGTGATCCATCCGCGTCAGCCTCCCAAAGTGCTGGGTGTAAGCCACTGCGCCCGGTTGAACCTGTTTCTTTAACAGTAAAGTGGAAATGCTAAACTTTCTTCTTTGAAGGGTTGTTATTAAGATTAAATAAGTATTGGGAGCAGGGTGTTAAGTGTCTAGTGGAATGCTGAG
This sequence comes from Homo sapiens, assembly GCF_000001405.40. Taxonomy (NCBI): domain Eukaryota; kingdom Metazoa; phylum Chordata; class Mammalia; order Primates; family Hominidae; genus Homo; species Homo sapiens. The sequence continues at coordinate 141,484,979 of NC_000003.12, read as the reverse complement.
CACGTAGTAGGATTACCTCAGTAACTGACCTCATGCTTTTGACTGGAACTCTGGTAATAAGTCCCCCATCCCTCTCATTCCTCCTACATACCACTTAAATTAACTTTCCTAACAAAAAAAATGGAGCTTATCAGTTGCCTGCTCAAGAGGACATCAGTGGCTTCATTTATCCCTTCAGCCAGCTAGCAAGAGCACACTACAGGTAATGAACAATGCTAGAAATGACTAAAGTTCAAATTCTTCAGCCAAGAGTTGGAACTGGATCCAGCGTACCTGACTCCTCTGATCTCCAGCCACACTGAGCCCCTTTTCTCACCAGCCTGATTCTGGCCTTCCTCCTGCTTGGCCAAGCGATGCCTCATCCATCTATTTCTTTCTCCAATAAACAGAGAAATTATTTGAACCTTTGGACAAATGTATCCATGGATAAAGTATCAATGTACAAATGGACAAATGTATCCAATGGACAAACGTATCCAATGGACAAAGTATCAATATCTTTGTCCATTAGTGTCAAAATCTTCTAACTTCCCTTCCTTTTCACTAGCTTAACCCCAAGTGCATAACTCTGTTACTAAATGGTCACTAAAGGTATGAAAACAATTTTACATAAAGGGACACTCCACTTTTTTGTTCTTCCAGACAGTCTTCCTTTTGCAGATTTCGGACTTATACCGTTTCACTAAAATCCCCAAACTCCATTGCTTTTTCATCCGAAGTCACTTCTAATTATTCTGTTTTTACTGATACTTGCCTACTTTGAAGAGATCTTGGGTAATGTCAATGTTTCCTTAATATAAAATATTTGGAAAATAAAGTTTTCTTTCTTTCTTTCTTTTCTTTTTTTTTTTTTTAAGATGGAGTCTTGCTCTGTTGCCCAGGCTGGAATGCAGTGGCGCGATCTCGGCTCACTGCAAGCTCCGCCTCCCGGGTTCATGCCATCCTCCTGCCTCAGCCTTCCTAGTAGCTGGGACTACAGGCGCCCGCCACTGCGCCCGGCTAATTTTTTTTGTGTTTTTAGTAGAGACGTGGTTTCACTGTGGTCTTGATCTCCTGACCTCGTGATCCACCAGCCTCAGCCTCCTAAAGTGCTGGGATTACAGGCGTGAGCCACCGCGCCCGGCCGAAAATAAAGTTTTCTAAAGACTAACAAGACATACAGTATAATTACGAGAAGGCTGTTACATCTCATTCCCCTTATTGCCCTTGCATTATGTTTTAAATTCATCTAGAGTTCCTCTCTTTTCTTCATGATGTTTAGTAACTGGAACAATATTGCATCATCACAAACTTGAACTTCACTTCCTTCCTCAAATTATTAATGAATGTGTTTAAAGGCCATCCCTTCTATCCCTACCACTCTTCGTTCTGATGAGCAACCATTCACTACTATGTCTTTTCCTATTTCTTCACCAGTTTTAAACTCATTCAGTCATTTCAACCCATACATTGGCTTGCTTTATGGCAGATGATGTAGGAAAACTACATTGTCTCTTAATAAGAAGACTATAACCTGCAGCTAGAAACTAATTCCATAACTTGTCTGTTACGGCATATTTTTGAATCAGCACCCACCAACCTATAACATGGCATTGTAAGGGGTTGTCTCCTGGCCTTGAGTTATTTATTACATTTTTTCTGGCGAGTAGGAGGAAGAGAAATGTGCTTTCTTTTTAATATTTAAATGTAGATCATTTTCATAGGGCTGGACACTCATGAGACAGAACTGTTTCTGCCGGACTGGTGGGAAAGCAAGTTCCTTTGATCATTGATGACTTGGTTTCCCCATTTGCCCCATCAGAGTACTGTTTGATGTTAAGCATTATGCACTAATTACATTATTAAAAAAAAATCTCTAAATCCAACTGGCATTTTAAAAAATAAAATTGGAGTGGTAGGAGGTGAGGAGAGACCTTAAATGTTCAGAAAACATACTTTCAACATTTCATTTGAAGACCAAATAAGGCCATTGACAAGGCTGTGTGGACAAAAATGTGGACAAATTTTTACCTTAAAACCTCCAACTCCTTCGGTACAAATATTTTCAAGGCCAGATGTGATGGCTCATGCCTGTAATCCAACAGTCGGTTGTAATACCAACTTTGACAGGAGGATCACCTGAGGCTAGGAGTTCAGGAGCAGCCTGGGCAACACCGTGAGACTCTGTCTCTACAAATATAAATAAATAAATTAGCTGGGCATGGTGGCACGTGCCTGCCTGTACTCCTAGCTAATCAGGAGGCTGAGGTGGGAGGATTGTTTGAGCTCAGGAATTTGAGGCTGCAGTGAGCTATGATCATCCCAGTGCACTCCAGCCTGGGTGACAGAGAGAGACCCTGTCTCTAAAAATAGAATTTTTTTTTTTTCAAATTCTGTCACCTCTTGCAAGAGAACTTTAAAGGCCTGAATATCTGAGCACAATACAGCTGATGCCCTTAGGTCAGTGTGACTTCAGTTATTTCTCAATCCCCCTCCTTTTGAACTATTTTGCCATATCCATTCCATCTGCAGTGCATTCTTGTCATTTTAGTGATAAAACAAAACAATGGGTGTAGGCTGGGCATGGTGACTCATGCCTATAATCCCAGAACTTTCAGAGGCCGAGTTGGGTGGATCACTTGAGCCCAGGAGTTCAAGACGAGCCTGGGCAACATAGTGAGACCCCAAATCTATTAAAAAAACAAATCAAAAAACAAAAACAACAAAAACCCCCAAAACTCAAAACCAACCAAACAAATAAAAACATACAAAACAATAAGTGTAAAAAGAAAACTGGAAATGTTGTGCAGCCATTCACTTGTTTCATTTTCTACTCTGTATTCATTCATAAACAGGACTTTATTGGGTTAGCTTCTTTGCAATTCTTTTGGCTTTTGCCTCATGGTCACAATATGGCTCCTGTACCTCCAAATATCTCAACATCCAATGGCAGGAAGGTGTATTTTTTTTTTTCTAAAATGTCTTTTTCATTACTTTCAGTGGCAAGATCATAGTTACTTTTGCACCAACCTAATATTAGGGAGGAACGCTTTTCCAGGTAGCTTTCCTGTAAATCACCACCATGAGGTATCTTCTTAAGGCTCATTTACAATCACAAGGAATATATAATTTTCTTAGTCTAAGCAACATTGATACCCCTGGGTCTGGGGATGAACCCTCCTTCCCAAAGTACATTGCTACTTGAGACCTGAAGCCTGAACCAAACCAGTGTTTTCTTGTGACACAGAAAGGGGAGCAGTAAGACATGGAGTAGGCAGCCAACTCTGTTCACCATATCAACATACTTATCTTCCAATAATAGTGCCTAAGTTCAAATGAAAATATTTCAATACATTTAATGCCCAATCTTCACCTCCTGACTTTGTCTCACAGAACTGGCCTCTTTTTCCTTTAGGCCATTATGTACCATGTATATAAGAATACACATAATCATTGTAGTGCTCATAACACATTTACTATTCCTGTTTGTTTACCTGTCTGAAACCATCTCAAAGACTGGACAATGTTTTGTCTTTGCCTCCCTAGCGCATAGAAAATATAGAAGAACACAGAAGGCACTTATTAAATGTTTGATAAATGAACGAATGAATGAATGAGCAAATAAATGAGATAATGTGTTCAGAGAAGCTGCTAACAAATGAGCCTAGAATTCTGAATTTAAAATCCACAAGGGAAATCAGAGCAGACCACAGAACCAGCTGGCTGGGTCTGGGCTTTGCAGAAAGCTTAGGTGCAGAGAAAAGGCAATAATAGCTCAGGAGTCAGATAAGGAAGGAGAAAGGGAAAGAGTCAGGGTCTGAGGTTTCCAATCCTCACACTGGGCTGGGGCTGCGTCTGTCACAAGCAGCTCATTTTTGTCAGAGACAGCCAAGGAGAGCAGAAGCTCATCGATCATAATCTGTGTTCTAAACGTAGGCTAGATACAATTTTTTGTGGGTGGTTGTAGAAGCTGGGAAAACTGATTTCAAAGTTGCAAGGTGTTTTCATACTTGTTATTATGACCAAATATCTAGGCAGCATGTCAGTCTGTGGCTACAAATGAAATCCTGTTAACATAAATAATCCGCAGTTCTCTATTGTGTCTCCACTTTCTACCTGCCCAAATAATTAAACCTCTTCCCAATTATTGATTTTCAGGAGTGCCCAGTGGGTTACATTGGCAGAGTAGGGTGTGGGGAACATGATGGGGTTGCTGGATTTGTTATATTCTTCCTCTCCTGCTCTGGCTCCCCCTGCCACTGTCACAAAAAGGGACCCTCACCACTTTATGATGCCTGCTATGAGACTATCAAGGCCCAAGCCGAGAGCGTTATCCTTCAGAACCCGCGGGGCTTCCACATTTTCAGCAAAGTTGGCAAGAAGGGTTACCTCCCCATTTCTAGGCCCAGCTGCACTGCTTGGGCTCAGAGTCTTTAGGAACAGCCCGGCCTGGTATCCTAGCCCTCACAGTTGAGGGTCCAAGGGAAGGAGAGAGGCCAGCATTGACCTGCCTAGGCCAGGGCTATTGGTTGCCCTCTCCTAGGCAACTGCCTCCTGCCTTTCATCTAAAAGAGGGCAAGATTGGGGATGGAATGAGGGAGTGAACCCCTCAATCCTTATCACATATATAAAGATAAAATATTTTAATAAATTGTATTTTGTCTAGTTCTAAAGACATTGGTACTTATTTTATAATCATATAACTGAATTTTGGAAAACTGACTTGGATATACAGCCACAAATGAAAGCTCGTGGCCTATCAAATAATTACTCGACATGGCCACCAGAATGTAAAACATCTAGTTTGTGTATTGTTGTTTTAAGCCATGTAAGGTGGGTCCTTAGGACTGAATTCTTGGGCTGTCTGTGCAGAGATAGAACTGGGAAGGGCTGTTGGAGAGAGGGGCCAAGGAGATTGAAATAAAAATCCAGAGGCATTTATAGAGCATCTGTATGGAAGGCCAAATATACCACTGTCCCCAGCACCCTTAACTCCAAATAATCCTTCTTAGTGAATGTCTTATCTGCAATGAGGCAAAACAAACGTACTAACACCTCAGCTAAACTTTCTCAAGGGGCGTGATGGAATATAAGCTAGATTCTGAGGATTCTCTCAGAATGAGCAAAGCATAGAGAGTAACCTGATTACCCATAATAAGCATGTCTTACATGTCATAGCTATTTTATTTGCTGTGCTAGTTTTATTATATTTTCATATTTCATATTGAAAATACAAATATTTATAAAGATTTTCCAAAATTTTCTGGAGCCTTCTTTATTCAACTCCGTTTTTTCCACAGGATCTGGAATTCTTCAATGGGAATTCTTTTACCTTAAAGGGTTTTAGGGAACTGATTTATATGGTTTGGCTGAGATTATTATATGTATGTAGTGCTGATTAAGAATGAATATCACACACTTGAGAACGTGTTTCGAATGAAACAAAGCTGTCTTTTATTTTGTCATTGGAAAGGGAAGCTGTAAGGAAACAACTGCCCTTCCTCCATTTCTCTATTTCAGGGTTTCCCAACTGTGGCACTACTGACATTTTGGCTAGGATGGGTAATTCTTTCTCGTTGGGGAATGTCCTGTGCATTATAGGGCATTTAGCAGCACCCTAGACTCTATCCACTAGATGCCACCAGCATATTCCAGTTGTGACTATCAAAAATGTCTACAGATACTGCCAAATATCCTCTGGGAGATAAATCACCGCCCCGTTGAGAATCTCTGCTGTATGTTAATACATCTTTTGTATTAACAGGGTCATTGTGTTTGTAAACCTGTCAAAGCTGAGGTCTGCGTTGTTCAGTGCCTGAGTGGGTAGAGTTCAAAGAAGCAAAGTCCTGATAGTAATTCTACTGTTAAAAAATGAGATACAAGTATATAATCTAGAGCAGTTCTTCTTCTTCTTCTTCCTCTTCCTCTTCCTCCTCCTCCTCCTCCTCATCTTCTTCTTCTTCTTCTTCCTCTTCCTCTTCCTCCTCCTCCTCCCCTTCTTCTTCTTCTTCTTCTTCTTCTTCTTCTTCTTCTTCTTCTTCTTCTTCTTCTTCTCCTTCTTCTTCTTCTTCCTCTTCTTCTTCCTCTTCTTCTTCCTCTTCTTCTTCTTCTTCTTCTTCTTCTTCTTCTTCTTCTTCTTCTTCTTCTTCTTCTTCTTCTTCTTTCTTCTTCTTTTTCAGATGGGGTTTCGCTATGTTGCCTAGGTGAGTCTCGAACTCCCGTTTATGGGATTCTCTTGCTTCAGCCTCCCAGGTAGCTGGCATCATAGGTGTGTGTCACAGCACCAGGCTGGAGCAGTTCTTATCAAAATGTTTTTCATCTTATCTTCTCCAATATCCAACAAAACCAAGATCCCTCACCCTCTTTCCCCAGAGTAGCACACTCTCCCACCCACCCGTTCTCTCTTTCTATCTCTGACTGTCCTCCTGCTCCCACTTGATGCCCCTGAGCACATCAATGGCCCCCACTCTCAGTTGCTTCTTGCAAGAAAAGCTTGGCTTTGATTCTTTTCTCCCTAGAATGTACCCATGTGGCTTATGTCATTTCTATTCCTCTCTTATTTTTTTAAATTTTGCATCAAAAGTCCCAAAGATCCGGTCTGGACCCTCCACGCTCTTCTCTACAGTTGGGTGTGGGTGGATGGGAGGAACTGAGCAGCCCAAGCAGCACCAAATTTAGCAGTGGGGAGGAGGACAAGAAAAACTGGCAACACTAGTATGTGTGAAGGGTTGCAGATTTTTTTCATCCTACCCACAGATGTGCAAAGAAGATGTAGCATCTTCATTTCTCTAAAATTGTTCTTCTCTTCCTTATGAGTCTCCAATAACTGAATAGAGGGGAAAATATTCTGATGCACCAGTTTGTTTGTTTGTTTGTTTTGAGACACGGTCTCACTCTGTCACCCAGGCTGGAGTGCAGTGGATGATCATAGCTCACTGCAACCTCGAATTCCTGGGCTCAAGGGATCCTCCCATCTTGGCCTCCTGAGTAGCTGGGACTATAGGTATAAGCCATTTATTTTTATTTTTATTTTTTGTTGAGATGGGGGTCTTGCTTTGTTGCCCAAGCAGGTCTCAAATTCCTGGGCTTAAGCAATCCTTCTGCCTTGACCTCCCAAAGTACTGGAATTACAGGTGTCAGCGACCTAAATAGACATTATATAAATGGTCCATCCATTTAGGTAAATAATGCTCAGCCTCTTAGATATCTGCGTTCTTTTTTTATATTTTTTTGAGATGGTGTCTGAGTTTTTGATGGAGTTGTGGCTAAATGACCCCATAGAGACAGAGAAGAGGTGGGGTCCTTGTATCAATGCAGTATCTTTTGCATCTTTGCAGATTTCTGTTGTGGGTGGGTGGTCTGGATACTTTCTGGATACTTCTTTTGAGGGTGAGACGGGCTCAATCCTGGGAGTTGTGTGAGGGCCTGCTATTGAGGCTGTATCTATAGTACCTGTGATTTGGTTCCTCCTGGCTTGGCAGCGCCTGCTTGTTTTCCCTGATGACTCAGACTCCACTCTGGCTGCCTCTCAGACCCTACATCCTCCATCTGGCTCTTCACTAGAATATCTCTCCCCAGCCTCACTGCTGATTCACCTTTCCCTTGTGATGGCCAGTGCCTGGAAGCCTGGTGGCTACCACCTCAGCTGCTTTCCACGCCTCTTCTCTGGAGTATGTGGAAACTCCTTGGTCCAGTCTAGTCCGTACTGGTCTTGGGGGAAGCTCAGGAAATTATATTTCACCCCTTTCCCTGCAAGCTATGCTGTGCTATTGAGTTAAACTTTGATATAGCCACTTCTGGGGTGGTGTCAGGCAACCGATAAGGTGAACTCCTCCCAGGGTCCTAAAGATGCAGTACTCCGAAGCCCTCAGCCTTTCCCCTATCTGCTTAACAAACCTCCTCACTTTGGGCAGGATCAGGAAAAGGAAGATTAGATGTGGCCTCCCTTACCTCCCTTTTCCTAGGTAGTCCCCTGGGATGAATAGTGGGGAAGGGGTTTCCTCTTTTTCTTCTTGTCTTTCCTTGTGTAAAACTCCAAGATTGGCCAGGCACGGTGGCTCATGCCTGTAATCCCAGCACTTTGGGAGGCTGAGGCAGGCAGATCACCTGAGGTCAGGAGTGTGAGACAAGCCTGGCCAACATGGTGAAACCCCATCTCTACTAAAAATACAAAAATTAGCTGGGCATGGTAGCATGCACCTGTAATCTCAGCTACTCAGGAACCGAGGTAGGAGAATCACTTGAACCCAGGAGGCGGAGATTGCAGTGAGCCAAGATTGTGCCATTACACTCCAGCCTGGGCAACAAGAGTGAAATGCCATCTCAAAAAAACAAAACAAACAAACAAAAACAACCTCCAAGATGGAATCTAGAACGTCTTTTCTCTCTCTTATAAAGCCTAGCTTTTAAGCTACTACCTGGCCAAAAAGCCCCCAAATCCTATTTAGAAGCTGATAATTAACTTTTTTTTTCTCTTTTCTCCTTCTTCTTCTTTTTCTTTTTCTTTTTTTTTTTTTTTTGCATTCCCACTGTAACAATCCTAAACCTCCCTGAGGCAACTGGAAACCTCTAAAGATTGGGGGAAAGGTAAGTACAAGAAAATGTAAAAGAAGGCAGCGAGTTGAGGGACTTCAAAATGATATTATCACCATTATATGCACTGATAATTTTTCCTATGCACATCATGTTCTAATGTGGTTGTTCCATAGAGGCTTGCAAGGCTGAGACCACAGCCCTGTGGGTAGACCACATCTGTCCAGCCAATGGCTGGAAGAAGATGTAGGTCCTCAGACAGGAAACCAGAACTCTGAGGGCAATCTTAGCAGACAGGAGAAAGCATTCTTTGCCATCTCAAGGGTTCTTGGCCATCTCAAGGTTTCTTGGCCTGGCCTCACAGGAGCCTCAGGACAGTCCTCCCACATGTGGGCCAATTTTCTCTCTCAAATGGAGTCAGGCCAGGGTCTTCGAAGGGAGACTTCTTTGTAGGGCTCTGCTTCCCTGAATCTACAATTCAAAAGATTAGCAATTAGTAAAAATATTAGTAAAATATTTTTACTAAGAGGACTAACATAGGAGTATCACTTTTTATTTTGCCAAGCACGGATGTTTAAAACAAAGCATTATTTGTATTGTAAATGTTTCTTTTAAAAAAAGTAAAAGCATTATTTGTATTGTCAGTGTTTCGTTTAATACCTGAAAAGTTGATGATTTTATTTTAAGGAAGGCGTCATTTACTGACAAGAAAGAAAGCCACTTCAGATGCCTGGATGGCATGGAGCAAAGGCATGGAACAGATCCAGAGAAGGGAGATAAACAAGGTCATTCCAAGGCTAGTAGGTATACTTCTTTGCCCACAGGATTTGCATGGGGGCCTATGGGAGGTGGGACCGAAAGGACGCCGGAGCATGTCCTGGAGATCCTTGAGTAACACACAGGGTGAGGACTAGAATGCCAGCTTTGAGAAAGTCAGAGCTTCTGTCTGTTTCATGAAGAGGGAATTGGCTAAGAGGAAACCATATTTGGGAAATTTAAGTTGTAGGTTATGTGCAGCTTCTGGTGGAATTACTGCATTTTGTGGCAGAGAAGTGAGAGGAAGGAAAGCCATTCAGGAGAGAAAGCATGGAACCTATCCCAGACTTTGGCTGAAGTGTAACATCTAGTGCGACATGAATGGGGCACTTTTTCTACGTCTGTTAGTTATTGTGTCTGTTGGTTGCCATGGGGGACCAGCTGATTTTTAAGAGAGCCACAGACACTCTTTAAAATCCAATAAATATGCACAAGGTAGATTTGAACATTTTAGACAATTTCTGTCTCTTCTGTACAGAACTTAGTCCACATCTGTACAGGCCTTCCACCTTGGTGCCTGTATCATAATATGGCTTGCCTTTTTCCTTTGGGTCACTTACCACAATTTGGATTATTTCATTAACATAAGCATCTCATTAATATCTGTTTCCTCCACTAAACCATGAGGTTCATAAGAACAGGGCTCATTATTTTACTCACGATTGTATCTCTAGCACCAAGTATGTGCCTGACATATAAAAAAGGCACTCGATAGGCCGGGCACGGTGGCTCACGCGTGTAATCCCAGCACTTAGGGAGGCCAAGGTGGGCGGATCATGAGGTCAGGAGATCGAGACCATCCTGGCTAACACAGCAAAGCCCCGTCTCTACTAAAAATACAAAAAATTAGCCGGGCGTGGTGGCGGGCACCTGTAGTCCCAGCTACTCGGGAGGCTGAGGCAGGAGAATGGCGTGAACGCGGGAGGCGGAGCTTGCAGTGAGCCAAGATTGCGCCACTGCACTCCAGCCTGGGCGACAGAGTGAGACTCCGTCTCAAAAAAAAAAAAAAAAGCACTCAATAAACCAATCAACACATGAATGTACCTCTAGGAAGAGTAATTGGAATCTCTTCATCAAGTACACTTTACTGTCTGTGTGAGGTATATTTGTTTGTTTTTAACAAAATGATCTTCTTAAAGGCCACAATCAAACACAAATAAATAATGGATCCTACAGTTGCTGTTACGTGAAGTGCTCTTGGTAGTTCCTGGCAGCTGAGGCGTGGTGCTAATGTAGTGCCCCCTGTTGGATAAAACAGAAAATTCGGCTTTTTGCACAATAACATTTTCCCTTTGCAAAGAAACATGTAGTCCCATCTGAATTTTGTGGCATCTCCTCTGGCATTAACAAATTTTTATATTTGGCTTCATTTCCTCAGCTAAACTTACTGTTTTCTCACTCTTTCTCTATTAAATAGTAGCTTTGTTTCACCCCATTTTCCACATTTCAGATAAAGAAATCTTATGTAGTAAATCGTAGTAAAATTTCTGATTCACAAAAGTAGTCAGGGAATTGAAGTATCGCATTAATAAATTACCTTATGCGACATGCATGGATCACTTGAAGACACAGATATCTGTGGTAGAAATACACTCTACAGTGATGGTATGGCAACACATCCATTAAGAAGATTATTGAGAAGAAATACTCATACCAAAACCTATGGCATACAGCAAAAGCAGTATTAAGAGAGAAGTTTATAACAATAAATGCTTACATTAAAAAAGTATAAATATTTCAAATAACCAACCTAATGATGCATCTCAAGGAACTAGAAAATCAAGAAGAAGCCAACTTCAAAATTAGTAGGAGAAAAGAAATAACAAGGATAAGAGCAGAAATAAATATAATTGAGACCAAAAAAATACAAAAGAAAAAAGGTGTTTTTTTGAAAAGATAAACAAAATTGCCAAACCATTAGGCAGACTAAACAAGAAAAATAGAGAAAAGACCCAAACAAATACAATCAGAAACAAAAAAAGGAGACATTACAACTGCTACTACAGACGTCCAAAAGATTGTTAGAGACTATTGTGAACAACTGTACACCAAAAAATGAGAAACATAATGGAAATGCATAAATTCCTAGACATGTACAAACTACCAAGATTGAACCAAGAAGAAACAGAAAACCTGAATAGACCAATTGTGAGTAACATGATTGAATCAGTATTAAAAGTCTCCCATCAAAGAAAAGTCCAGGAGTTGATGATTTCACTGCTGAATTCTACCAAATATTTAAAGAAGAACTATACCTTTTTTTAAAAACTTTTCCAGAAAGTTGAAGAGGAGAGAATTCTTCCAAATGCATCTTTGAGGCCAGCTCATCCTGATACCAAAACCAGACAAGAACACAACAACAATATAAGTAAACTATAGGACAATGTCCCTAAAGAACATAGATGCAAAAATCCTCAACACAATACTAGTAAACTGAGTCCAACAGCACATTAAAAAGATCATTCATCATGATCTAGTGGGATTTATTCCAGGGATGCAAGGATAGTTTAGCATATGCAAATCTATAAATGTGATATATTATGTCAAAAGAATGAAGTATAAAAAATCATCTCAATAGATGCAGAGAAAGCATTTTATAAAATTCAACATCCCTTCATGATTAAAAAAAAAACCCTCCAAAAATTACGTATAGAGAAAATGTACCTCAATACAATAAAGGCCATATATGACAAACTCACAGCTAATATTATACTGAATGGGGAAAAACTGAAAATTTCTTCTCTAAGAACTAGAACAAGACAAGAATGCCCATTCTTACCACTCTTATTCAACATAGTACTGGAATTCCTAGACAGAGCAAATAAGCAAAAGAAAGAAATAAAGGGCATTTAAATTAGAAAGGAGGAAGTCACACTGTCCCTATTTGCAGACGACATGATTTTATATATAGAAAACCCTAAAAGTTCCACCAAAACAAAACAAAACAAAAAACTCTTAGAACTGATAAGCAAATTCAGTAAAGTTGCAGGATAAAAAATTAACATACAAAAATCAGTATCATTTCTATACACCAATAACAGACTAGTGGAAAAAGAAATCAAGAGATCAGTCTCATTTACAACAGCTATAAAAAATGTAAGAGTAAATTTAACCAAGTTGATGAAAGATCTCTATAAGGTAAACCATAAAACATGAATGAAAGAAATTGAACAGGTCACAGAGAAAATGGAAACACATCCCTGTTCATGGACTGGAAGAATTTATATTATGAAAATGACCATACCACCAAAAATGATCTACAGATTCAGTGCAATCTCTATCAAAATACCAAAGACATTCTTCACAGAAGTAGAAAAAATGACCCTAAAATTCATATGAAACCACAGAAGTCCAGTAAGAACATTAGCTTAAAATTTTTTTTAAAACAAAAGAAGCCACAGAAGGCCTCAAATAGCCAAAGCAGTCCTGAGTGAAAAACAACAAAACTGGAGGCATCGCATTACCTGACTTCAAAATATACTGCAAAACTATAGTAAACAAAACAGCATGGTACTGGTATAAAACCAGACACATAGACCAATGGAACACAGTAGAGAGCCCAGAAATGAATCCATGTATTTACAGCCAATAAATTTTTGACAAAAGTACCAAGAATATTCAATGGAGAAATGACAGTCTCTTCAGTAAATGGTGCTGGGAAAACTGGATATTCATAGACAGAAAGATGAAACCCCTATCTCGGTCATCAGCAAAGCCTGAGTCCTGTCCTCTCGCTCTCCTCCCTGGACAGCATGAGCTTCACCACTCGGTCCACCTTCTCCACCAACTACTGGTCCCTGGGGTCTGTCCAGGCACCCAGCTACAGCACCTGGCTGGTCAGCAGCATGGCCAGTGTCTATGCAGCCATGGGGGGGCTTTGGTTTCTGGATCTCTGTGTCCCACTCCATCAGCTTCCGGGGTGGCTTGGGGCCCAGGGGCCTGGCTGCGGGGATGGCCGGGGGTCTAGTAAGAATGGGAGGCATCTAAAATGAAAAGGAGACCGTGCAAAGCCTGAACAACTGCCTGGCCTCCTACCTGAAGACAGAGAACCAGAAGCTGGAGAGCAAAATCCGGGAGCACCTGGAGAAGAAGGGACCCCAGATCAGAGACTGGGGCCATTACTTTAAGACCATCAAGGACCTGACGGCTCAGATCTTCGCAAATATTGTGGACAATGCTCCCATGGTTCTTCAGATCAACAATGTCTGTCTTGCTGCTGATGACTTTCGAGTTAAGTATGAGACAGAGCTGGCCATGTGCCAGTCTGTGGAGAGCGACATCCATGAACTCCCCAAGGTCATTGATGACACCAATGTTACTCAGCTGCAGCTGTAGACAGAGACCGAGGCTCTCAAGAAGGAGCTGCTCTTTATGAAGAAGAACCACAAAGAGGAAGTAAAAGGCCTACAAGCCCAGGTGGCCAGCTCTGGGTTGACCATGGAGGTAGATGTCCCCAAATCTCAGGTCCTCACCAAGATCATGGCAGATATCTGGGCCCAATATGACGAGCTGGCTCAGAAGAACCGAGAGAAGCTAGACAAGTACTGGTCTCAGCAGATTGAGGAGGGTACCACAGTAGTCACCACGCAGTCCGCTGAGATTAGAGCTGCTGAGATGATGCTCAGGGAGCTGAGACATAGAGTACAGTCCTTGGAGATCAACCTGGACTCGATGAGAAATCTGAAGCCCAGCTTGGAGAACAGCCTGAAGGAGGTGGAGGCCTGCTATGCCCTGCAGATGGAGCAGCTCAATGGGATCCTGCTGTATCTGGAGTCACAGCTGGCACAGACCCGGGCAGAGGGGCAGTGTTAGGCCCAGGAGTATGAGGCCCTGCTGAACATCAAGGCCAAGCTGGAGGCTGAGAGCACCACCCACCGCCGCCTGCTGGAAGACGGCGAGGACTTCAATCTTGGTGATGCCCTGGACAGTAGCAACTCCTTGCAAACCATCCAAAAGACCACCATCTGCCAGATAGTGGTTGGCAAAGTGGTGTCTGAGACCAATGACACCAAAGTTCTGAGACATTAAGACAGCAGAAGCAGGATGCCCTTTGGGGAGCAGGAGGCCAATAAAAAGTTCAGAGGTCAAAAAAAAAAAAAAAAAAAAAAAAGAAAAAAGAAAAAATAAACCCCTATTTCTCACCATATAGAAAAAACAAATCAAAATGGATTAAAAACTTAAATGTAAGACTTGAAACTACTAGAGGAAAACATTGGGAAAGTGCTTTATGACATTGGTCTGGGCAAATTTTTTTGGGTTAAAACCTCAAAAGCATAGACAACTAAAGCAAAAATAGGCAAATAAGATTGCATAAAGCTAAAAAGCTTCTGCATAGCAAAGGAAACAATCAACAAAGTGAAGAGACAATCTATAGATTGGGAAAAAATATTTGCAAACTATCCATTCAACAAGGGATTAATAACCAGAATATATACGGAACTCAACTCAACAGCAAAAAAACAAAACAAAGAAAACCAAGTAATACAATTTAAAAATGGGCAAATGAACTGAAGAGACATTTCTCAAAAGCAGACATACAAATGGCCAACAGGCATATAAAAAATGCTCAACATTACTAATTATCAGGAAAATGCAAATCAAAACCACAGTGAGATCTCATCTCATCCCAGTTAGAATGGCTATTATGAAAAACACAAAAAATAACAGATGCTGGTGAGGATGTGGAGAAAGGGAAACACTCATACACTGCAGATGGAAATATAAATCAGTACAGTCACTATGGAAAACAGTGTGGAGGTTCCTCAAAACACTGAGATCTAAAAATAGATCTATGATATGATCTAGCAATCCCACTGCTAGGTATGCATGCAAAAGAAAGGAAATCAGCATATTGAAGAGATATCTGCATACCTATGTTTATTGCAGCATTCTTCACAATAGCTAAGATATGAGATCAATTTAAGTGTCCATCAATGGATGTATGGATAAAGAAAATATGGTATATATACACAATGAAATACAACTCCGTCATAAAAAAGAATGAAATCCTGTCACTTGCAGCAGCATGGATGAAACGAGAGATTGCTATGTTAAGTGAAATAACTAGGTTAGAAAAGTGAAAAAAGACAAATACCACATTCTGTCACTCACGTGTGGGATCTTAAAAAGTTGATCTCATGGAGGCGGAGAGTAGAGTGATGGTTGCCAGAGGCTGGGAAGGACAGAGGATGAATAGAGGTTGGTTAATGGGTACAAAAATACAGTTAGATAGAAGGAATATGTTCTAGTGTTTGATGGCACAGGAGGATGACTAAGTTAACAATAATTTATCATATATTTCAAAATAACTAGAAGAGAAAATTTGAAATGTTCCCAACACAAAGAAATGATAAATGTTTGAGGTAATGGGTATTTTATTCACCATGATTTGATCATTACACATTGTATGCATGTATCAAAATATCACATGTACTCCATAAATATGTACAGTTATTATGTATCAATTTAAAAGTTACTACTCACTAGAAGAAAGCTATCTTAAAGTTCTTATGGAGCCTAAATAAAAGCCCAAATATCCAAAGCAATCCTAAACAAAAAGAACAAATCTGGAGGCATTACATTGCCTGATGTCAAATTATACTACAAGGCTATAGTAACTAAAACAGCATGGTACTGGTACAAAAATAGACACATTGATCAATGGTTCAGAATAGAGGACCCAGAAATAAAGTCACATACCTACAACCAACTGATTTTTGACAAAGTTGACAAAAATAAACAATAGGGAAAGGACACCCTTATTCAATAAATGGTTCTGGGAAAATTGGCTAGCCACCTGCAGAAGAAGGAAACTGGACCTCTATCTCTCATCACATACAAAAACTAATTCAAGATGGATTAAAGACCTAAATGTAAAGCCTGAAGCTATTAAAATCCTAGAAGAAAATCGAGGAAAAACACTTCTGAATATCAGCCTAGGTAAAGAATTTATGACAAAGACCTCAAAAGCAAACGCAATAAAAATGAAAACAGACAGATAGGATTTAATTAAGCTAAAATACTTCTGAAATAATCAACAGAATAAACAGACAACCTACAGAATGGTAGAAAATATTTGCAAATTATTCCTTCACCAAAGGACTAATATACAGAATCTACAAGGAACTCAAACAATTGAACAAGAAAAAAACAAATAACTCCATTAAAAACTGGGCAAAGGACATGAACAGACATTTCCTAAAAGAAGAAATATAAGCAGCCAACAAACACATGAAAAAATGCTCAACATCACTCAATCATTAATGAAATGCAAATTAAAAACCACACTGAGATACCATCTTTCATCATTCAGAATACTATTACAAAGTCAAAAACAACAAATGTTGGCATGGATGCGAAAAAAGAGAACTCTTGTACCCTGATGGTAGGAATGTAGATTGGTTCAACCTTTATGGAAAAATCTCAAGGAACTAAAAATAGAGCAATCACACTAAGGGAATCTACCCCAAACATAAGAAATAATACAAAAAAAAAAGCCACCCACACTTGTGTGTTTATTGCAGCACTATTATTTATCATAGCAAAGTCAAGGAACTAACGCAGTATCCATCAGTGGTTGATTGGATACAGAAAGTGTGATATGCAGCCATAAAAAAAAGAAATAATTTCCTTTCATACAGCAACATGAATGGAGCTGGAGGCCATTATCCTAAGTGAAGCAGAAAATCAAATATTGCCTGTTCTCACTTATAAGTGGGAGCTAAGCAATGGATACACATGGACATAAAGATGGAAATAACAGACACTGGGGACTCCAAAAAGGGGAAGGGAGGAAGGGGGTGATTGTTGAAAGGTTACCTATTGGAGACAATGTTCAATTTAGGGTGACTAGTACACTAGAGGCCCAAACCCCACCATTATGCAATATGCCCATGTTACAAACATGCACATGTACCCTATGAATCAAACATTTTAAAAATTAATTAAAAAAGAAAACATCATGAACTTCTAACCACTAAGTAAGAAATTAACTCTTTTATGTAAATGTAAATGGAACTTTTAATGGAAAAAAGTTACTACTTATAACCTACTTTTAAATAAAAGCTTTGTTGAGGTATAATTTACCTACCATAAAATTCACCCATTATACTTTAAAATATAATTAAATATTTTTAATTTATTTTTTTAAAAACATTTTTTTTTTGAGACGGAGTTTCACTCTTGTTGCCCAAGCTGGAGTGCAGTGGCGCAACCTCAGCTCACTGCAACCTCCACCTCCCAAGTTCAAGTGATTCTCCTGTCTCAGCCTCCCAAGTAGCTGGGATTACAGGCGCCTGCCACCAAGCCCAGCTAATTTTTTGTATTTTTAGTCAAGACGGGGTTTCATCATGTTGGCCAGCTGGTCTCGAACTCCTGACCTCAGGTGATCCACCCACCTCGGCCTCCTAAAGTGCTGGAATTACAGGTGTGAGCCACCACACCTGACCTTAACTGTTTTTTAGTACGTTCATCACAATCAATTTTATAATATTTTCCTCACCCCCCCAAAAGAAACTCCATGCCCATTAGGAATCACTTTCCATTTCCCTCCAACTCATTCTCCCTCCCATTCCGTCCCCACCCTATCCCTAAGCAACTGATAATCAACTTTCTGTCTCTGCAGATTAGCCTTTTCTTATGGCCAAATGATATTTCATTGTGAGGATACGCCACATTTTATCTACCTTTTCATCAGTTGATGGATATTTGGGTTGTTTACACTTTTTGGTTATTATGAAGGATGCTTGTCTTCAAGTGTGTGTATAGACATAGGCTTTCATTTGTTTTCAGTGAATTTCACTTCAGCCAGGAGTGAAATTGCTGGGTCATGTGGTAACTCTGTTTAATCTTTCGAGGAACTGCCAAACTGTTTCTAAGGCAGCTGCACCATTTTACATTTCCACCAGCAATGCATGGGGGTTCCAATTTCTCTACATTTTCCCTCATACTTGTTTTTATCTTTTTTTTTGTATTACAGCCACTATAGTTGGTGTGAGGTAGTATTTCATTGTGGTTTTGATTTGCAGTTCCCTAATGGCTAATGATGTTTGACATCTTGTGCTTATTATGTTGAGCATCATGTGTTTATTAGCCATTTGTATATCTGAAAAAATATACAAATGTGCATGTTTGCTACATGAGTATATTGTATAATGGTGGGTGGGTTTCTACTGTACTCATCACCCCAAATTGAAAATTTGGACAAAAATGTCTATTTAGATTCCTTGCCCATTTATAGATTGGGTTGTCTTTTTGAGTTGTAATAGTACTTTACATATTTTAAATATGTCTTTTATCAGATACACGATTTTCAAATGTTTTCTACCATTCTGTGGGTTGTCTTCATTTTCTTGATAGTGCCCTTTGAAGCATAAAGTTCTAAATTTCGGTGATGTCCAGTTCACCTATTTTTTGTTGCTTGTGCTTTTGCTGCCATATTTAATATACAATTCACCTTTATAAGTTATCCTGATATGCAAATATTATTCATTATGTGATAGAAATTAATGTTATTTACATTCATATGAAATAATTTAAATATTTTGGGTTTATGTGTACATTCTTAATTACTAGAAATCCAGAAAACAAGGTGTGACCTACATGCAGCCCCATTGAAGAGGAAAGGCATTTTCTTTTTCTTTTTTTTTTTTTTTTTTTTTTGAGACGGAGTCTCACTGTGTCGCCCAGGCTGGAGTGCAGTGGCGCGATCTCGGCTCACTGCAAGCTCTGCCTCCCAGGTTCACGCCATTCTCCTGCCTCAGCCTCCTGAGTAGCTGGGACTACAGGCGCCCACCACCACGCCCGGCTAATAGTTTTGTGCTTTTAGTAGAGACGGGGTTTCACCGTGTTAGTCAGGATGGTCTCGATCTCCTGACCTCGTGATCCACCTGCCTCAGCCTCCCAAAGTGCTGGGATTACAGGCATGAGCCACCGCGCCCAGCCGAGGAAAGGCATTTTCTATCTGAGACAATTGCTTTAAAAGTTAGAGGAGGGTGAGGTTGGACTGAGGGGATGGGTTTTATCCATGTGACTCACAACACAGTTATAATAACAAGAACACTAAATGTGGGAAACATTTCATAAGCGTCTGTGATATGAAAAAAATTTTCACCTGGGAAAGAGCTAAGCCCAGGAAGAGCCATAAAGAGGTTTCCCAGGATCGGGGATGGGGAGAATAATTCAGTTTTACTCAGAGGGAACATAAAAGGGATTTTGTGAATTCCTTAAACCCAGATTCATGGAAATTTGTTTTTCTTAGGACTGAACACTAGATGTCTCAGTTACATTGAGTCTGCAATGAGAAATGCAGACATTTACAAAACAGATTGACAAAGAAATGTAAGCTGTGCTATCTTGTCTATGATGTAGCTTTTTATTTGGTGTACTAGACTTTAATTTCAGTTATGCTTCCTTTGAAACCAGGCAATAGATACTTATTACCTTTAAAGTCCCTAACTAAAAACTCATTGAAATGTCAGAAATGTCCTGTAATTTCCTGGATGAGGAAATAGAAAGATATTCAGAGAGTTGTTAAAAGCTGTAGGTGCAAGCGGCATTACAAATCAGGTTAGATCCAGAAATTACCAGTTCTCTATATTGTCCTCTAGAAAGCAGCCATTTCCATTAATTTACAAGAAAAATTTTGTTAATATAAAAATAGAAAGTGCACCAGATGAAACAGATGTATTTAACAGAAGAGTGGTGTGGAGAGAAAAGCACTGGAACCCCAGACATGGTTTTTAATCCTGAAATCACTGTTTTTATGCTCCATGATGCCAGGCAAGTCCCTTTCATTTGGGTCTTGTTTTCCTCAGCCTCTATGGGGAGTTCAGCATTCTCTTCCTGGAGGAAGAGCTCAAGAATCAATGGAATTCTTATGGTGATATGGTTTGGCTCTGTGTCCCCACCCAAATCTCATCTTGAATTGTAGTTCCCATAATCCTCACATGTTGTGGGAGGGACCTGATGGGAGGTCATTGAATCATGGGGGCGGTTACCCCCATGCTGTTCTCATGATAGTAAGTTCTCATGAGATCTGATGGTTTTATAAGGGGCTGTTCCTCTGCTTTGCTCTGCACTTCTCCTTCCTGCTGCCATGTGAAGAAGGACATGTTTGCTTCCCCTTTCGCCATGATTGTAAGTTTTCTAAGGCCTTCCCAGCCCTGTGGAACTGTGAGTCAATTCAAACTCTTTCCTTTATAAATTACCCAATCTTGGGCAGTTCTTTATAGCAGCATGAGAACACACTAGTATATATGGCTACCACACAACTTGCGGTTTTTTGGTAAAGAGAAGTAAAATAAGTGCATATCTATTAAACTATAAAATGTGCCACTGAAATGATCTCAGGCACCTCTTGTGGTACACATACCCTGGTCTTAGGGGTCTTAGGGGAAATGGCTCCTTCTACTGCAGCCAATGCAGAGTCACGGCAAAAGGATGGAAGTAGAAGCAGAACAAAGAAGAAGGTGGAAAAGAGGCTGGGAGAGCATGTGACAGCAATGATGACCCCAAACACACCTGTTTTTTACCAAGTTGGTCCCATGACCTCCTCCCAACCATGAGAGGGAGGGGAAAGACTGGCACCCTGTGGAACCAGAGCAAGCCCTGGGGGTGGGTTAATCACTACAGGTATAACTCACTCTGGCCCTGCCCACTTCACCACACTTCGACTCAGACCCTGATCTCTCTCTCTCTCTCTCTCTCTCTCTCTGTCCTGGCATTCAGGGATAGCCTTGGTCTTGCCTCTATAACTACAGAGAAAGGATGGAAATAAAAGACCAATTGTTAGTATACGAACCTCTTAGGTGACATTTTTGGTACTTCCTGGGAAATCACCCTTTCCCCTCACCTCTGGTCCTTCCAGGGTCATTGCCCACCCCCGCGCTCCTCCTCACAGTGCAATTTATCCAGGCTCACGTGGGTGTGCTCTCGAGGTGGAGCTAGCAAGGGAAGTTGAAAGTTAGTCGATTCTGTTCCCAGACTGCAGAGTTTCATTGAGAAGGAACAAACGATGACTGTTCTGCAAGGCCACACAATGAACTGCTTTCTCCTGAAGCCATGCCCTTTAGCCAGGAAGAGGCCAAGCACACTTACCAAGTGTCTGCATTTGCTGCAGCGAATCTGTGGTAAACAGAGCAAGAAGGCCCACATTGTCACTGAGGGCCTTCAGAAACCAGTTATTTATTTATTTAGTTAGTTAGTTAATTATTTTGGAGACGGAGTCTTATCTGTTGCTCAGGCTGGAGTGAAGTGGCGTGATCCCAGCTCATTGCAACCTCCGCCTCCTGGGTTCCAGTGATTTTCCTGCCTCAGCCTCCCAAGTAGCTGGGATTACAGGCGCCCACCACCACACCCGGCTAATTTTGTATTTTTAGTAGAGATGGGGTTTCACCATGTTAGCCAGGCTGGTCTCGGACTCCCAACCTCAGGTGATCCGCCCATCTTGGCCTCCCAAAGTGCTGGGATTACAGGTGTGAGCCGCCATGCCTGACCCCAGAAGCCAGTTTTTTACACAGAGCCCTTGGTTGCCTGGTCAAGGCCTATGATCCAATTTTACTATGGCAATTGGTTATTTAAAGTTAAAAGGTAATTTATTTAGTTGGGTTTTGATTGGCCTGGATAATTGCCAAGGACTGCGACTGCGGCCATGTTTGTTGAACATGTTTGTTGTTTACCCATAACTCATGTCTTCTCTGTCCATGCTCATGGAGCCTCGATTCTGTACAGCTATTCAGTAACCATGCCACCACTGTCAATGGAGAACCCTCATAGGAGCCATCCCTTTCCTCTTTGCTAGGGATTGGCCTACTGTGAAGTGCTGAGGGTCTATAAGGAAGGGAGAGGGTCCTGTCATGCTGCACTTTCTTCTTGCTTTTGGACTCGTTTAAGGGTTGGATGCTTTGACTGGCTTTGGCCTTCTTCTGGCCATGAGGGTAGATATTACAAACAGAGTTGACAGGTGTGAATAAAGGCCTGAGTCTTTGTTGACACAGCTGGGCTTTGGAATTGCTTCCTTTGGGACACCTTGTTAAGGTGGTTTTTCTGTGGATTGCAGACTGAAGCTTCCTAACTGATACAGATACTTCTTCCCAGCTGACCTAACATAATCAGCCACAAAACAAAACCTTCAGCAAATAGTTGATATCAACACTCTGGTATAGTTATGGCTTCAGGCAAGATGCTGAACTCCGGAGGATTTCTGATTTCTTTTCATTGTGTCATTACACTACAGAGGAACTGGAAATTGATTTGAACAATCAGCATCAGGCTGGATGGCCAGGGAATCCCCTTTTCTGTCAAGACCACAGTCCTTTAACCTCAGAACCCGCTTCCTTTTTTGTTTAGTTCTTTTTCTCTCCCTGAAGAATTTGGAACAGAAATCCATCCATCCATCCATCCATCCATCCATCCATCCATCCATCCATCCATATCTATTAAGCCCCCTCCATGTGAGCATTTACCAGTGGGGGTGATGGGATCTCTGTGTGCACTGTGATGACTGGCATTGCTGTGGACCATGGACTGTGGGCTCTTTGGTTCACATCCTTCTCCTCCCAAAGCTAGGCTCTTTTGGAGGTAGCATCAGAGACAGTTCTGGATAACTCAGCCTAACAAAGATTTATGCAGTGCCAATTATGCCAGGGCCACTGCATTAGGTGTGGGGCAAAAGACATACTGCAATAGTGATATAGGAGCTATTGCATCAAAACATGCAGAATGAATTTTGCTGGCTTAGAAGAAAGTTTCTAAGAGGAGACTTAAGAAATGCTGTCTCAGTAACATTCACTTGACAAATGAGGACACAGATCCATAGAGCCTGTCACTCGTTTTACATATGTTAAAATTCATTAAGCTGCATGCAAGATTTGCATGCTGTACTGTGGGCATGTCTCACTTTAACAATAAAACCCAAAAAGTAGCAAAAGAAAAAAATGTCCTAAATATCTTTTACCATCACTAAAAGGAAGAAAGGCACTTCTTTGAATAAAGGGAATATTTGTAATATTTTACACATTTTAAATTCACAACAGTGGGAATGGTCCAATTAATTTCTATTTATCATTCCTCTTCTGCTAGAATCTCTTCATTTCCAATAAGATGCTTTTAAGTATGTGTCGTTTTTTGCAGACAACATGTAATAGGACAGTTATTATCTCTGTGTTAATCTTAGATTTCAGATTTGTGCCTTGCGATTGCTAGGTCCCACTCTGGGTCAGGAATGGTCACAAAGATTCAGAATGGCCTAGATGTTTGCACGGGAACAAGCATATCACACATCCATTGCCCAAAGGCTGTAAGGTTCAATGACCTGGCTGCTCAATTACCTGGTGCTTGGGTGGGGGACAGGCCATACATCCTAATGGCTCCTGTAGTTGTTATTTTCACCTGGCCTCTTGGCCCTGGCCAGTATGTGAAGTAGATGCCATCATGTGGCAATTCAATGGTCTGTAGGTGCCCAACTGCTTCCTGCCACATTTTACAGTTTCTTCCCCTTCACCTTTAATTGGTGGATGAGCCCTGGTGACATGTCTTTGCTCTGATGGTGGCCATTTGAGAGGGCTGGCAAGTCAGTCCATTATACATAGGTACTGTCTGTGGCTAGCTGTTGGCCCACAGGTAGCTCATAGATGCCTCTTGTTTTTGGGAGCTTGAAAGGTGGATATCATGGGAGTAGAGAGTAGAATGATGATTACCAGCAGCTGGGAAGCAGGGGTGATCAGAGAGGTTGAATAATGGGTACAAAGATACAGTTAGAAGGAGTAAGTTCTAGTGTTCAATAGCACAGTAGGGTGACTATCGTTAACAATAATTCATTGTATATTTTAAAATAGCTAGAAGATTTGAAATGTTCCCAACATCAAGAAATGATAAATGTTTGAGGTTCCATATCATGGTATCATTTCCTCCTCTACGAGGATCTATGTATGTTACCTCAGGCCACGTTGTGTGTGTGGGGTGTGTGTATGTGCATGTGTATGCACACGGGCTTGTGTCCTGGGGTGGGAGTCTCCTCTCAGTCATCCAGGCAAGAAGCAGGTGGATTAAGTTTATGATTGGGCTAAACACGGAAAAATACAATCCAAGGTGAAAGCAGAACCCGCTGTTCTCTGTGTGTCTTATTCTGAGTATTAATGTTAAACACCCTTAGGTTTGGGATATCAAAGCCTACTACTGAGAAAAAAAAAACTGCTGATGGCCCACGCACACTTGGTTAGTGCAACACTGCCATTTATCTCCTTCAATGAGCTAAGCAGCCATCAGGTTAAGAAGAGGGCAGGGGAGAGGCGGGCACAGCCTTATTGGGATGATGCTGTCCCGCTGCTGACTCCCAGCTGGTACGGCAGTGACCTCTGCTGGCAGGATTTTCCTCTCCAGTGTGCACAGAGAGTAGGAGTTCCCTCGGAGTCTGTGTGGTTCAGTAGTGTTCTTCAGAGAGATGCCCCAAGACTGATGCTCACGGAGAGGGCCGACTGGGCTTTCCTGCTAAAACTGTCACTAAAGGCTGGGGTTACACAGTCAGGAGTTGAGACAGATTCTTACCCTTGCTTCAGTGAACTTTCTCTCAAACACATATGGCTTCTTTACGTTACTCATTTTCAGATCTAAACATATTTCTTTAAAAATATGTTCTCAAAAAGAACAAAACAAGGGTTGCTGGGCGCAGTGGCTCACACCTGTAATCCTAACACTTTAGGAGGCCAAGGCAGGTGGACTGCTTGAGCCCAGGAGTTCAAGACCAGCCTGGGTAACATGGTGAGACACCATCTCTACAAAACATTAAAAAAATTAGCTGGGTTTGGTGGCACGCACCTGTAATCGCACCTACTCAGGAGGCTGGGGTGGGAGGATAGCTTGAGCCTGGGCGTTCAAGGCTGCAGTGAGCTGAGATCGCGCCACTGCACTCCAGCCTGGGCGACAGAGTAAGACCTTGTCTGAAAACAAAAACAACAACAAGTGTCACCCAAACAAATCCATGACATTTCTTGAGAATAACATATTTACAATCTGACAAGGTGATGTGAAAACACTCTCAAAACTTTTGTGTGTGTGTAGAGGACAGGAGCTGAAGCATCCTTTACAAATACATGAATCCTACTCCTCAATTCAGCACACCACATCTTACCCACAAATAAGTGTGAAATGCTGTTGTTGGACAAGGCCTTGGCAGAACTTTTTCTTACCTATCCTGACATATCTATAATGGAATACTCCAGGCTAGAAAGCTAGACAGCCAAGTTGAAGCCATCGTGATGGCTTTGAGGGTCCCTCATGCAGAGTTACTGACTAAGCAGCCCTTGTCCACAAAGCTCTCGTCCCCGTGGAACCACGTGGTGGCACTTGATGGCCATTCCCAGCCCACCCAACCTTCTCTGATCACCGTGTTTGTCCTTGGGGTGGGGCCCCTGCAGCTATCTTCTACTATAGGGCTCTGTCCCTTTCACCAGAGCTCATCAGATCATGGGAGAACCAGTCTCTTTAGTGGGGGTGGGGAAGGAGGGCCGTGGATTCCTTTGCCTGTGAGGTCCTATAGGGCTGGCTAGTATCTTCCATCCACAGGCAGGGAGAGGCAGAGAAGGCTGATGATTAGCACAGACAGAAATGAAGAAAGGTGACACGGGGGACACAGAGATGACAAGAGGTGGAGAGAGGGAAGTTTTCTGCTTCCTGTTTCCAGCTTTTCCCTGTCCTCCCTTAGTTTCTTTTTTCCTTCCAACATCACATTTTGCTTAAGCAACTAAAGATCCCTAAGACACGAACTTCTGTTTAGTTTGCATTTAATACACAGCAGAAGAATTCCAAAAAGTTTTACTTGAGAGCTCAGAATTGGAATTACCTTCATTCCAACTACCAAGAACCCTCAGAATATTGTATGGCCTCTGTTCATCATATTTTCTGGTTAAATAAGAGTTAAGCAGAAAACTTTTTTTCTCTTTGTTTATATCTGTATTATAAAAATATGTCTAAAATGTAAACACAAAAGCAAAAGATTAGAAACAAATGCTAGCCAATTATTAGACAATGGGTTAAACATTCATACAATGTCCCATGATTTGAGGGAGCCTAAACAAATTCATACAATGGAATACTATGCAGTCACTAAAAGAATAAAAGAGATCCATATGTCCCAGCATAGAAAGTTTTCCATTATCTATTGTTAAACAAATGAAATAAGGTAGTGAGTGGCATGTGTAGTGTGCTCTCATTTATATACAACAAGAAAAAGAAAGGAAAAAATTTGTAAGTTTAAATGCACACACACATATATATATTATATATATATAAAATATATATATGCTTAGATATGCATGGGATATCTATGGAAGGACACCCAAGATCTGGTAACAGTGTATACTTTTAGGGAGAAACCTGGGGGCAGAGAGGGAGGGAGACCATTTTTCTCTGTGTACCCTTTTGCAGTATTTGAAAATTATTTTTTCTGTGTACATGTATTAGCTTTTAAAATACATACATAATACACAAGTACACAAAAATGTATTATCTCTCTTTATACTACAATTACAGAGTAGTCATTTCTCTTAATCATACGAGTTCCTGGAACTTGAGGTAGGCAGATCTTCATACATGTCCACACTGGTTGGGTCACCTATTCTAACATGTTTGCTTTCATGCATAAAAACCATTGAGTGGCCAGGTAAAAGCAGGAAGAAGTGAAGGCTGGTGTTCCTGGAACCACACAAAGTGAGGGCAGAAGGGAAATGTGGAGAGTGTAGTCTGAGCACCAGTAAGTTGATATCTGAGGTTGAGGAACTGCCAGTCAGTAAACTGGGGCTGTCATTCCTGTGTGGATTGTCATCACTCAGAGCAGCAGAGTCCTTGGACTTGGGCCTTCACTTGCTGCATTGATTAAATGGTGAAAACAAGACCTTCTTTCCAGGTTCTTCTGAATAAAGATGAAAGTATGTGCCTGGCTCAGTTAGTCTTAGCTCGATGCAGAGTGTTTTGTGGTCATTTTGATAAATTTTTCTTTAATGTGTCCTGAAAGGAGGTGCGTACCCTATATTAGTAGAGATTCTGAGTGTCAACTCTGATGTTAGATGTCCTGGATGTGGATTCAGACTCTGCTCTTGAGAGGTTATCATTAGAAATATCTCTGCTCCCTTTGAAGACTTTTTATTTTTTTTTTTGAAGAGTGTGTTTTCACTTGTTTTGGAGAACTTGATTTCACTCAGCATGGATATCTTTGTCTATCAACTGGGGAGAACCAGTCTGAGACTGAAGCTAATGCAGAGGAAAGTAAGAGAGAAAAGGGACAGAGAGTGAGGGGTTGAGAGAGATATCATTTTGCTAGAGCCCTTGAATTCAGTTTTGCTTAAAGCCAGCTATATCCTCCCCATATCATGAACAACTGGGTTTCTATCTCTGGCAATGGAGAAGGTCTTGACTCAGTTTCCTCATTCTTGTGTTGAGATTTAAAAAAACACGTGCTAGAAACCGGCTTATATGCTTCCTTCCCAATCCCATCAGGTGGCCACCAGTCACCTGATCCTGATTTCAGATATGGTCTGAAGGTGTGGCTGATGAATAAGAGGGTTAGGGGGTTTTCCTAAAGGAAATTCAGGTGCTTTCACCCATAAACATAGAAAAGGACTCAGCAGGAAAACCTGTAGCTTTCCTCCACACTGGGCAGGATGTAGTGGAAGACTTGTACTCACTGATTTTTAGGGTGGACGCTATCAAAAATTCTGAGAGGCAAATGCCTTGTGTGGGCAGCTGGAAGCAGTATGGTGAGCTTGGTTTCCCAGGAGGTTTTTCAGAGAAATGAGAGAAGTAGGAGTGACTGTGAAATCACTGAAGGATTTTAGTAGGGCTCTGGAGATTGGGTCCCAAGGTTCTTCCCTCCATTTTCTCATGCCAGACTTGTGCAGCCTGGCCAGATTTCTGTGTGGCCTAGGTGTTTCCTCACTGCTCAGGAAAGAACGTCCTATTAGTTGTTTGAAACTGAAATTGGCCAGTGAGTTCTACTTCTACCATGCCTGCTGATGCTCCTTTCCTTTCTGAAGAGGCTCTTCCCCGTTAGGGTGACCCATCGTCCTCATTTGCCTGGGACTGTCTCAGTTTTAGCACTGAATGTTTTGCAACTTGGGAGAGTCTTCAGTGCGAGGCACACCAAGGCAGTTGGTCATCTGGAGTGGCGAATCGGCACACTTCATAGATGACTTGCATTTGACCGCAGCATGCTGATGCTGGGAACATCCGGGAGGAGCTCGCTGGCTGACGGCAGAGGCAGAATTGAAAACGGCTGAATCCAGAGAGCTGTGGTGGGGCTGGAGGTCAAGGCAAGCAGAGGCGTGAGGGGCTGTCTCACACAACACTGCAAGGAAGAGGCTTTTGATGGGGCCTTTGAATTAGGTATTGAGAAATGATCACGTCTGTGGATGGGGCTGGGGTAGGGATGGGCATGAACGTTTCAGCATGGTCAGGAGCTTGTATACACAGACAGCGTGATGAGAAGCCAGGCATTTTGGAGAGTGATGACAGCCGCCCCCTCAACACTCGCAAGGCGGGGAGCAAGTGTACAGATGGAGGCGTATATATCATGTGTCTAAATATTTAAAAGGTATAAACCAGGCTAGCAAGTTCTTAATTAAATATATTCTGTTCTCCTCCCTTGACAAATATACTTTCACAGCAATCTGGAAGACCGTGTTGGAATGTGGAATTCCTAGTTTCTGGCATTTCCTGCAGGAACGAGACAGCAGGGGAAGAGGTGGGCCAGATCTTCTCCCATCCCCTCCTCCCCTCACCCTGCTCCCTCCCAGGCTGCTAGGGGCCTCAGGCACACATGTGGACGCTGAAACTCCATCACAAACTCGGTCCACAACCCCTGCAAACAGCTGCCCTTTGGCTGCCCCAGGGGTGTGGCACTGGCAAGGAAGCGGCCAGAACAGGCCTTGAAAGTCTGCAGGGAATTCTCAGGTTCTGGGTACCAGAATGCGGTCTCTGGGGATGGCGTGGACATTGCGGGGGCACATCCCTGTTGGCCCTGCAGACTCTTTGCCCCGTGCGGCGGGGCACCTGTGGAGGAGGGCAAGCACGGAACGCTCCTGCCTAGGTCTGAGAATGATACTGAGTCCCGAGCAGTTCCCGGTGGCTGGAATGTCGTCGTGTTCAGCAGGAGCAGCAGCAGAGAACGCTGATTCCCATCGTGATAAGAGACGACGAAAATGGCGGCCCTGAATTCCTACCTCTGGTCTTTAGGAAGAGGAATGTCAGAAATAATGGAGTCTGATTTGGAAAGACCTGGGACATGGCCTGATGCTCTTCCACTCACCACACTCACGCAGATGTCGAGCACGTCCAAATCAATGTGTGGAACCTCCCTTTCTGACCCAGAAGTTCTGAGAAGCTAGACATCGAAAATGGCCTAAGCTACCCAACTGTCTCAGGTCGCTAGAGTTCCAGAGAGAAACCAACCACTCCAGAGGTGAGTCGGCTTATTTCTGGCAATACCCACTACTCCTGTGATGTGACTAACCTTTCTGAAGTAGACATGTCATTTCCTTGTCCTTCCATTAGAGGGAGCAAATGTGCATAAGGTCATCGATGACCCAGACGTTTAGCAGAGGAGCTTGAAGATACCTTCTGAAGCTGGTCTGCACTGCAAATTTTAACTCCCTGGTCCAAGCCTTAGTTTCTCCCGTATATGACCCCTTTGAGTATCTGACTAAAGGTTCCAGATGTTAATTATTTATAAGGAAAAATACCACACACATACCCCACCCACTCCTGCCCCCCAACACTCATATTTTCATTTTTTCTTGATTGAAAAGATAAATGAAAGCATGAAGGCTTCCACTTGCCTTGGGCCACATGAGACCATATTTTCACCCCCCAACATAATAACAGCCTTGTTTAGGCAGTCCTTGACATTTCCTAGTATTTTTAGAATTTCTTCCTTTTCACCGATCCCTGATGGATGACTCTAGGACTCTCCAGTTCTGCTATGAATAATGCTGTGCTCTTCACACTCTGACTCTGCTGTGAGAGTCCGTGCTGCGCTATTGAGCTCCAATCCCTTTTGCCTCTCCTAGCAGGCTCTGGAACACAACTGCCTGGGATGAACTCTGTTTATTCACATACCAGCTGTATGGCCTTTGGTAAGTAATTTAACTTCTCTGTGCTTGGTTTTCTCATTGGGAATGACCCGTCGTTGTAGCTTACCTCTGAAGATGGCTGCCATCAATTCCTTCCCTCCCTGTAAGTGTCTGTGACTCCCCCACTGAGGACTGGAGTCTACACCTTCAACCCCTTGAAACTGGGTGGGCTGTGGCTGCTTTAATGCCAGCCTGGTCATGCCTTTAGATGACTCCAGCCTCATCACCATCTAACTGCAACTGCGTGAGAGGCTCTGCCCAGCTGATCCCAGTCAAACCACAGAACCATGTGAAATAATAATAAATGGTTGTTTTAAGCCACTGTTTTGTGACACCGTGCAGCAAAAAGATAACCAAACTAAACATTGTTGGCAATGATAATAGTGTTTCCCTCATGGGGTGATATGAGGACTAAATGAGTTAATCTTCATTAGATGCTTAGAATAGCGCCTGGCAGTACTAGTTGCCATACAGAATATGTCGAATAAAAAAAGGAATGACCTAGGTCTCTGAAAGTATTAGAGTCTCAGGCCAATAAACACTCATTTTCAGGAAAGGACAGTATTTTTTATTGTTTTAGCTCTAGGTTCTTCCAAAAAATACCTTAGTCAATGTGGAATAAGTAGGTGGGGATGAAAACAGTGTCTTGGAGACCAAAAGGCTCAGAGTTGGTCCTGTCTGGCCTGGGCAAGCCCCTTAACCCCCTGGTCAGGGGTTTGTGACCAGCCTGGCCAACATGGTGAAACCCATCTCTACTAAAAATACAAAAATTCCCCGGGCATGGTAGCACGTGCCTGTAATCCCAGCTACTCCGGAGGCTGAGGCAGGAGAATCACTTGAACCCGGGAGGCGGAGGTTGCAGTGAGCCAAGATCGCACCATTGCACTCCAGCCTGGGCAACAGAGCGAGATTCCATCTCAAAAAAAAAAAAAAAAAAAAAATCTACCAAATAGCTTAGCCTAGTCTACCTTAAATGTGGGTCAAATGCTTACTTTAGCCTGCAGTTGGGCAAACTCATCCAATGCAATGCTTATTTTATGATAAAGTGTAGAATAGCTCATGAAATTTATTGAATACTGTACTGAGTAAAAAATGGAATGCTTGTATGGGTACTCAAAATATGGTTTCTACAGAATGTGTATTGCTTTTGCATAATCATGAAGTCAAAAAGTTGTAAGTGGAAACCTCAGAAGTCAGGGGTCATTTGTGTTGGTGTTTTCTGGATTCTTCCTTCTCTATACAAGCTTCATGGACGGGACACCTTGCACTCCTAGCTTCAACAATTCTAAAACCCAAAGACTATCCTTGATCCATCCCTAGCCCTCACTTCCCATATATCATCAAACATCACGTCCTGCTGATTCTCTCCCTTAAGTATCTCCCAAATCCTCCCCTTTCTCTCTATCTTCACTGCAATCACATCATCAGTTAAACTAAACTAAATTTGGCCTAAGG
This sequence comes from Homo sapiens, assembly GCF_000001405.40. Taxonomy (NCBI): domain Eukaryota; kingdom Metazoa; phylum Chordata; class Mammalia; order Primates; family Hominidae; genus Homo; species Homo sapiens. The sequence goes on along the minus strand of NC_000003.12, from coordinate 141,453,078 downwards.
ATGCCTTCATACTCAAGTCCAAAATGAACTGCAACCTTACTTAGTTGCATAAACTAACTAAATGCCTAAACTAACAGCTGAGTCTCAGTTCAGCAGCTGAGCTTCAGTCAATCTCAGACAGCTGACTGATTGACATAAGGCAAAACAGTGAGCTGTAGCCCATGAAGCTGCCTCTGTACCTTACTTCTTCCATTTTCTTCTTATAAATGCTGCCTGACTACGTTGTAGGCTGGAGTTCTTAAAACCTATTCTGGTTCTTAGGGGTCCCCAATTCACAAATGGTTCTTTGCTCAATTAAACTCTGTTACATTTAACTTGTTTAAGGTTTTTCCAGTTAACAAATCCAAGCCACTATAATCTCTAGCCTGCACAACTGCAGTAGCTTCCTAACTGCTCTACTTCTGGCCGCTACTGTCTTCCAAGCCATTGTCTACATTTCAGCCACAGTGACTTTTTTGTAATACAAAACTGATTAAATATACCTCTTCTTGTCCCAACCTGCTTTAAATAATTCAATGGCTTTCTGATGCTCTTAAGATCTTCTGGATCTTAAGAATAAGATCCAAATTCTTGGCATGACCTTGAAGGTTCTGCATGGTATGGCTCCTGTCCTCTAGTCTGATTTTAAATCAATTTCTCTGTACTCTGGCCACCACTGGCCTCCAAAGAACTGTGTTCCCTCCACAGGCTGCCCTTGATATCTGTTAGTCCCTCAACCTAGAAACTCTCTCTCCTTTCAACTCTTATTTATCTTTCAGACCTCAGCTCAAAAGTTACTTCCTCAGGTCTAGGTCTGAAAACAAAAAGTTACTTCCTCAAAGACAGCCTCCCTTGAACCTCCCAACTAGGTTACATTCCTCCATTAGATGTCCTCAGAGCACCATGCAGCCCTTCTGCATAGCATTTAGTATGGTTGTAAATAATCAGCTTTTTAGCCTTTTGTGTTCCCCACTATGTCACAGGCTCCAGGGACTATTTGTTTTGGCCATTCTTGTGCTGTACTCCCACCTCAAATATATTTTGAATGAATAAAATACAACTTTCAAATCCTTACCTCAAGTCAGTCTCCTCTTCTGAACTTCCAACCCAGGTATCTAGTTTGTTGGCAACACCATCCTTCTAATTGTTCAGGCCCAAACCTTGGTGTCATTTTTGATCCCTCTCTTTTTCAACCCCTGGTATCTACACCATTAGCAAATCTATCAGATCTGTCTTCAAAATACATCCAATATCTAAGCCACACAGAGTGTACCTCCTAATGGAAGAACATAACCCAACCTAAGAAGTTGCCTTGTTTCTTCCTAGACTGTGAACACCGAATTTCTTCGGAATGAAATTGCGAAGGGAAAAAATAGAAAATCTATAGATTATAAGACAGGTATATCAACTAATTGTAGTATGGGACTTTAGTTGGATTCTGATTCCAATTGTAAAAAATATATATATAATGATGAGACAACCAGAAATTTTAACGAATGGAACTTGATATTAAGGAAATGTTAATTTTTAAGGAATGGTAATGATATGGTTATATTAAAAATGTTGTTTACCTTTTTAGAGATGTATACTGACATATTTACAGATGAAATGGTATGATGTCTATGATCTGCTTCAAAATAATACAGTGGAGAAGGAAAGTAGGTGAGGGTATTGATGAAACAACATTGGCTGTGAATTGTTGATTGTTGAATGATGGGTACACTGGGTTTCACCAAACTATTCTACTTCTGCATAGGCTTGAAAATTTCCACATTACAAAATTAAAAATCTATCTCCAGAATGTGACCCATTTCTTACCATCCCCACTACTCCCACCCTCTTCCAAGCCACTGTCATCTCCCGCCTGTGCTGCCACAGTCTCCTATCTCATCTCCCTGCCTCCACCCTTGCCCCGGGCTGTGGTCTATTCAGTACACGCAGTAAGAGTGATCCTTGTAATCATATCAGATCCTTCCACTCTCTGCTGAAGTCCTCCAAAGGCTTCTCATCTTGCTTGGATATTGTGTTAACTCTCTCTGAGTTCATCTCTTACTACCCAGCCCCCTTCTTTGCTTGCCCACTGCCTTATGCTGTCAGGATAGAGGTCCAACTCTGGCAAAGCCAAGGCCCTGATGATGTGTCCCATGTGCCTCTCCAGGTTCATCATCCCAAACGCCAGACTTTTGGAACAACCTACATTCCCCGGTGGCTCCTTTGTTTTAGTTGCTCCTCTCTGGACCCGACGCCTCTGGTGAAGCCCAGCTCCACCAGCCCCCGCTCAGTATCACTTCTCTCTGCTTTGGTTCTAGGCCTCTTAAGAGCTCAGAGTTTTGTTTTATAATCATCTATTGTCTCATCAATCTCCTTCACCAGACTTAAGTTCCTCAAAGGCACAAGCTACCTCACATCTCTGTAGTCCTAGTTCAGCAGTAAAAATTAAGTATATTTTGAATGAATTAATTACAATTTTACATAAGTTAGCATTATTATTTTTTTTTGAGATGGAGTCTTGCTCTGTTGTGCAGGCCAGAGTGCAGAGGCACGATCTCAGCTCACTACACCTCCGCCTCCCAGGTTCAAGTGATTCTCCTGCTTCAGCCTCCCCAGTAGCTGGGATTATAGGCACCCACCACTATGCCCAGCTAAAGTTTTGTATTTTTAGTAGAGACGGGGTTTCACCATGTTGGCCAGCCCATTCCTGAACTCCCGCCTCGGCCTCCAACGTGCTGGGATTACAGTTGTGAGCCACCACGCCCGGCCACATTATTACATCTTTAAAATGTCTGTTTACCAGTTTCTCTAACTGGAATAAAATACTTTCACCTATAATTACATACAAGTCATATATTTTAAAATTATTGCAAAAAAGTGTTTGATTTTCCACAAAAACATTCTAAATAGAATGTTTTAGATGTTACTAATGAAATAATAAAATATAACATTTCTAACTAGTTCTTCATTCGTTGTCTAAATTTAGAGTGAATAGTTCTAAATTGCACACCCAGCCAACTTTCTTGCTCACTGACCATCTTGCTTGAGGAACTGGGTTAGGATGTACAAACTAGGGAGGGAGTAAAGGAGGCTTCTCTCTCCAGAAGAGAAATCAATAGCTGGTCAGGATTTGGGGAGGGCGAGGGGGATGCATTCTCAGATTTGGAGGAAACTGAAGTGGAAGAGCTGTTGCTTCTGTAAAAATAAACTGATAAGAGACAGATGGGAGTGCAACTAAATCAATCAGTAGGTGATGAGAAAAGATGAGTAGCAAGAATGAAAGTATCCGAAGTAATGGAAAAAAATATACTAACACTTTTGTTTTATGCTTTTACTTTCCCAATTGTTACAGATGCTTTCAATATTAAATCTGTTGTTCTTGTACATAATGAAGTTAGTTTTAGCAGATAACAGTTATCAAATTTTTGGTGAATCTGGTTTGGATTGCCCTTCCAATACAAAATTGATGCTACTGGCCAGCCACCGGTAGGCCTGGCAGTAATTTTCTCTGTGTTGGTGATGGACTGTGCTGCCTGAGCCACCGACATCCCCTCTCACATTGCCCACTGGGACAAACTGCAGGCATTTGCAAGATAGTTAGTTAGCTAAGTTTAGGAGTAGAGTCTGTGACGACGGAACGTATTTTTTTCTTTGTGTGAAAATTACCAGCTTATAATGCTATTACAATTTTACTCCATATCCTTAAAAAAGTGCACAAATTTTACTGATTTTATAGGGCAATCTCCTGAGATATAAGGGAAGCCCAATTCAGGGGAAGCTGAACCTGACACAGCCTCCTTTAATCCTGTTCCAGGGCAGTCACTAACTGCCATCCTAAAGCTGCATTACTTTATCATATCTCCTTTCCTCATACTCTGTTCAGTTTCTATAAATGATTTTTCTCTACAGTGTTGAGAAGGAACAAAAACATGGGCTTTGGAGTCAGGCAGACCTAGGTTAGCATCCTGGCTTTGTCTGGTTGTGAGACCTTCTCAAAGTCACTATAAAACGAGGATAATGAGGTCGAATTCTGGTGCGTGTGTGTTAATGAAATAGCCTATGTAAAGACATTGCCCAGTGCCTGGTACTCAATAAATGTAATTTGTTTCCCACGGATGAGTGGAGCAGAATGCTTCCTGGAGAGCATTTCATTCTCTGATTTATCATTATAAGATCAGGCCTATCCAAAACACTCAATCATCAGAAGACTTCAATCTCTTTTATTCTGCTTTTTTCCTAATGTCATAATCCATTTGACTCCTAAGCATGTAAGTAGGTACCACGGAATGTAAACAAGTAAGGAAACAGAAATAAACTGAATAATACGTGGAAACAAAGCTGTGACTCACACAGATGAAATAGCTGCACAAAAGAAATAACATGAAAACATTTAAAAAGAGACTTAATGTAGGAATAAGCTATTTTAATCAAGCAAAAACAAATTTATATCCATTATTTCTAAAAATAAAATTAGACTTTTCCAATCCTTAACATCTGCATTTAATAATATCTTCTAACCAAAATACAGATGCTAAAACAGCAAGTTACATTATATCTTGTACAGCATACAGTATGTTCACTGTTTACACTTACTTTAATTCTAGTTGGTCATGTACTCAATGCATACTTAAACATCACTCAATAAAATTTTCACAATTAACAAAAAAATGTGACAAGGCTGTCTTAAAACGGCTCTGCTATAAATTGTATAGAATATACAGAATTACAAAGTCAAGTATTTTTTTATCAAAATATACACCCCTCCCTGAAACTAACACAAGCTATCAACATTTTAAATGAATACAATTATAGAAAATATTTGCAAAATTATTTTTTCATGTATAAATATTCTGCCATATTTACTTTGGTCTAGAATTATCAGCATACAAGTCCACTTAAAAAATATCCACATATAAGGGCTGGGAGAGAGACATCACTACAGGTAATTTTATATTTGGGGTTAACTCAAATCAAAATGACTAGAATATACAGTAAATGTCTTTGATTAATATTATTAACTGATAAAACAAATTAGTGGATCATAGGATTGCTTATTCAATATTCTAATTATCAATTCAAAAATGATTTTCGTAAGCCCTTTGTGACTATCTCTTTAATAAAACCCAAATGAATAGTGTAGGGTGTACATATATACAATGTATAAAATAAAGTTGAATTTGCTTGCATTTTCCCATTTTTCTCTACTTATATAATACTGTATGTAAGTGAAAGTAGATGAACAAAAGATAAATGCAGATACAATAGTGGGGTTACTTAACAGCAAGGTACTACAGTATTAAAAGGTCAACTTTAATCATGTCCTTTCCTGGGCGTTTAAATGCTTTCTTACCCACCCAAATCCATACTAAGTCTTCTTCATGGAGACATCACACTTGTAGACAGAAACCGGAGTCCTTTGAGCTACTTCTTCACAATGATAACCTTCCAATCTTCGATAACCTTGGGTTTCCATCTGTCAAATCCAATGAACATGAATGACTGCAGGTCACGCTGAAACTGCATTCCGGATTCTGTTCACACTGGTGATCAAAGGGTAGAAATGTTTTCTCTCTCCCTTCTATTCTGGCAGTTTGAAAAAGAATCATGAGTTCCGGCTTTCCAGGAACCTAGTCCACATGATAGAATATGCTGTAGGGCAATTAGATTTGAGGGTAGTGTTGATGGTGTGGGTCAAAGAACATAAAAAAAAAACTTCAGTGGGTTTTTAGCAAGGGGTCTAGATGTCTGCAAATATGAAGACAGAGCATCTGGCTTTGTAGATATATTTCTGAGTCTCATAAGTAAAGGATAGAACCATGTCACTCCACATCCTACCTTCCCACCCCCTAAAAACAAAGCTACTGTTTTAGGCAAGGAAGGCCATCACTTCTTCTTGCCCACTCAAGTCATTAATGGGTGGGGTGGAGGGTGGGGGTTCCTTTGTCCTTTTGCTTTATACTAGTCTGTACTTGTGGGCTGCATAATCTCCAACAAGGCTAGTAATTGTAGGGATTAGGCAGTCACTTTCAAGTGCCTGGGAATTCACTACTGCAGTGTACCTTGCACTAAATCTCTTGGACAGTCCTTCAGTGGAATGGGAGATGGCAGGTTCCACTTGAGCCCTTAAGTCTGTCTGGAATAGACCCCCACATCCATGGCCTTGTGGTGGTTGGAAGACTGCAGAGAGTTTCAGAACAATGTGACCCTCTTTCATTCTCTGAGATGAGGCCATTGCAAAGTAATATGCAGCACAGGTAATCACAGGTAAATTCTGGGAGGGTGTTCCCCCATAGATAAGGCATGACCTATGTTTTCTGTGAATTGAGTAGACCAGTTCTAAGAACAGCTCAGCCATAACTTCAAGGGAACAGCATTCCATCTAAAAGCATTCACATGCTCTTAAATCATATTCAAAATGCTTTCTATTGATTTTTACATCAGTCCTCATTATTTGCAGATCTATTGCTCCTCATAATTCTCTACAGGGGATATGGACAGTTAAAAGTTATAGTGATTTATATATGTATTTTACAAGGTTTGTGTTGCAGAAAAGTAGTTCTACATAATGTATGAATGTCCTACTTTAGGTTACTCATTATGCACATAATTTCAGTTATATTGTTTAAGTATTTCATGTGTATCCATTAATTTAAACAAATTTTAATAGTGCAGAAGCCAGATGGGAATAAAGACCGTCACACAGCTTATTACCACGTAACATATTTACGAAGATGCCATCTTCAGGATATCTGACCCTTATTTTCTCCAGTGACTAAAGACAGTTCAGCAGCCAGTTCTTATTAGCAATTATTAGAAAGTTTTAAACTAGGCTAAAATTAAACTCCTTTTTTCACTGGTAGAAATACCACAGCTAAGAATTTTATTAACTTTCACAAGAAACTTGGGATATTGGAGGAGTCAGCTATTTTGTTTTTGTGCACTTTGCATAAAGTTAATGCTAAAACCCAAAGTAGATATTAGGATCCTTTTTCTGGAATTTTCACAAATGAGTTTTTTTTTTTTTTAATTTCACTCCTTCATGACTGTCACATGGACAAAATGAAACTAAACTTAAATCATAACTAAAAAAACCACCAACTATATTTTTGAAGATTTTTCTAATTCTTGCCACTCAAAGGACAACATTTTCCACACCGGTTTGTATGTTATCCTTTTGGTCATTGTCTTCTGAACCAATGAAATGTTGATTCTCCAAGGGATTTGAGTTTTCGTGGCACACGTCACCTATTTTCTCCTGCTGACTTGGGCTTTTGAATAAGTGTTTCTTTTGGTGCATTCCAAGGGCAGCAGCTGTTTTGCAAATTTTGGGGCACTGGAAGCAGGCATAGCCCTTCCCATTATGCTCCCGAATATGCCTCTGCTCGTGATTCCTTTTGGTGGAGAGATACAAAAATCTCTGAAAGCAGAACTGACAGTGGTAACGCTTTTCTCCAGTATGGATTCTTTCATGGATTTTGAGGGTCTCATTCAAGGTGAATGCCTTGTTGCAATACTGACAGACGAACTCCTTCAAGCCCAGGTGGATGCGTTCATGTTTCTGTAAGTTTCCTTGCACCGAAAAGCACCGTCCGCAGGTCTTGCACTGGTATGGCTTCTCCCCGGTGTGACATCTCATGTGCATTTTGAGTGTGGAAGGGCTCTGGAACTGCTTGGCGCAGAGCTCGCAGGCATATGGCCGAGAAGTAAGATGTCGGTGGGGCCTTCCTTGGTTTCCAGCCCCCACTGCTTTGTCTCCATCACAGAGTTCACACTGCAGCTTGGGCATCTCTTTAGTTTCTTCTTCCTCAAAGGGTTTATCCTGAGGAGCCTTCCCCACGGCGCAATCCAGTTCTGCTGGGTATTTACATTTATGGCTCGGGCTCCTGTTTCCGTGCTCCTTCCTCCAGTTGACTTTCCTCATTTTTTTCAACTGTCTGGATTTCTTTTTGGGTTTGTAGTTGTAGTAAGGGCGCCACGGTTTGTCAGTGGAATCCTGGTCACTTGCGTCATCGAACACTTCACTCATCTCCATGCACTCGGATTGGCAAAGCCCGAGTGGGCTGTCTCCACTGGGTTCTGGGTCATTCCCCTGTGGCAAAGGCTCCTCCTGCATCTGATACTTGGGTCTTCTCCCTCTTTTATAAAACAATTTAGATCCTAGAATGTGCCTTTTCACAATGGCTTCGTTTCCAATTTTCACTGTTATTTGGCAAAGGGGTGCAACATTACTATTTGTGGAGGTTCCCGGCAGAGCAGGTTTTGCAATGTAGGTTTCAATTTTGCTGGTTTCTTCAGCAATATTTGTGGTTTTGCTCAGTGATCCTCCAGGATCAGCAACATAGTTTGACTCCTCCGGTATTTCTCCCCTGGTATGTGATGTAGTTTTCTTTTTCTCCTTAATGCTTTTGGGTCTGCTTGCAAACCTACCCACTTTATCTGGCTCGGGCTTACTGTCATCTTTCAGGGACTGACTGACAGCTGGGTCTGAAAAGGCTCTGTGGTTGCTGCTGGTCATGGCAGCAATGGCATTGCTGTGCATGATCACCGATGAAAACTGGCTGCTGTGTACAATGACCGAGGGTGCAGAGCCACTGTAGCTGATCACAGAGGCGGCATTCTCACTGCTATTACTCAAAGATAAAACAGGTACATCCCCTGCCCGGAGGTCAGAACTGACAGCATTTTCAGTGGAAGAAACTGACACCTCAGTTGAATAAAAGTTATTGTCAAGATCCATTTTCAATGCCTCCTCTCCCCATTTGGTACCCTCTGCATTTTGTACATTGGCAGAAGTGGGTATGTCCTGACATGCAGATGTTTCCAATGGGATGGCTGGACTGTTGGTCAGGGTGTTTACAGTATCTTGGAAATTCAGCGTTGGTAATTCAGAGCTGTGTGGATTCTGAACAACATAGGTACCAGGTGCAGACTCATTCATTTGACTGTTTTCTCGTGCATTTTCATAGGAAGAATTTCGGTAGCTCTTATAAGGGGCTCTCTTGCATTTCATAGGCAGTAGCCTATAAAGTTTATACGGATAGACACTAGGCTTCAAGCCTCCATTTGCTGTTTTTTTACTGATGGAAAGTCTATGATCGATGGCATGGAAAGACTTCTGATGATTTTTGAGTATATAGTAGGTCATGAAAGTTTCAAGACAGAAAATGCACTGATATCGTCTTTCTCCCGTATGCCAAATTTCATGCCTTGTCCTGTACTCAGCCAATGCAAATACTTTGTTGCAGTAATGGCAAGGATATGTTCTTCTCCAGGAGTGAACATTTGCATGTCTTCGGAGGCTAGATAAGGTCACATAACTACGTTTGCACACAACGCAACTGTAGAGCATTTGCCCATTAACAAATTTAACCATGTGGTCCGTGTCTGGCAAAGTACTTCCGGTACTGGAAAATTCACCAATCCTATTTTCAGATAATAAAGGTTCTGGACCTGTGAATGAACCTCCATTTTGTCCAATGGTAGGATAGTTTTCTAAAAAGCGTTGGTTTCCTCCAGGAATGGGCATGTGGCTTGACCTCATGCAGATCTGTTCATGCCGATCCAACCTGTTCAGGGTGGTGAATTGTTTGTTGCAATACTTGCACACTAAAGGCTCCTGGGTTGGCTTGTGAAGCTGCATGTGGGCACTGAGCAGAGTGCTGCTGTCAAAGGCTTTGGAACAGCAGCTACAATTGTACACCAGAGGTGGAACCTCTGCGGCTGGCGGCCCGGGAACATCAGAAGATTGATTTTCATCTTCCCTGGAAAAATGGACATCTCCTTCATTGTTTGGAGATTTTGAACGAGTGAGAACAGCAGCTGGTTGTGGACTTCTTTCTTGATTAACCTCTAAGTTGGATACTGGAGGGGGTGGTATATTTTCTGTGGCTGAATCCGAATCCTGTGGTATGGAGAATGTCTTTGGCTTCCGGCATGTTTTCGGTTTCGCTGCAAGGGCTTCACAATTTTCTTTCCCTGTGTTACCAGGTGAACTGCCATCATGTTCACGTACAGGCTGACTTCTGTAAGCTTCAGCTACGGAAGAAACAGCGTATGAGTGCTCGGCAAGTGTGCGGACAGGCTCTGCCTCGTGGCAGACGTCCGTCCTCTCCAGGCAAAGGCTAGCTGTTCTCATGGAGTCGGAGACCTTTTTGAAACTTGCCCTCAAGTCCAGCGGGGAAAACATGTTATTACTATTTTCTGTTTCGATGATGGAAAATGCATTTGTGATCCTTGGCCCATTAGTGATGGCTGGTTCTTCATGCCTTTTTTCATTTTTTTCTTCTTTAACCACTCCCTTTTCAGTAATACAGAATACATAGGGACCCGGGGAATTTGAGAAGTTGCGATCAGTAAGGTCTTCCAAGAACGATATTCCCAGCTTTTTTCCTGCAGCTGCGAGATCAGTGACTGTTTCCTGTCTCTTGACAACGACTGTGGAACTGTAGATATAATTAAGTATTTCAGTAAACACTTCAGCTTTGAGATCGTCCAGCTCCAGGACGTGGCTGGAAATACAGATTGTATGGCTCCAAAAGATATTTTTAAAATACAGGCTTGAAGCTGCCAGAACATTGCTATGGGCTTTAAATTTGGTATCTTCCACAATGATAGTGACATCGCATAAAATGCCCCGAATGCGCTGCTCATTTAAGATGGAGAGTACCGTGTCACTGTGAAAGTCGTCCTTGAGGTCCCTGGAAAGGGACATGACTGTCATCTGAAACAAGAGGAGAGAAATGGTCAGATAATCTTCCACAGGTGGCTTCTTTATCTCTAGACTATTTTCCACTTCTGTGAAAAACTGTTCTTTTGTATGAAACTTCAGGTTTTTATCTCATTCTGTTGATGCTCCCGAGACTCAAGAGTCAACATTAGAAGCTAAATCTTTTTCTTGCCCCAGCCTGTTTCTCATACCATTGCTAATAGTTGTTATCATTGGAAATCCTCCCAGAACTCCTTCCCCTTTTCTCCAAAGTTGGAGCTATATATACATGTCCAAATTTGGGAGGGGAGGAGGTTTTTTTTTTTTTTCTGAAATGTTAAGGGTCTCATCATCATTCAAGGCTGCTGCTTTGAACTACTAGAGCTGGGCAATGCCATGGTCCTGCCAGAAGCTTCCTGCCTATTTTCAAAGAGAAATCTGATGATCCAGTCACAACCATGAAGCAGGAAAATGATTTTTTTTTTTTTGAGACAAAGTCTCGCTCTGTTGCCCAGGCTGGAGTGCAGTGGTGTGGTCTCCGCTCACTGCAACCTCCACTTCCCCGGCTCAAGCGATTCTCTCACCTCAGCTTCCTGAATAGCTGGGACCACAGGTGAGAGCCACCACGCCCGGCTAATTTTTGTATTGTTGGTAGAGACAGGGTTTCGCTATGTTGCCCAGGCTATTTTTTTAAATGAATTTTCCTTAAGTGGTACCTATATGCAAAGCTATTGCCCACTCAGAGAAGAAGCAAGAACTGAAGGAGCCCTTCCTAATTTGTGGCTCATAAGGGTCAATCTCTAGAGTTGCAGGGTGTGTAACCAAGTCTGACCACCAGGGGCACCCCCGCCTCTCTGCGCTATTGGCCCTATGGTGACTCATCAGGTTCCTTTTCTAGTTTCCCCTTTAGTAGAGACAAAGTAGACTAGGGTTTTCAAAAAGAACTGTCAGGTACTGAAGGCAACTAAAAAGGAGACAAAATGTAAAACCAGGAAAGGACATTTCTAAGTCCTTTGACAAGAACGGACAAGAATGAATCTAGTCATAGATTCCTGAATTAGCACAACTTCAAGGCACAGTGGCTCTTGTTCTGGTCTGAGGATCCCATCTCCATTCTTCTCTGTATTTTCTATATTCTCTATATAAGTCCTATTCCATGAGTCTGGTGTGCTAAAGCTTACTAACTGATATTATAGTGAGGGGCAGTGAAAAGTAGCAGCTTTCATACTTCCCACAGTAAGAGATACACAGTACATAGTGACCTAAGACACAAATGAAATTAACACTCACCCTTACTAGGTGTGATGCATTCTGTTCTGCTCTAGTATTTTTCTTTTCTTTCTTTTTCTTTTCTTTTTTTTTTTTTTTTTTGAGATTGAGTCTCGCTCTGTCACCAGGCTGGAGTGCAATGGCATGATCTCAGCTCACTGCAACTTCCGGCTCCAGGGTTCAAGCGACTCTCCTGCCTCAGCCTCCCGAGTAGCTGGGACTACAGGTGCATGCCACCACGCCCAGCTAATTTTTGTATTTTTAGTAGAGACGGGGTTTCACCATGTTGGCCAGGATGGTCTCGATCTCTTGACCTCGTGATCTGCCCGCCTCAGCCTCCCAAAGTGCTGGGATTACAGGTGTGAGCCACTGCACCCAGCCTTTTCTTTTAAAGAATGCTTACAGCAACTCACTAATTTCACTACCCAGTAATAGATCACCACATGCAGTTAAAAGTAAAGCAAAACAAACAAACAAAACACACACACAAAAAAACCCTCTGGTCTACAGAACATACTAACCAGAGATTCATCCAGTCTCTCTGTGCTATTCTGTATTAAGAGACGTCTCCAGAAAGCCTTACAGTTTGATGATACTTCTTTAACTCTCAGTGGCAATGTTTTCCTAGCAGTAAAGTATAACATTTAGCTCATGGCATTTATTTAGTTGGATGGACCAGATGGCCACACAAAGAACCTCTCTACCTTTTTGTAAAGCTGCTATTATAAGCTGTGACTATTATGTTATTTAGTGTCCTTTATACAAGGATCCATTTGATAAATTCTTTTATTGTATCCAGTCATAGGAAAAAAGTACCTTTCTACTAACAAATTCTTCAATTCAGATAATGAGAACACTATATTCACCATGTTTCTGTTTTAATTCTCAAGACAAAGAAGCTCAGAACTAACTTTTATCATCAATTGTTGTAGCTATTCTTGGCCTGGGTTTCTGGTGTGCCTATTGTTTCATTTTCTTTATTTAACATTAGTTCTTCTGCTCTTGTTTACCCTGCCTTTAACTGTAATCTTCCATGAATCTTTTCTAGAAGTATGGGGGATTATTTCTACAAATAAAACTAGAATGAAATGAAATGGAATCTTATGACTTCCTCTTTGCCCCTGAAGGGAGAAAGGGTGACCCCGGAGTGAAGGAGTCTGTCCTTCACTGGGTCACAGATCAATAGCATACTTTGCTGATGTTTCTTTTGCCTTCTTTCAAGTCTCTCGGCTCTGGGCCCCTGTAGGATCTCCTTTCTCCCCTGACTCATATATTTTTATCATGTTTGGCTTCTTGGAAGCCCACATGTTATTTTAATTCTTTATCAGCCTGACTAGATAGCTTCAGATCTGACAAAACACATGCTATATGATTCAAAAAGGTGGCTTAGGTCTATGCTGACATCATCTATTTTGTCTTTCCAGTTCAAAACTACTGCTTCTTCCAAAACATTCTGCTTCACAGCATCCTGAACCTCCCTTTAGGCTCTGCTTCCATTTGCGGAATACGGCATTTCAAATCAGGCTAATGAACACTCTAGGGTGTCCTGACTCAGATTTATAATATACAAAGCCCCAACCACTTCTGTGGGGTTCTGATTCTTCTCTCAGATTGTTCAACTAGGATGGTTAGCAAAAGGCCAACTCTTAACATGGAATAATATTGTAGTCATACTTAACAGAACAACATATACAATAAATATCATTATATATGTCATTAAAATATTGTCATAACTTTGCAAAATCCAAGCATGACATTTTTCAGCGGGGATATCTACCTTTGTGTGTCAGAAAGCCTTTAAAAATCATAGTTAATAAGTAGCACCTTGATTTGCCTTCTTGACACACCTTTTAACAACTTTATCCAGCAAATATGTTAATATGGTCAGACACAGTACTTGGGTGCTAGAGTTATACTGGAGATATGAACAGGAGGAAGGCAAGTCTCTGCTCTCAAGGAGCCCAGAGTCTAGGGGAAGAAAGAGAACTGTCAACTAATCATTGGAATCCATGATGGCAGGCCATATACTGGAGATAAGTATAAAATGTTAGAAGAGTAAGTACAATTATTTACAGAGGCCCTGGATTACTTCCATAAATAAGTAAAACAGGGGTATAGGAAGGATGCTGTAAGCAGAAGGAACACTATAGGCAAAAAAAAAAAAAAAATTAAAAATGATCAAAGTGGGTACTGTTCTCAGGGGCTAATGAGGGAGTCTGAGTGGTAGCAGGAGTAGTGTGTGCAGCCCAGTCGACAGCGTCTATGTGGGGCCAGGCACATGGCAGGCCTCAGCATGTATCTGTTGAATGAGAGAGCTTGGGAAAGAAGGGTCAGACCAGATCATAAAGGGCCCTAAAGGACTCCCTACAGTTAAATTTTATATTGCAGGGAATAGGGAACCATTGAGAGTTATAATGAAATTTGAGCTTTTTTAAAAAAAAATCACGCAGCCTGCAGTATGCTGAAAGGCTCAGAGGGAGGCAGGCTGCAGGCAGGAGACCAATAGGCCATCACAGTGGTCCAGGTAAAAAGTAGCTATCCACCCCAGACAGAGTGAGAGCCTGGGGAAGAACAGATGACTCCACTTCCCAGCTAATAAAGTGGGATGGGGTGGGCCAGGCGTGGTGGCTCATGCCTGTAATCCCAGCACTTTGGGAGGCCGAGGCAGGTGGATCACCTGAGGTTGGGAGTTCATGACCAGCCTCACCAACATGGTGAAACCCCGTCTCTTCTCAAAATACAAAATTAGCCGGGCATGGTGGCACATACCTGTAATCCCAGCTACTCGGGAGGCTGAGAGAGAAGAACTGCTTGAACCCGGGAGGCGGAGGTTGTGGTGAGCCAAGATTGCGCCATTGTACTCCAGCCTGGGCAACAAGAGCGAAACTCCGTCTCAAAAGAAGAAAAAAGAAAAAAAAAAAAGAAAGAAAGTGGGATGGGGTGTTGGAGGTGGTGATGGCATCTGAATTCAAAATTTAATTCTCTTAACAAATATTTATTGAACAATTGCTAGGCAGAAGGCATCAGCTAAGTGCTATAGAAAGACATGCGTTCAATCAGCTGGGCATAGTGGCGTGCGCCTGTAGTCCCAGCTACTCGGGAGGCTGAGGCAGAAGAATTGCTTGAACCCAGGAGGCAGAGATTGCAGTGAGCCAAGATTGCGCCACTGCACTCCAGCCTGGGCAACAGAGCGAGACTCCATCTCAAAAAAAATAAATAAATAAAAGAAAAAGAAAAAGAAAAAAGAAAGGCAAGCGTTCATCCCTCCTTTGAACGAATGCTTACTGAATACCTATTATGTGCTTTGAGACATTGGTTCCTAAACCTGGTCAGGCATCAAAATCACCTGGGAGGTATTCAGATAGTACAGCTTTACAGATTCCACCTCCCCTGCTCCTATAGAGATTCTGGTTTAGAACAGCTGGAGTGAGACCCTGGAATCCATATGTATTTTTATACCTTAATTTCTCTTGTGAATAAGTAATACATACATATAATTATCAAATTGAAAAAGCACACAAAGTAAACATTGGAAAGTCTCCTTCCCACCTTGTTCCAGAGGAGCACCTTATTTCAGGTAGTTTTTAATCAACCAGCCAGAACCGTTCTAAGGGCTGACACTAAAACTCAGTGCCATAAGAGAAACAAAAATTCTACACTCAAAGGTTTGCAGGGTGGCAGGGGAACTAAGATGTGCTCATGAAACACTGCAAAACAAAGATACCCAGGGAACATCCAGGATCAGGCATGCAGGGAAAAGGTATGGGAGTTCAACAGAGAGTAAGGGAGGCAGAAGGACGTGGTATGTACTGGATCCTGCTGCTGGAATTGAGTGCTGCAGATATGGACAAGAGGAGAAAAGGGAACTTCAGGCAGAAAGAGACAGAGTCAGAGTTTCATGCCCTCAAGAAGTTTATAATCCAGGAGTCAATGCAACTGCTTAAAACAAAGAGTCCAAATCTGCGAATGGAACTTGAAAAAAAGCAGTGAAACTTGTTGGAGAAGCAATTTAAAGTTAAGACTCTAGTATCCACCTCTCCAATCTTAACAGTGCCCGCTCCCAAAACCACCAAGTATCGTCAAAACTGTCTTTAGAGCACAGTTATCCAGCTCATTGGATGATCTCAGAAAGTGCTACGGCTAAAAGCTATTTCACAGGTCCAAAGTGCAACAAGGAAATGAGTTCTAAATCTGCAGACCAAAGGAGGCCCACTGTAAGCCATGCAGCAAATCCGGTCCCCACAGGTTTTGTTTGACCCATGTGATTTTTAAAACTATGTTTTTGAAAATCTTAGTTAACCATGTTGAAAAACTCTAACATAAAAATCAAGATAGCTGGCTGGGCGCGGTGGCTCATGCCTGTAATCCCAGCACTTTGGGAGGCCAAGGTGGGTGGATCACTTGAGGTCAGGAGTTCAAGACTAGCCTGGCCAACATGGTGAAACTCTATCTCTATTAAAAATACAAAAATTAGACAGGCATGGTGGTGAGTGCCTGTAGTCCCAGCTACTCGGGAGGCTGAGGAAGGAGAATCGCTTGAACCTGGGAGGCGGAGGTTGCAGTGAGCCGAGATCACGCCACTGCATTCCAGCCTAGGCAACAGAGCAAGACTCAGTCACACACAAAAAAAATCAATATAGCTTTTTTTGAAAAATAGGAAGACCAGGCAACACTGGGGTTGTAGCCTGCCTGGCAAAAAGGACTGGTGCCAAGTGGCTGTGTCCCCAACACACACACACTGCCTGCCCAAGGATTTATCACCAGGCAGCTTCTCTCAGTAATGTGGCCTGCCTGGCCTCTTCGGCAGGTTCAGTTTGTGTAACTGATAAGAACAGTAAGTAAAATAACATTGGACCCACAGATCTTAGACATACTTACTTGAAGGATATCCCCAGGATGAAAATTTAGACTTTAAAAGAGCTCATGTGGGAGGGGGACAGTCATTTTCACCAAAAACAGTATTCGTTGACTTTAAAGTTACTTTAAAGCAACCTCCTCCACTACATTTCTTCATAAAGAGTAACTTAAAACAGAAGTCTTAGGAGCTCCTGCCAATGGAAAGCCCCCAATAGATTTCAGAAAAAGAAATATAAGTTAGAAAGAAGATGAGGTTTAATTTACATGTAACTTTCTAAAATATTTTCTAAAAAGCAAGTTTTGTGCAATAAATTCACTGAGATGGAATAGATAAGCATAAAAAAGCTAACAAAAATATTCTAGATATGAAATTGTAGATGAGTCAATATTTTTAAAAACATAAAGTAATTTGTAATTGGATAACTGGCCATCGGACTTTAATGTCATTATTTTCCTGAGTTTGCATTTTAGCTGGAATAGCTTTTAAAATATATTTTTATTTTAGTTTTTTTTTTTTTCTGAGGCAGTCTTACTCTGTTGCCCAGGCTGGAGTGCAGTGGTGCGATCTTGGCTCACTACAACCTCCGCCTCCAGGGTTCAAGCAATTCTTCTGCCTCAGCCTCCCAAGTAGCTGGGATTACAGGTGTGTGCCACCGTGCCTGGCTAATTTTTGTATTTTTAGTAGAGACGGGGTTTCACCATGTTGGCCAGGCTCGTCTTGAACTCCTGACCTTGTAATCTGCCCACCACCTCAGCCTCCCAAAGTGCTGGGATTACAGGCGTGAGCCACCGTGCCCGGCCTAAAGTATATTTTTAAAATGCATATTACACATGTGTATATAGCCACATGTATGTGCAAATACAAGCATGAATATATAAATATGCTGACATATATTATACTTAAATACATTTTATATGCACAGATGTAGAAATAGGATGAACATATAATTCAGCATCCAAAACAGGACACTTGAGAGAGAAAGGAGGTAAGACTAATGCCAGGGAAATAGGTATACATTGGGATTATACCTTAAAAAATCAGGATGAATGGTCATCCAGCATTTTATATATAAACAAATCTCTATATAAATTATTTTACTTTTATTATCTTTTTTCTTCTTTGAGACAGGGTCTTGCTCTGCCACCCAGGCTGGAGTGCTGTCGGACAGCAGTGGTGCTGTCATGGCTCATCACAGCCTTGAACTCCTGGGTTTGAGTGATCCTTCCACCTCAGCTTTCCCCCATCCCTCAACAGTAGCTGGGACAACAGACATGTGCCACCATCCTTGGATAATTTCTAAATTTTTTATTAGAGACGGGGTCCCACTATGTTGCCCAGGCTGGTCTCAAATCCTGGGCTCAAGTGACCCTCCCACCTTGGCCTCCCAAAGTGCTTGGATTACAGGCCTGAGCCACCACAGCCAGCCTATATAAATTAAATATAAAATTATATATTATACTTATAAGGACATTTGTGTTTATTTACATAAAGTATATTGTACGAATATGTAAAGTACTTTTAAGAATTATATAAATATCTGATAAACATATTTTATAATTAGACTTTATATAAATGCCACTGGGAAATTCTAGTAAATTAGCATATTTGGAATTTTCTGTTTTTGTCTCCTGCTATGCTTCAGCCTTATATAATAAAAACACATACATATAATGTAAATAGAGGCACTTTAGATACTTTTGATGACTGAAATGAACTTTCTTCACTTGCTTTTTAGAATTTCCTAGGTTTAGAAAAAGAAAATGAATCTATGCTCATGGTCAAAGACTGAAACAGCACAGATATGCATTAAGGTAAAAAGCAGAAGTCCCCTTCTCCATCCTAGCCTCCCCACTCCCTACAACCATACTCCCCCCGCCCCCCCAGTGCACACACAGCACACACTCTCCCTCGTCATAGGTCCCTTTTCTTATAACTTTGGAAGACTTCTACATTCTGCCTGAATAAAGCCTTAGGAGAGAAACTGTTTTTCCTCTTAAGATTATCCTTCTCTCCCAGTCCCTAGTTCCCCTACCTGGCAATCCTCATTTGTTCTTGTCTCAGTTGATGTCTTATCTGCATAGCCTTGTTCCTCTGGAATTTCTAGTTTTTGGTTTCCCATCATTACAATGTACGGTATCATGCATTTGTTCACATTTATATCTTCCCTATGAGCTCCTTGAGTACAGGGACAATCTGATTCATCTTTGTACTCCCTGCACCTGTAGGCATGACAATCCGTTGTTGGTGATGTTGAGAGTGAGCAGAGGGGAACTGGCCCTAGAGAGCGGCCTTGAGAAAGTGCCTTCGAGTTCTAAGAATGTAGGATTGCTTCACAGTTCTCTCTGCAATCTCTTAAAGATTTACTAATAAAAACACACTTTTAGGAGATTATCACTTGTCAAGTTTTGGTATAGTATCAAAGAATATCCATAATTAGCTGAAAAGGCTATTAAAAAATTCCTTCCCTTTCCAACTACCTATTTGTGAGAAGCTGGATTTGCTTTATATACTTCAACTAAAACAGCATACCACGGCTGAAGGCAGGAGCAGAGATGAAAATCTAGCTGTCTTTCTATCAAGCCAGACTTTAAAATATTTGCAAACATGTAAAACAGTACTAGTCCTCTCATTATTTTTTTGTTTTAAAAAATAGTTACTTTTAATAAAATGTTATTTTATTATTCAGTTGGATTTATCACAGTCATTTTCCATCAGTTAATAAATATTAGGTAGGTGCAATTAAAAGTAGTGGCAAAAACTGCAATTACTTTTGCATCAATCTAATAGTTCTTTACATTCTCATTTAAAATGTTGAATATGGTAAATATTGACAGAAAGAACTCAGATAAACAAAAGCTCTTTGCATACCCAATGACTGTAAGAGTGTAAGGGAGTCTAGGGACCAAAAAGTTTGAGAACTGCTGTGCTAACCAAAAAAAACAAAAAAAAACAAAACAAAAGTCAAAACAATTTTAATTAAAAATCTTAATTAAATAATTTTTCTAAGAAATTATTTAAAAATTATTTTACTCAATAAAATAAATATATATAAGCCTAAAAGGACTAAAGAGACAGTGAATAAAAATGTGATGAAACACAAAGCAGAAATCCTCAGGAGACAGATGGAGGCCAAGGAATACAGAAACATAGACACACCCACAGTCATGCAGATATGCATACTCTCCATACCTGTCCTTAATTTTCCAAGTTTGAGGCAATGACTATTTCTTGAGTTTGAACATGGCTGAAAAACCAGGCGGACCAACAGTCCGGTCCACACTATACACAGGTGAAAATTGTTCTTTGAGGTTGCTACCTACAATTTGTTTATACAATCAATCTATCATTGCTTGCATCCTTGCCTTCCAAGTCTCAAAGGTTAGCTTGATCACAGTAATCTATCCTGGATATTGCTTTTAAGTATTGGTTCACTCATTCTGGGAATGAATTTGAAAATAAGGGAAACAATTCTTGGCAATAATCTGACTTTAACTACTTCCCAGTATTTCCAGCTTAATTAAATCTTCTCTCCCTTCAATTAGTTAAGGCGATCTTACTGAAATGCACAGAAGAAAACTTAAAATGATAGTTTCCATATAAACTCTAATTCTTACAATGCAAAACGAATCTTGAAAAATCTCTTTAAATTGTTAACTAATGCACCTATTATGCAGATCTTTATAGGGCTTGTTAGTAAAATCTGGTATATTTTTATTAGTAAAGCTCTAAGACATTACAGAGAGGAGAGTTAAGTAAACCTTTTCAGTCCACATTCTTAGTGAGAACTACAAGTCACTTATTCAAAGCCACTCTCCAGGGCCAGACTGAACCCCATTTTTTTTAATCTTCTAATCAGAGGAAAAGGCCAAGAGCCCTCTTGCCAGCCCTTGGCCACGCAGCTCCTAACGTACATAATAACAACAGAATCGACAGAGCAACTTTCTCCTCCATCTATGGCAAGTTGTCTTCTATAAAAAGAAACGTAGAAATAAAACCTAACTAAAAAAAGAACGCACTGTATTAGGATACTGACCTGGAATCCTGCAAAAGTCAAACCTGCAGTCCATACTGGGCCAGCACAGGGGCCATATCAAAGTGAAATCTACTGCGCAGGTCTGTTATTCCCTGCGGAAAGTTTTCCGACAAAGGATATTTTGCTTCAGTGAGCTGGCTGTACCATCCCACACACATCTTTACAGTATATTTTCTCAAAGTCATGTTGGGTGACTACGTCAGACCTCCTCACGTGACGGGGTGTTAGAAACACACGCATCAGATCTCGAAAACAGATTACAAAACAGAAGTCCTTTATGGAGTTGAGCTGTGTCTAGGAAAAGGAAAATCCTGTTGATGTTGCCTTCTAAATGTGGCCTGAAACGGGCACAGAAAAGCTACATTTATCAGATTTTACTGCACTTAAGCTATCAGATTCAAGAAGGCATCGTGTGACAGGGGAAGCTTATTTTTTAACTGAAATTCAGGCTGTTCTAAAGGCCAACATCGGGAAGCTGCTGGAGTGCACTCAGCAGAGAGGGAGGCCAGCTTGGACAACCTCACCTATTATCTGGAAAAGGTAAACATTAGGGCCCTGGACTTGCAGTTGCGTGCACATAGGATTGTGAGAACGAGTACTGTCAGATTCATGAATGATGCAATGGGCCCAGTTAAATATTTTAGGTTGCTTGTTTGGAAAGATGAAAGGGGGAAAAGGTCCTGGGTTTCTTTTTTCTTTTTGAAATGCAGCAGTGTTTCAGGGTAGCTCGTGTGCCTTGGGTTCATCTCAGGATCAAGCTTGCCTGGGCACCTGCTTGCTTAAGAAATCTGGCAAACAGGCTTAGAGAATCTCTCTGAAGCCTTTTGAGTGCCGTGTCTCTATTTCTTGTTTTACCCAAATTCCACTGACACTCAGAGTCCCCCCCAAATATATATATATATTTTTTTTTTTTTTTTTTTGAGACGAAGTCTCGCTCTTGTCCCCCAGGCTGGAGTGCAATGGCACAATCTCGACTCACTGCAATCTCCACATCCTGGGTTCAAGCGATTCTCCTGCCTCAGCCTCCGGAGTAGCTGGGATTACAGGCACCTGCCACCATGCCCGGCTAATTTTTGTATTTTTAGTAGAGACGGGGTTTCACCATGTTGGTCAGGCTGGTCTCAAGCTCCTGACCTCAGATGATCCTCCTGCCTCGGCCTCCCAAAGTGTTGGGATTACAGGTGTGAGCCACCGTGCCTGGCCCCAAAATGTATTAATAGAAGGTATTTTTAATCTGAATGCTGTGGGGAATGATGTGTCCCAGAGTTCCCCAGGACAGGGTTCCTGTTCCCTGAAAATTTTCATTTTAGGGGTGAGCTTATCAAGAATTGGTTTCAAAAGCCAACCGTCATTTCCTTGTGAACCCAAAGGGCTGGCTGATTGAATGGAAGGTGGCTCTGTACCTCTCAGTTGATTGCTACCTCTGGGGGACGGCACAGGGAAGAGCCGTTTACATTCTGGCTTCTGAAGAAGAGTGAACCTCCAGCTAATCACAAGAATGAGTTGTCCTAAAATGGACGAGGCACCAGCTGCTGCTCTGGTGTTAAATCTAAATCCGCCTCCCCCACTGCACTGCCGCTCCCCACTCCCTGCCCCTCTGCACCCTGGGTTTCTGGGTTCTCCTGCAAGACAGTGAATCACAGCTTACATTGGTACTTCCTGGATAAATCAGAAACTGGGCAGTGAAGAGTGAATGAGATGATGCGCCTGAAAAGCACCAAGTGTGGTCCATGGCACCTGGCAGGGGGTTCAAGAAATGTCAGCTGGAATTAGCTTGAGAACTGACTGCATCTGCCTAATTGGTGGCTATGGAGGAACTGCTCATGCGGCTTATCCTTCATCCAGTATGTAGGGTGATCTTTAAAAACTACAAATGAGGCCGGGCGTGGTGGCTCATGCCTGTAATCCCAGCACTCTGGGAGGCTGAGGCAGGTGGATCACCTGAGGTCAGGAGTTCAAGGCCACCCTGACCAACATGGCAAAACCCCATCTCTACTAAGTACAAAAAAAATTAGCCGGGTGTGGTAGTGCATGCCTGTAATCCCAGCTACTCGGGAGGCTGAGGCAGGAGAATCACTTGAACCCAGGAGGCAGAGGTTGCAGTGAGCCAAGATCACACCATTGCACTCCAGCCTGGGTGACAAGAGCGAAACTCTGTCTCAAAAAAACAAAACAAAACAAAACAAAAAACGAAAAAACAAACCCACAAATGAGATCAAGTCAAGCCCTGCTCAAAGCCCTTCAGCGGACTTCCCCTGATCTTAGGATAAAATCAGACCCTTCCCAGTGCCCAGCAAGGCCCTGTGCTGTCCACTCTCCAGACTCACTCGTTCCCTCCCACTGCACTCCTTGCGCTGCCTTTGCTCAGGCACACAGGCTCCCTGGGCGGACTCTACCTGCCCAGTCTCTTCTGGCCCTGTGGCCTTTGATGCACACGGTTCCGGCACTGCCCATGGCTGGCTCAGACTCGTGCTTCAGGCCCAGCTCAAATGTCGCCTCGGAGGGGCCACCCCATCTCTCTATCTGCTGCCCCTTTGGTTTGCCCTCACATCACCTTGTTTATTTCTTCATACTGCTTACCTCAACCTGCAATTATCACCCGTCGTTGCCTGCTTGTTTACTGTCCACTCTGCCCGCCAGAAAGTAAGCTCCAGGAGGAGCTGCTTCTCTAGGCTGCTCACTGTTCACTGCTGTATCTCCAGGCCGCAGCACATGGCAGGAGCACGCAGTAAATGTCTGGCGAGTAAGTGACATGACCATGCATTTGAAACACAAACCAGGCTCACCCCGACTAAAAAAAGCAACCTGCTGCTGTCTCCTGCACTCACGATCCCCAAAAAAGCAAGCTGCCACCATTCCCTGCACTCACGATCCCCCAAAAGGCAACCTGCCGCCATCCCCTGCACTCACGATCCCCCAAAAGGCAACCTGCCGCCGTCCCCCGCACTCACAATCCCCGCAAAAAGCAATATGCCTCTGTCCTCTGCACTCACCATCCCCCAAAAGGCAACCTGCCGCCTTCCCCTGTACTCACGATCCCCCTTGCCCTGCTCTGCTTTTTGACTTTTCCACGGCCCTCAACATTCCAATATACTGCATACAAAATGGACTTACTTATTGTCTGTCTGCTTGCAAAAATGTAAGCCCCATAAGAGTACCAATCTTTGATTTTCTTCACTGACATATCTTAAGCACCTGGAACAGTGCCTGACACAGAACAGGCCCTCAGTATTCATTTACAAAAGGAACAATCTATACTATAAAAAGATATATGTTTATAAATCAACATTACATGAGGATGGTCACCATAAATATTGCCAATTACAATTTTCATCTGTCTGAATTCCCCAATATTGAATAAAATTGCTTTTATCAGATAAATTTCAAGTTGCAAAGCACTTTGCATATTAATTAATTTAATCACTTCCACAATCCTGTGGAGGCCGGCACATAAAAAATGGAAATACTGGCCGGGCGCCTTGGCTCACGTCTGTAATCCCAGCACTTTGGGAGGCCGAGGCAGGAGGATCATCTGAGGTCAGGAGTTTGAGACAAGCCTGACCAACATGGTGAAACCCCGTCTCTACTAAAAATACAAAATATTAGCAGGCGCCTGTAATCCCAGCTACTCGGGAGGCTGGGACAGGAGAATCGCTTGAACCCCGGAGGTGAAGGTTGCAGTGAGCTGAGATTGTGCCACTGTACTCCAGCCTGGGCGACAACAGAGCAAAACTCCGTCTAAAAAAAAAATGCAAATACTAGTATGTACTCACAGGATTCAATGAATTAACAGTTAGTGCTCAATATGGAAGCTAGTATTATTAACATGCTCATAGTACAGATGTGGTAACTGAGCCTGGAGAAGTGACTTGCCTCACATGAATGTGTACACATACAGCAGTAATTAAGTCAGAGCAGGTGACTTGTTCTATATGGCACAAAAGGGCCCAGCAGTGAGTCCAAACTGCAGGCTTGTTATACAAGATCCCCATGGAAGAAGCTGGCAGCTGGAAAAGACCCAGAATGGGATTCAAGAGGTTGGGCAGTTGGGGGCAACCAGCCTGAGTCATATGCCAAGAAATCACAGAGAGAACAAGGAATGTGCCAGAGAGGTCTCCAAGCAGGGCAGCCGAGGATGGCAGTTAAGGCATGCAGCCCCTTGATCCCGGGTGGCAGTTGCCAGGATGATCTGAGCATTGCTGGGTGGTGGGCCTTGGGCCTGGGATCCTTCATGGCTGGCCAGGTGTACAACAGCTGTCCGGTAGGCATTTTCCAGGTGCCGCCTGACATGTAATTAATCTGTGTCTGCCCCACAGCCCAGAAAACACTGGCACAGCCAGGATTTGCTAATCTAAAGTAAATGCCTCAGGAAGATGGGTTTTCATTTGCCTCCCCTCCCCCACCACAAGGATGTAGGTTTACCTTCTTATTACTGGTCTGTGATAATGCAGTCCCCAGGGATTATGGGGCTCATGCTAGGGACCTGCCGGTCAGGGTGCAGCATGAGACTGGTGAGTGTGAAGCTTCAGGGGAGCACTGGGGGAAGAGAGTCTCCAAGGGCAGAGCTGGCTTCTGGTGTGAACCTCCTCCATGATGGAGGCAAGAGTCTCCTGGCCAATACAGAGTGGAGACTGGTCAGCAGGGCTTGTCAACACCCTGAATCCAAATCTCAGCTGCTTTACCAAGGCTTCTAAGGTCCCCTGTGATCTGACCTCCTTTCCTGCCATTCTAACCCACACTAGCCACCCTTCTGTTCCTTGAGTGTGCCTGGGGCCTTCCCAGCCCAGGGCGTTTGCACATGCTGCTTCTGCAGCCTGGAATGTCCTTCTAGCCTGGGCAGCCCACCCTCACCTCCATCCACCACCCACTTCTCTCCTCCCATCTGGTGCCTCTGTTATATATTTTTTAGCATACTTTTCCTTCATAGTACTTATTATGATTGTAATTAAAAGTTACTTGACAAGTCTGTGCCTTTACTACAGAGTAAAAATTATATGAGGGCTGAGACTGTTGACCAGTTTTCCTAGCACTCAGCCCTGCAACTGCCACATAATAATTGTTAATAAACCTTTACTGAATGAATGAAAAACAGAAAGCACCCAAAACTAAGCTTTATAGAGCCTATCATACCTGGCACTGTTACCGAGCTTTCCAGACCCAGTGTCAGGTCAACCTGAACTGCCCTGCTATTTCCCACCTATGCTAATGGGTGGTCATAAAAAAAAAAGCCAAGAAGGTTGTTCTGACATGAAAAAGGAAAAAGAACCCACCCCACACACAAATCGACATTGCTGGCCTAAAGCTGAGCTGCATAAGATAAAACAGAGCTATCCACTGCCCACAAAGCTATTACAGCCCAAACAAGTTAAAACACTGAACCACAGCTCTGGAACACTGAAAAACTGCTTACTATCACCATTTTGGCCAAAAGGAAGAAAAAGAGCAATCTTTCAAGCACTACCGACATGCTTTGTTCAAAGTCCAGGAATTTGGCCTTTGTCTTGAGTACCTGGGCTGAATTGGCAACAAATTCTTTAAAATTTAATACTAAAAAAGTTGTAAAGGTGGCGACATGGCAGTGTCGTGTGAGGCCTTGGTGCT
The DNA here is from genome assembly GCF_000001405.40 of Homo sapiens. Classification (NCBI taxonomy): domain Eukaryota; kingdom Metazoa; phylum Chordata; class Mammalia; order Primates; family Hominidae; genus Homo; species Homo sapiens. The sequence continues at coordinate 141,426,642 of NC_000003.12, read as the reverse complement.
GGGTGTTTGTAAAGGACTTAGCTTCCACGTGACATCTTCCCTTCCCACACTCTGGCAGCTTTCCACCCTGCATTCACCGGTCACTTCCTTCTGGCGTCTGCTCCCTCCCCCGGCCTCCTCTCCTCCTCTCATAAGGAGCTAATCTGGAGACGGTGCTGGGTCTGTGGCCTGCTGCTGGGTCATGAAACTGTAGATGCTCTGCATCCCAGCACTTGCCCCCCATCAGGCAATGAATAGTAGATGGAAAAGGCACGGTCGTGTGTACTTATAACGGTTGTTCTCAGAACTATGCATATCAGACTCACCTGTGGAACCACAAAAAGAATTTGAGATCAATGATATCACTGACACTGAGCCAGGGTTTGGGAGACAGGGTCTGGGCAGGTGTGCTTTTGCATCCTGCTGAAAATTACCAAGATATATAGTCCGCACGACCTGGCCTGTGACTTCTGACTACACTATGAAGGAACAGCTTACCATGTCTCCTGCTTATGCTGGAGCCCCTCTGGGCAGCCTGTCTGAGAACTGCTTTAAAGTGACATGCCCATACTCCAAACAAATGCAACAATGTCCCCATTGTGACATCATTTGACAGGAGGAAGTCACCTACATATGTCATCCAAGCTGTGTCCCAACACCTAACAAGCATATATGTGCTGTGTGCTCTGCACCGTTCTACACACTGCATTTATATCATTCCATTTAGGCCTCACAGCAATCTTTCTCATTTTACAAATGAGAAAAGTGAGGTTTAGAGAGGCTGTGGAACTCAGCCAAGATTGTTTAGCTATTGGTGGCAGAGCTGGGATTCAAACCCAGGCAGCATGACTCAAAACCACACTTTCCATTTCAGGTGCAGGAGCACCAAAACATAAAGAACTTAGCTTGTCCATGTTTTTCTTGGTTTCATTTAGCGACCAAACTATTGAAGGCTCATAGGGCATCACACTAGCCTACTGACCAGTTTACATCTGGCAAAATGTAACTGGGCCTGGAGCAGGGCTGCCACGTGTGGGGTACAGGCTATGCCCTGTGGTAGGCTGAGAGGCAGCCCAGGCTCTGCTTGGCTGGGCATGTCCCTCGGTGCAGGGCTGCAGTGCCTGCCAGAAGAAGGCCATTTCTCACTATGTACAAAGATGCTATATGGGACCACCAGGTGGCCCTGGGGTGAACATTTAAGGGAAATTCAGTATTTTCCATAAATTCTACTTTTAATTCATTTTCTTAAAAAATGTGAACTTCAAAGTAATATATGGCACTTATGAATATGACTTATTTTGATTTTGATTTTTATCCACTCCCATTTCAAGATAATATTGAATGTATACGTAGAGTTACCATATGATGGGGGCATAGAAAAGGAATGGTGGGGAGACTAAAGTTGCTGAACTGAAAGAACTGAGAGACTCGCAAAGCATTGTTACTCTTTCCATGTTATTCCATTCTTAAAACAGGGCTCTACGATAGATACTTTAGGATAAGGCACACCATGTCCAGTCTGGTACAGTGGCTAAAAGTCTGAACTTTGGTATCTGGGGGACCTGGCTCTGTCATGCTCTGGCTGTGACCTTGTGCAAATTTTAAAAACTCCTTGCACTTCAGTTTCTTCCTCTGCAAAATGGGAGCTAATAATAGAAGATACTTGGGTTAACATGAGGACTAAGTGGTACCTTTAAAGTGCTTGGTATAGTATCTGGCATAAAAATCAAGCTTCATAAACATTAGCTATTATTATTATTACTATTACCAATTAATTATTAGTCAAAAATGTCAGCAGGAGCAAGTATTAGCTAAGCCTTGGCCCCAGGCCCCAAATTAGGGAATGTGAAATTCCTCAATGGCAGGGACAAATATCCTATTTCACTGTGTGTCCAGAGTTCCCCAGACCCCCTCACAGTGCTTGATACCCCATAGGGGCTCATTAACTAATTATTCTTTCTTAATTCAGACAGCAGTTACATGTGAGCTTTGGCCACCACACACACACACACACGCACACACACACATACAGGCATTTAATTATAACTATCATTTAAATAATTTTCTTTCTTTAGCTGCATTGTTAGCATCTCTTCTAAGCAAATGGAAAAAGGAATTATTATTTTTTATTTTTATTTTTTTTACTGACAGGGTCTCACTCTGCCACCCAGGCTGGAGTGCAGTAGCTTGATCATTGCTCACTGTGGCCTGGAACTCCTGGGCTCAAGTGATCCTCCCATCTCAGATCCTGAGTAGTTAGGATCACAGGTGCCCGCTAACATGCCCAGCTAATTTTTTTTATTTCTTTGTAGAGTCAGGGTCTTGCCATGTTGCCTAGACTGGTCTTGAACTCCTGGGCGTAAGTGATCCTCTGGCTTTGGCCTCCCAAAGTGCTGGGATTACAGGTGTGAGCCACCACACCAAGCTGGCAGTAACTATTTAAATAAAAAGTCTTTCAAGTTCACTGTTTATTACCTGTTCCAGTAAAAAGCTTGGTAGAAAGGAAGGTGTTTAAGATAAATACTTAGATCATCAATAAATTTCCATTATGTGGACTTATCCTCTTAAATCAGAAGGTCACTCAAATTTGGGTATAAATTGATGAATAAAAACAAAGCTAGGGTTTTATCTGTGTATTGTCTGTTTTGGATAGTGACATTCTTTCACCTTCCTAAAGAAGCCTCTCCTGCACTGGGCCTCATTACCTCTCCGATCTGTTTACAGACTTGACAAATCACATCTGCTCCTTTCTCTTGATGCAAAGGGGATTTTTTAATAACATATCAGTTTGGTTACAATTTATTTTAGAGAATACTTTGGTGTTTTGGGTTTTTGATTTTAGAATCTTTTTCATTTAAGTCTCAGTTTAGTGGATTCATTAGTTTGTATTTTGTTCAGTAAAAAATAATTAAAAATTTGGGTTCACTTTGGGATTTGGCATGTTTATTGTGCTTTATTTTAGATTTTGGTTCAAGCTTCCCTTGAAGTCCTTGATTAAATTACCGGGAACTGTCAAATGTAGTTGATAGTTCCAAGCTTTCCTTTCCTCTTCTGTGGGGCATCCTTTTTCTTCCCGTATAGTGAGTTATCTTTGTCTTCAGAGGTAGAGCACTGGTTACCCACTCCTGGGTTTAAATTACAGTTCCGCTAACTTGCTGGCTGTATGCACATGTACAAGTTAATTAGCATCTCTAGACCTGGTTTTTAAAAAAACTATAAAGTGGACACAGCAGTGTGACCTCATTCTTATAAGGATTAAATGAGATAATACAGATAAAATGTAGTATCTCATTCTATTGCTTTTCACTCTCGTAATCTTCCATGAAAATTCCAGAAAACAAACAAACAAAAACCTATAACTACAGCTTTTTTTCTCCAGTCCATCTCATTATGATACTAGCAACCAATTAAATGCTCGACAGTTGAAAGGTATTGGAAGCAGGGTCAGTTTGTAAGTGGAGATTTCCCTAGTGCTGAAGTGGAGAGTTGAGTGGCCTGGAGAGATTCAGGCTTTAAGAGCTTCCTCTAAGTCCTGGCAAGATCAGCTCTGCAGGCCGTATCGTCAGGAGCTGAAGGGCTCAGGCCAGGCTGACCCCAAAAGAAGGGAAGCCAGGGAAAAAGTGCTTGTGGAAGGCACATGCAAAACCAAATTTTTAACAAAATACGGGATTATAGGTAATACAGTAAGAGTTCATATATTAAGACTTTGGGAGAATATGTTAATATTTTTGGTACAGTGAAAAAAACCTATTTTTTGATACTTTCAAAGAATTATATAAAAAATTATTTTTATAATACTTTGAAAGAATAGATACATGCATCACGATGCAATATTGTGATAAATACAGTCAATAACTGTGTGTTAACAGACACAAAATTAAGTGACTATATTGTTTTGGGGAGCCCTGCATGCCCATTAAGGATAAGGCACCCGCACAGCCCCACTGTGAAGAATAAACAGAGAAGAGGTTAGGGGTTCAAACAACCAGAGGGGAGCTTCTACCCCTTGAGTGGCTTCTATAGGCCTAAACGTTGCCCCTTCCCGTCCAAGTAAAGAGATTGAGCAAATCTGCCCTCCGAGCATCACTTTACCCTGAATTAGATGATTATTCAGTTTCTTCACACATAGAAACATCAGGGCACCCAGCTTCACCAGAGCATTAGGAGACTAGGCTAAGAAGGCCAAAGAATTTCAGCATAGGAGCACTCTGTTCCCTTCACAGCTTCATCCTGGTCCATCCTTGCCTTGGTGGCGAGGGGCCTTTTAAACGCAGTAAGGTGACTTATGCTCTGAGAGGCAATAAGTGCCAGGCAAGGAGGGGAGGCAGGGTACAGGGGTGTCCTGGCCCGAGAGGTGGGGCAGGATGCAGGAGGAGAAAGGCCAGAGAGAAAGGGGCATGGGGCTCCCCCTACCCAGGAGGCCTCTGCTGTCCCCCTGAGTGAACGGTAGCCCAGTACTGCAGCATACTCCTGGAAAGGCTGGGCTCTTTCTGCATTGCTGAGCCTGCCCATTCTGCTTTCAGGTGTCATGGGCTTAGTAAGGAGGCTAGAGTCATAAAAGTGAATGCCCCAAGGCAGTTCCTAGCTCTGAGGGCAGGCAGTCCCTCTTAAAAACAGGATTCCTTGGGCAGAGCCCTTCCCCAGCGGCAGCTTTTTCAGGGTTGTGTTTTGGGGTTCCTTTAGATTTGATGACCACAGCCCATCCCCAGTTCACAGTGCTGTGTCCACAAGATGGTGCTGAGACCACTCAAGGAAATGCTCCTGGGTCCCAGGTAGCCAGTCATCCAGCCCCAAGACCTTTCTCAAAATGGGCAGATGAGTAAGCATCACTTCACTATGACCAGAGCTTGGGATGTTTTAGATAACAAAAAGCACAGAGGGCATGATGCTTAGTGGAACACGCACTCTGACTCATTCTTATTTGCCATGAATGGATTTTAGAGATTCTTCAGATGGGGAGTGGGGTGAGGGGCTGAGGACGGCTCCAGCCAGTGTGTGAATCTCCTTGTTAGAGAAGTCCCCACCAGGGAGGGAGCAACTGAGGGGCCCTCAACTGTAGCCTTTGCCATACGACAGCCCTTTGAATGTTTACCCTTTCCTGGGCTATACATCTCCAATTTCTTCAGCTACTCCCTTATATCAACAAAAACAAAACAAAACAAAACAAAAAAACCCAAAAAACTCTACAGAAAAGCCTAAGATCTCATAGTGTGACCAAAAGAAGTTTCTAGACTCCCCGGTGGGTGTGGTAGCTCACACCTGTAATCCTAGCACTTTGGGAGGCTGAGGCGGGAAGACTGTTTAAGGCCAAGAGTTCAAGACCAACCTGGCCAACATAGCAAGACCCAGTCTTAGTTAAAAACAGAAAAAAAAAAAAAAAAAAAAGAGAGAAGTTTCTAGACTCCTGGTTCCACATGGCTTATTATGCCATACTCCTCAAATGGCAGATGCTAGGACCCCACTTATTAAAGTGGTTGACCTCACTGTAAGCCTCAGTTTCCTCATCTATAAAACGGAGTGACTACTATACATATCATGGAGTTCTGGGAGGATTGAGAGTATATGAGCACTCAGCAAGTACATAGCAAGTAGTAAGTGCTCAATAATTGATTTTATTTATAATATACAGACTTTTTTTTTTTTTTTCCTGAACTTCTCCTTTCTTCCCTTGTTTTATTCCTCTCCTATGGCTTCCAAACCTCCAGGACTGGATTTTTTTTTTAACTGAAACTCAAAATTTCCCTTATTTATTCTGGTTAAACTTAATTGTGTTTGTTTTATCCATCCTTTCTCTGCCTGCTGAGGTATTTTAGAACATCAATTCTATCTTAAAATACATCTACTGATCACTTAAACATGCTCTACTGATTCCTGCTCTAGAAACTTTCAGTAAGTTCAGGACGGTGATGACTGGGATAAAAAGACATGACTGTATTCTAGCTCACCTCCACAGAGCAGCAGAAAGGGATCATTCTTCTTCCCCAAAAATCATATTTTGAGATCAGTACTGTTATACTTAGAAAATATTTTTAAATCTATTAGAATAAAAAAAGAGAAAGCCTTGGCTTCATCTTTAAAGAAGGAAACTGAGCACACATCATTAGGATGTGACCCTGTAGGAAGCAGTTCTGAACAGCTTAATCCATCAATATGTTTGGAATCAAGGTACTGAGGCCACAAGGCAAGTAAGCTCTTGAACTCAGATCCAGAAAGTTTCAGAGCTCCTGGGAGCAGAATTGTTGGGAATAACCTAAGAATAAAAGATCAAGATATCAAGCTCCCTGGAACTGATCTGTGGTCTCTGGGCTGGTCTTTGGTTACAGGTGACCCAGTGCAAAACTCCAACCAATTACATTCTCTCAGCTTCACTGTTTCAAAACCACAGCAAGACTCTAATTTTCAACTGTTCTTCTCTATTCCCTCATTCTCCCTAAGTAGCTCATTCCAATTGTTTTTCTCAGGCTCACATCCCAGCATCCTCGTGCCCCACCCTGCCTGGAATTCAGGCAGCCTGCGATTGTTTCAGTGCCCATATCCGCTTACCCAGCAGAACACCACCTTCCTCATCCTGACTCCTCCCAAAGACCAACCTTCTCAACCCAAACACAGAACAAAGACAAAAACACCCAGCCTCATTCCTGTGTAGCCTTGTACCATTTGCAAATCACTTTTTTTTGAGACGGAGTTGTGCTCTTGTCGCCCATGCTGGAGTGCAATGGCATAATCTTGGCTCACTGCAACCTCCGCCTCCTGGGTTCAAGCGATTCTCCTGCCTCAGCCTTCCCGAGTAGCTGGGATTATAGGCATGCACCACCACGCCTTGCTAATTTTGTATTTTTAGTAGAGATGGGGTTTCTCCACGTTGGTCAGGCTGGTCTCAAACTCCCGACCTCAGATGATCTGCCTGCCTCGGCCTCCCAAAGTGCTGGGATTACAGGTGTGAGCCACTGTGCCTGGCCTACAAATCTCTTTCATACACCCCTCCTTATTTTCCTTCTTACGATGCTACTGCAGGCTGGGAAATTGTATTTCTATTTCAAAGATGGGACACCAAGGCTCAGAAAAATGAAGACAAAGTCCCAGCACCACATCACATGTCACTGGAAAGGTCGGGTTTTCAGTCCTGATCTTGTGACTCTGAGCTTCAAACTAACTTCTAACGTACTTAAATGGAAGACTAGATTTGTGTGATTCTAAACATTAGCAAATATAAACCACCATCTCATCTTTTGGTTGGTATGCTTAACAGTTGTGCTTATTTTATGCCAAATTCAGTGTCATACATGTATCTGCCACTCAAAAAAACTACATATGTGATATGGTTTGAGTTTGTGTCCCTGCCCAAATCTCATGTTGAACTGGAGGAGGGGCCTGGTGGGAGGTGACTGGATCATGGGGGCGGATTTCCTCCTTGCTGTTCTCCTGAACAGTGAGTTTTTACAAGATGTGATGGTTTAAAAGTATGTGGCACTTCCCCCTTTGCTCTCTCTCTCCTGCTGCCATGTGAAGAAGATGCCGCTTCCCCTTTACCTTCTGCCATGATTAAGTTTCCTGAGGCCTCCCTGTCATGCTTCCCATTAAGCCTGCAAAACTGTGAGTCAATTAAACCTCTTTTCTTCATAAATTACCGTCTCAGGTAGCTCTTTACAGCAGTGTGAAAACAGACTAATACAATATGGTTAGCTATCTTTACCAACAAAACCAGTCTTTCCTGATCAGTCTATAGCATGCCATTAGCACACTGCTGACCAGGTGATCACGTAAATATTCTACTTTGTATTTTCTACCATCTTGCGTTTACTTGATCACACAGTATTTTGTTTAACTTGTTCTTTAAAATGAGAATAACACCTGAGAAGATTATTGTGATAGCTGAAGAAGGCAGTGAATATAGAGACCTTAGCTAGCAAATATTCAATTAATGGTACACAATATTACTACTACTAACACATTTTCAATGCTTTCACTAAAATCAAGCAGAGTTTTGTTTTCTTAACAAGTATCTGATGAGGTATAATGCAGTATCAGTACAATAATTCTAAGAAACAGAATGATTTCCTCTCCTTGGCCTTTTTGAATCTTTTATTTCTTCCCTCATTCAGCAACCTCCTGGAGCCCACTCTCCAATGGAGGAGAGAGACGTGCAGACAGCTCCTATGATGATGAGAGTGCTTCACTGATGGGGCATCCAGGGCTCTGGAGGAAGCAGCCTTAAACTGGGGAACAGGAGTCAGTGCAAGGGAGGGGGGGCTCGCTCTTGAAGGATAGGGAGAATTTCCTTGGAATCCAAGAGGGAAAAAGGCATTCTTTTGTAGGCAGAGGTCTAAGCAAAGGCAGGAAGGTATGAAATAGAATGACACACTTGGGGAGGGGCAAACAGGTGGGATGGCTGCCCCACAGGCATGTGCAGGGCTGCGCTAGGAGATGGGGAGGAACCCTGGTGGGGCCTGGTCATGAAAAGTTTCCAATACTGGATGAGTTTGGGCCTTATCCTCTAGTCCCATAGTTCTCACCCCCTAACTACATACTGAAATCGCCTTTGGAAACTTGAGAAAACACCAATACTCAGGCCCCAATTCAAGATTCTGATGTGTTTAGTCCTGGGTGGGGCCTGAGTATTGGGCTTTTTATTTTTTATTTATTTATTTTTTTGAGATGAGTCTCGCTCTGTCACCAGGCCGGAGTGCAATGGCGCGATCTCGGCTCACTGCAACCTCTGCCTCCTGGGTTCAAATGATTCTCCTGCCTCAGCCTCCCGAGTAGCTGAGACTACAGGCATGCACCACTACGCCAGCTAATTTTTGTATTTTTAGTAGAGATGGGGTTTCACCAGGTTGGTCAGGGTGGTCTCCATCTCTTGACCTCGTGATCAAGCCTGCTTAGACTCCCAAAGTGCTGGGATTACAGGTGTGAGCCACTGCGCACAGCCTGGGCTTTTAAAATAAGCTCTCTATGTACAACTTGAGCAATGGCAAGTCATTTAAAAGATTTAATATAGGAATGATTTGACAAATTTGCAGACAGGTCACTCTGAAAGCAGTTTGGCTAGAAGGATGTCTGGAGAAAGTCTGAAAGAAGGCAAAGAGACAGGTGGGGATGAAAGAGAGGGGAAAAATTTGAAAGCTATTTGGATGAAGAATCGACTAACTGGAAATTAGGGGAAAGGCAGTGGAGCAAGAATGACTGACGTGCCTGTTCTACTGCGTTTAGATGTGCTACTAACAGGTCAGGAGCCCAGATCAAAGAGCTGGTTTGGGAGGTGGATAATGAAGGTTGTGAAGTCTGTGCTCCCTCTGAGAAGCCTGAGGAAAATGCAGGTGGCTCCCTCAATCAACAGACATCCAAAATGGACTTCAGTGCTGAAAGGGAGCTGGGGTGAAGATTCAGATGTACAGTGCAATGACATATGGGAGGTGGTTGCAAACGTGAGCATGCATTTTGCCCAAGTTGAAGTAAATTGGATGAAAAGAAAATAGGGCTAAAAGGGGAGCATGAACAATGGATGCTGGTGCATCAGAACCACCTGCAGACCCTTACTGCGATTTCATTTCTTCGTGCCACTCCAGACTGACTGAATCTGGTAAGGCCCCAGAATCTCATTTCTAACAAGCTCCCTTGTGCTGCTGGATCAAGGTTAGGTTTGGACACTGTACTTGTTTCCTGGGGCCGCTGTAACAAATTACCTCAAACTTGGTGACTTAAAACAACAGAAATTCATTATCTCACAATTCTGGAAGCCAGATGTCCAAAATCAAGGAGTCAGCAGGGCCGTGCTCTCTGTGAGGGCTGCAGGGGGAGAATCCTTCCTTGCCCCTTCTAGTTTCTGGTGGCTCCAGTCTCTCCTTGGCCTGTGGCTGCGTAACGCTTATCCTCTGCCTTCATCTGCACATGGCCTTCTCCTTTCTACAAGTGTCTCTACTGTGTGTCTCTTATAAGGACACCTGTCATTGGCTTTAGAGTCCACCTCTCATCTCAGAATCCTTAATTACATCTGTGAAGACCCTTTTCCCAAATTAGGTCACACTCACGGGTTCTGGGACATGGACACATCTTTTGGGGTGCAGCCATTCAACCCATTACTGACACCATGGCAGTAGCTCACATGAATGAATGTGAGAGGGAGCTGGGATCCAGAACTCCACGCTAAGCTTCCTGACAGTGGTAGGAAGAGGAAGAAGAGAGGAAGGGAGAGCGAGCCAGCTCAGAGACTCCTAAGATATCCAGCTGCACTCCCAAGTTGTGTTCTGCTCAAGGGACCCCAGGCCACTGTGAGTCCAGGGCAAAGGACCACCTGAGAGTACTCCACGGAATGGAAAAAAATCACAACAACCATAAATTCACAAAAAGCCAGGCCATGCTGCCCTCAAAATGTAGGCAAGAACTTGGAAGGGCTGAAAAGGCTTTTAATTCATTTTTAAACTAGATTAATGTAATATGAAGCTGGAATTTCCTCTCTAAGATTCTGCAGCCCTTTTCTCACCACCCTAGTAGTTTCCAGTCCAGACAGGTCACCATGGCAGCATGGGATTAATTATTTCTGTCTTTCCCGTTGTTTTCTCAGGAGCAGGCAATGCCCTCAGCCATGAACATTAAAGAAGTTCAGCTACACCTCCCTTTTCACCACCTACAAGGGTCCCATAAAAATTCACTGAGAGCAGACCACCCCTCGTTTTTATACTGATACACGTTCCACCATTAAAATCCTACATTATAATTATTTATGTCAGTTCCCTGATACACAAAGGTTTTCTGTCCCCTAAAATAGGACCTTCCCTGCTTGGCAACAGGGTTTCCAAGGCCAGAAGGTCAGTGGGGGCTGGAGATGGTGGAAAGGAATGAGGCACTATAAGATTAAAGTCACAACCAGGGGACAACAAGAGTCTTCAGAATCAGATTCTTAATGTGGTCAATCACCCCATCATACATTTCTACAGCAGGGCTTAAAAGGCACAACCCTCAACCCCACCGCCTAAGACCAAAGCCTCCAATGCACCTCCTAGTTAGCAAGTCCACAATCTTACATAGGCCAATCTCTATGTCAGTCTGTCTCTGTGCTTCGCCAGAGTGTCTAGAGCAGCACTCCTCAAATGTCAATGTGTGTAAGTCAGCTGAGGATCTTGTTAAGTGCATTTTCTGACACAGCGGGTCTGGGGTAGGGCTCGAGGCTCTGTATTTCTAACGGACTCCCAGAGGATGTCCATGCTGCCAGTCTGAGGACCACACTGGGGGTAGCAAATGTCAGGACTCCACTGCAACAGCATCTGATGGCTTTTCTTTGGTCAAGTCATCCTGGAACAAGTTTCTAGAATGATTCCACCCTGGCCCCCCTAGAGTCCAGCCCACACAGCATAAGCCCTACAACTTGACTTATAATGGCAGAAACTTGCATTTCTAATAAAAGCCCAACTCCTACAACGAAAATGGGTGACGTAAACAGGACAGATTCCAGAAAAGGTTCTTGTATGTCTGGTCCGTCTTCATCTATGTCAGGGTGGAGATGGCTGAGGTACCCCTGAAGATGTGGTTTAAATGGAGTGTAGGGAAACCAAGTTCCCTGACCTCTGGTGAAATAATAGCTAGAATGGAGAAGATGATGATGATGATGCCAGAAACAAGAAAAGCTAACATTGACTGAGCACCTTTTACATCCCAGGCCCTGTGCTATGTGCGTCAAAGACATTATGACTCAGCACCGAGAAAGAAAGGGCAGGGTTAAAAGATATGCAGAAAAGAGGGAAAGCACTGTAAATTCCAGGGTGTGTGGAAGGTCAATAAAGTGTCAACAGAGGCAGAGAGGACAATCCTCAGATTGTCCCAGTCTAGGCCTAGTTAAGGAGTCACTGTTTGATATTTCAGAAAACATCCTTGGACCAAACATACCAAAGACCAAGTACACCAGGACGTATCTGCTGTCCCTTGCTGTCATCCATCACCTGATGCCATCCAGGTTAGCCTCTGCAGGCTTGGTTCCATCTGGCTGCCTTAAGACGGACATGCCTGGACACAGAGGGGCTTCCTCTGATGTTCTTCCTGTCTCACCCTGGGATCAGTACACCGAGCACTGGGCAACTTAGTCAGGGCTGCTCTGTCTGATGCCTTCCAGATGTCCCTGGACACAAATACTATGCTCTGCTACTGACCCCACTGACATAATTACTTTGCCTGTATGAAATGGACATAGTTATATCTGAAGTGGCTGACTTATTTGTGGTGACATGGAGAAGGTTCAATGGTCTTTACTTTTCCCTGGGCTGGGCCTTAGACAGCTTCAAGCCCAACGCTCTGCAGGAGAAGACTGGGCAGGTTGCCACTGAGGGAATTCGGATCAGCGGACTGAGTCAAATGGCGTGCAACTGGCATGCAAGAAGCAGTCCATAGGCTCCATTCGGCCTGCAGACGCTCTCATCAGGCCCCTATCTGTGTGAAAAAGTTTCAAACCTCCAGTTTGCCACAATCTAACCACTTGCTTACCTTCTTATACCAAGCCCACATTTGATGTTCATATTACTTTCCTGTTCCTGTATGTATGTGAGTTTTAGATCTTAGTCTATAAAAACGTAAGTATAAATCACATGTAGGTTTTGTTCTGCCTGTGAAATTTTAATCTCTGTACTGTGAGTCATTGTCCTTCTAAAATTTAAATGATGAGATGTCAGTATTCAAGTTTTCAAAACTCTCAGAGTGCTCCGTCCTAATGAAGAACAGGTGTTGAGAAGCCTTACCACAGAATATATTTGGGTGACATACTATTTCTTAAGGATCCCTTTAGTTTGTCCATTCCTATGGGGAAAATTTCTCTACGTAAATCTTCAGAGACAGAGTGGCAGGTATCAAACTCTTCACTTTGCTCCAGTCAGTCACATTAATGATAAAGTCTGTTCAAGCTTCAAGAAAAAGGGGTACTTAACTCCTAATAAGCATTTCATGAAATCAGATTTTCTATCAGAGGCACTCAGCTCTCCTTTAAAACAAGCATCCCACAAGTCATCATGAGCAGGTGTGTAACGGGGGAAGCAACACTCACTGAGTTTTTATCGGTTCCGGTATCCTGAGCTGACATCATGCTCCTTCCTGGGTTACAGTATGTGGGAGTTGACATCATGCTCCATCACTGTGTCACACAAATACAACAGTTCCAAAAAACAGATCATAGAAATAGGGCCTGGACCATCCAGCTGTCAGGTATTCAAAACAATAGGGTCAACACCATGAAGCATCTCCACCAAGATCACAAGTACCCACAAGGAATCCTCAGAACTGCTCAATGAAAATGGTGGCTAAACCCAGGAAGCAGATTTCAGCTTTAGAGACATCAGGGGGATGTGCAGCTGATTCCTCAGTCTGGGGAGCATTCTGACCGTCTGGGGTGTGAGGACCTCCTGCAGGAAGGTGGCTGAGGCTCTCGGCCGGCTGGGTCTTCCCCACCTCCTCCCCACTGTCAACAGACACCTGGCTCCAGGCGCAAAATACCAGCGTACAGAGATCATCTGTATGGGCCTGGGCCCTCAGATATTTATTTAAGTCCACGTACACACTTTCCCTGCACAAACATTTTCTTCTTCCCCATTTCCCACAATTCCTCCTCCCATGTTTCCAGTTTGAAGCCACTGCTGGCAACACTACGACCTCTGGAGGGAGGCCAGGCCTGGCAGCACAGAGCTCGAAGGCAGCACAGGATTGTGAAAGTCGCCTCTTCATAGGCTCAGGAGACGCAGGCGCTTGGCAGAGCTGTCCGGCAAGCCCACCAGTAGGTCTGAGGTACAAAGAGAGGCACAAAGGCTTTCCTACTATGGAAAAGCGACAAAAACTCTGGCCAGTGTTTCAAATGGATGAACAATGGTTCAGATAAAAAAAAAAAACCGAGTGGAAAAAATTGTGGGAGGGAGAAAGAATATTAAGGGAGCTAAGTTCCAGTGAGCTGTTGCCAATTTCACCCCAAAAGAAAGGTAATAGAAACAGAAGGAAAGTTTCTGGCAGTAGTCAGGTGCCTACATAGTTCCCCTATTCACCTGGTTTAGGGTAGAATTATCTGAGCAGAAGGAGCAATGATGTTGGTAAATAAGTTGTCTACATTAAAAAATAATTAAAACTCCCCAAACAAACTCCAAACCACTGCAGGTAAACACTCGCAATATGTTGTTTAGAAAAATTATGCTTTAAATATACTGATCTAAAAAAAAAAAAATCAAAAGAACAGACTGTTCTGTAGAATAGCTTGAGTTTCTGCCTGTGCTTTCATTTTAGAAAACAAATGCTCGTAGACCTCACAGTGGGAGGAGTTTCACACAGGGATTCAGCTCGCAGAAAATGGCCACCGGCTTTGAGAGACCTTAACACAACAAACAGGGCACCCAAGAGACCTTTTGGGAATACGAGGCACTTGCCTTTCACAAGGGTAATCGTCTAGAGATACACAAAACCATTTTTTTTTCTTCCCGACCAGTAACATAAATCATAGCTTCCAAAGTATTTGTTTACAGAATACCACAGTGACTAATTACCAGAACTTTTCTTATTCTCTCTGAGCAAAGGAACCTCATGGGAGAAAAAAAATATAGGTCATTTTTAATGTAAGGGAGTTGCTAGGATTGGAGGTTAAGACAACTATTTAAACTTCATAAAAGGAAAAACAAAAGACCTCAAAAAGTATTTTCTAAAATAGAGAAAGGTGCAAATCTTCTTATCAGAAACGCATTATAAATAGAAAAGAAACTCTTAAAAGAGATTCTTCAAATGTGACAAAAAGCTCTTGGTTTCCTGAAAATGTCAAAAACAAAAACAAATATTGACAATACTAAATATCCAACAGACAGGGTAAGAACTTCACTTAGAAGCAAATTTCCATTTAGGTAATTTATGGTGCTTCTGTGCAAAAAGTTGCTTTACACTGTGTAGTCGCTGAAGACACTCCAGAATTGCTAGACCTTCACAGGAAAAATTTTAAAGGTCAGGGTTTTTTTTCTTTCCCTAGTTAGCACAGCACTCAGGGGCAGCCAGTTCTCTAACGTCTGAGTAAAACCCTACACAGGGCTTCATTTCAGTGCCACGTCATGGCTTTTGCAGACTATCTTCTTGCCTCCGCTTCCTCAAAGTGGTCCTTCTGTCCCCTCCCATTAAAGCAAAGGTGGAACTTGCATTAATTCAAGGGAAGGGCTGAACACACTACAGAAGGCATGGTTCAGCCACAGGCACCGGTTATGGCTGTAACCACTGTAAATCTCTTCCACGAAAGAGCATCAAAGACCTGCACAGAGACCTTGAGAAACCTTGCTCTTTGGGCTCAAGTCAGGGACTATAAGACCAGACTAAATAGGTTTAAGCAGGGACAGATCAGAATGCTGAGTAGGTTTTTCAAAAAGGAAATCCTCATTTAGGTGTCTAGGAGCCAATCACTGTGCTATTAAAACTAATCGGAAATCTCCATGCTTACATGAAAACGCACAAAAGTATGGGGAGACTGATCTGAATATGTGGGTCTCCCTTGCCTGGCAAGATAATGAATTCATCTTTGTTTGGACTGAATTGGTGGTCTTATTATCTAATTGTCATCAACTCTACAAACAGTCAGTTGTTCTAACACATGAACAGGAAAAATAACATAAATAAAACAGGGCCTAGAAACAATATCCAACTCACAAAGCAGGAAGTGACAGCTCATATCTGTCTCACCTTGCACAAAGCCTGCCTTCACGGGTTGCTGAAATAATCCCAAGATACCCTTCCAGGACTTAAACAGCCACTGGATTTTTCATGAAAATGCATCCTGGTATGAACACTCACAGTAGTGGCCAGAAAAATAGGGGTGCGCAAGCTGGGTCTTCCTCTCTCCCTGCGTAAATGTTTTAATTTCTTTCAATATTAAGTTATAATACAGCTTAGGAATTTTCATTTACATAAGAGAGGAGAAATGCTTTTGTAAGATGGAAAACAGCCTTCTGTCTCTCCCAGGTCAAAAATAAATTTGCTTGACTATCTTAATTGGCAAAAACCCAAGGGCTCCAACTGGACCGGAAGCTTTGCATCACGGTGTCCTACTGCGTGTGTCTGCTGGAAGCCCAGCAGATGTCATGGTCAGCTTGCTCTCATGGGACAATGCCAGTCCTTCTTTAAGCTTTGCTGCTGACTGCCATCTCCTGCTCTTCTGATAACCTGCCTTTTTCTGGCAGACTGGGCCTAGGACAGTGGGTTCTGTTCCCACTTTGCCACTAATGATGTGGCCTTGAGCAAGTCCTAAGACTTCTCTGGACTCTTCTTATCTGGAATGCAAAGAGGTCGGGCTAGTTTATTTCCCAGGTTCCTTGTAAGCATTAAATTTGAAAACCATGATTACCAGCCTGTCCCAATCCTTCTGTAAGAGTCTTCATTCCCTCAAAAGTGGACAATCTCCCACCCTTAAATTCATGCACTTTCCTCAAGTGTAGAGGGTTAAAGGCAGAACCCAAAGTCTGGCTAATATCGGCATATCTATGAGGACAGGAGGGAGCTACTACATTGAGACCCCTGGGAGACCTCAGACTGAGTCCCTGCCCCTGCTTGTCCCAGCACCTCTGCTTTTCTGCTCAAAAGAAAATAAAGTACTACACCTTAGAGCCGGAAGGAAACAGCCACCATTGAGCAAAACCTTCTTTGGTTATAGGTGAGGAAACCAAACAAGCAAAGTCATGCTGGGAACAATTCCTAGGCCTCCCCTCTGGATTCTCACGAATGTCTTTCTTCTCACCCCAACCCAGCCCTGCAGGGGCTCTGGGCAATTTTCCTAGCCCCCTGTAGAGTTCCTCAGGGCCTCAGAGGGTAATCAACAAACATTTACTTAGCCCTCTGGGCAATCCCCCAAGGAGCAGTTTTAAACTTTCAACTGGTATAGGCTCTGGGAACATTTAGCCCAGCACAGTGACAGTGACAGCTATAGCAAGACACAAATTGATTGATCTGATCAGTGTGGAACTCCATTGGTGTTTTACTCTAAAAGAAAGGCTTGCAGCAGCAGCACAGACAGTAGATAAGGATAGGTTAGGGATATAGGGAGGCTCCATGAGGGTGGGGTCCTGATCTCCTACCTGGCACGTAGTTGATACTAAGTAAATATTTGCTGAACAAATTCAAGTTTGCACATTATCTCTGCTCCATTTGCTTCTTGTCAAAAATTCTGAGGTTACAATAATATTAAGGATGAGGATCTCTGAGCCTCTCAGTTAAAATCAGGAACAAATACCTGTTTCATACTCTCACTATGTGGCTGGGGAGGCAGCCCAGAGTGTGGAGAGAAGAGGCTGGCCTTGTGAGTCAGACAGACCCCAGGGTGTAAAAATCTCACCTCAGGATGGGCACGGTGGCTCACGTCTGTAATCTCAGCACTTTGGGAGGCTGAGGCCGGTGGATCACCTGAGGTCAGGAGTTTGAGACCAGCCTGGCCAACGTGGTGAAACCCCATCTCTACTAAAAATACAAAAATTAGCTGGGCGTGGTGGCAGTTGCCTGTAATGCCAGCTACTTGGGAGGCTGAGACAGGAAAATCACTTGAACCCGGGAGGCAAAGGTTGCAGTGAGCTGAGATAGCGCCACTGCACTCCAGCCTGGGCAACAAGAGCAAAACTCCGTCTTAAAAAATAATAATTAAAAAAAAATAAACTCCCATCTCTACAATCTTGGCTGTAGTTGAGTTTCTTTTTGCTTCACTTGCCACACCATGTTGTCTGAGGTTCTAAAAGATGGCTGAGATAATGCATATAAGGTACAGACCTAACTCCATGAATGTCAGTTCCATCCTCTTTCCTTGGGAGCTGTGGGTATAGAGAGAGAAACTCTGTTTCTAGGAAAGGCTCCAGGCCATCAGCATCCTCCTCCAAAGAGGCAAACCAGCAAGAGGATGCTGACATCGTTTTAAAATGACTCAATATAGTTTTCATAAATATATTCCCAATAAGTCATCTGATTTCTAAACTATGTATAGAGAACATAAAGAGCAATTCCATATACATGTCAAATGTTTTATACTTTCCATATCTAAGTTAAACACCAAACATGTCTATATATCTCAATCCTTTGTTGTGAATAAACAAAGAGGGAAGCTAGAATTAGGAAGAAAAAAATGATACATTCTTTTTTTTTTTCTTTTTTGAGATGGAGTGTTGCTCTATCACCCAGGCTGGAGTGCAGTGGTGCGATCTCAGCTCACTGCAACTTCTACCTCCCAGGTTCAAGTGATTCTCCTGCCTCAGCCTCACAAGTAGCTGGGGCTACAGGTGTGCGCCACCATGCCTGGCTAATTTTTGTATTTTCAGTAGAGATGGGGTTTTGCCACGTTGGCCAGGCTGGTCCCGAACTCCTGACCTCAGGTCATCCATCAGCCTTGGCCTCCCACAGTGCTGGGATTACAGGCATGAGCCACTGTGCCCAGCCAAATGATTTTTTCATCTATAAAATGGAGTTGGGATAGATGAAGAATATGAACTTTAGCCTAAAAATTAAGTGACTTTAAGATGCAGAGATTGAGGGAAATAATACAATGACAGAGATGTTTATCCACCAGAAGACAGAGTCATGTAGAATACTTTAATGGCATGACTGTAGTGTTGTCACATATTGCTAACAAACAAGTTACAATGGTTTTGCAAACTCTGGCCATGGGGACAGGGTGTCATCACTTATTCCCCAGAAAAAGAAACTGGTTTGCAGGCAGCTTGTTACCCAGTACTGTGATCACACAGCAGAGAGCAATGAGATGATGCGGGGTGGGAGGGTGCAATAATACCACCATTCCCTGACTCTCTGGAACGTATTTGTTTTTGTCTGATTATGCATATAATCCATTAACATTAATGATATAAAAATTTTGAGTATAGACATATCTCTAGTAGAAACAGGAGTTGAAACTAGCATCTCAAATCTCAGGTTTATCTCTTCCTCTGCTTCGCAGAAATTGGCAATTGTTAATCTTCGTCACCAGCCATGACAGTGCTGTTTAAAATGCAGATTCCCTTGCCCCACCTGGGAATCTACATTTTGACAAGTTCCCCAGGTGGATTCTTGTCCATACTAAATTGATGATCACTGGGACTAACCCAGAATAAATCAGTGGTAATAGGAGATGTGTGCTTTCTGTGATAAAATTAAAAATTAAAATGAGTCTTAAAGATAAGGCTTTACGTGTAGATGCACAATATATAAATTTACATATCTATACAAGGTTGTGAGGGGAAGGGAACCAATATTAATTAATTACCTACTATGGTATATAGAAATCCTGACCAAATTATGTATTAATTAGTCTTCCAAATAATCCTATATGAGTTATGCATGGAAAAAGTCAGGCTTAGAGAGAAACTCTTCTAAAGTCACAAGTCTGGAAAGTGGCCCAGCTAGGTTGTGAAACTAGATTTATCTGACCCCGGTCTCCTCATTCCATTGTACTAAGCTCATATGCACGTGAAAATGCGCAGACACGCACATGTCATACAATAGCCATATGGTAAAAGGCAATGGAATTACATTACTGTTAGAAACTTTTTGAGTCAACAGAAATGTATTTTTTAAAGGACTCAATTCTATTAAGGGATATTCTTTAATTTGTATGCTGACAACAGAATACAGTGTATGACTACTATCAAAACCACATTTAACAGCCTGAATTTTCATAATCAGAAATGTGTTTTGGGACTTGCCGGGGACAAATTTAAGAGTGATTCTTGATTTGTGTAAATTTGAGTGGTTTAATTTGTGTAAATTAAACCACTTAATATTCATCATACACGTCATATTACCTTAAAAAGGAAAACACCAACAATGTAACTTTGCACTTGTGAATCCACCAGTCTTCCTAAGCTCATCCCTCACCTTCCACGGTCTGACATGCCTGGCTCCCTCCATTAGGAACCCCCTTCCGCTGGCTTCTGGAGTTGCATTCCTCCATGGTTCTTCCTTACTATCTTGCCAGACTTCTATCTGCTTCCCTAGATCTTCCTTTCTTTTCTCAAAAGGCTCCATCCTCAACCATTTTTCCCCTATATTCTCTCTCAAAAATCTCTTTTCCCATCTCTTGACTTTTTCTTATAAACCAAAGACTCCCAAATGAGCCCTGGCCTTCTTGTGGAGCGCAAAGCCCCCTTCTGCCTGGGAGACAGCATGCTTCAACACTGCAAACACAGCACCTCTAAAATGTAGCTCCTTACCTCCTTCTGAGTTTCCTCCATGGGTACCACTGCTCTGGAAATCGCAGTGTCAGCTTTAGCTGTTCCTTCACTGAGACATCAGATTCTGTCAGTTCTTCCCTTTGCATCTATTCCTTTCCCATTTCATTGTTATCATCCATTTCAGGCCTTTTCTGCCCCTCTTTTTCCTTGGTGGGTTGTAGTAGCTTAACTGGCTTTCTGGCCTCTAGTTTCTGCCCTGCCTCTCCTCCCGATCTCCCCCCAAGCTACTCACAAGAGCCTGGTCCTGAAGCACAGCCACAACACTCCCCTGTTCAAGTACCTTTAATGACACCTATTGGTTAATGCATTCACAATTCCTAGTTGGCATTCAAGACTGTATCATTTGGCACTGAATGTTCTCCAGTTTTGATGCCTGTATATAGACCAGTTCTAACTCAGTTGGACTTGATGCTTTTCCCTGAATATGCTCCAAGTTTCTCCATCTCCTACTAGTCCTCCTATCTCAAATGCCTCCTCTCCATCTCTTTTATTGAAATGCCACATCATTCAAGGACTTGCTTAGATGCTTTTTCTCAAGAGTCTCTTGACTGCCAGGGATAAAAGGGACCCCTTCCTCCTCAAATTACCAAAATATCTTCTTTTTGCATTTATCACGTGGTTATTTCTGCATATCTTCTTTCCTCAACAGAGTCTGAGAGCGAAGAGACCAGATTTTTGTGGCAGCTGAATTCTCCATTCTCTCTAGCACAGTCATACTTCTAGTATGCTGTACAGCATTCACAGAACACCTTCAAGTTTACAAAGCATGTTCACATTCAACATCTCATTCGTTTTATTTGGGGATTAAGTTATTACAGGTAGTATTCAAGTCTTGCGATTTGATTTCTGTGGCTTACTGCAATTCTTAGAGCTATCTCTAATTTTCTACCTTATAAATTAAACAAACATATTTCTTAAATTACTTTACTTTTGAATACCCACAGTCTTCTGTGGCCTACAAAGCTAAAAAAAGAGAACATTTCAAACCAAACAAAGCCCCCTTGCCAAACTGCTTTTTCTTGGATTATGAGTTAAATGTACAAATGAAAAGGCCTCTATAAGCAGGTAACGAGAATGACAAAATCAAAATTTTAAAGAGAAGTGTGAAATTCCTTTCTGAAGATATTAAGACATTTTAAATGGCTTTCCTATATATCCATTTGGAATTCTACGTATGGGTCAATCTCCAACATCCGTGGAGCTGACATTCTAGCATATTAACAATAGAAAATTGCTAACAGTTGAACAACAAATTCTTTGCTAAGAGACTGGAAATGACTAATATGATTGTAAAAACAAATCTGTCTGGTCTTGAGTACCCAAGTGCCTTGTAGAAGCTCAATAAACATTTGTTGATGAAAAATAAATGAATGAATTCAGAGAAGGCCTTACTATCATTTATAAATTGAGGGCATAAGTTTTAATAGATAGGTGGAAGTATAGATTTAAGTGGAGAAAAAAGAAAAATTGAATTTAGAAGTAGGAATTTTGGTGTGTCTATGACTCTGGTCTGTCCCTGCGATGGACCCCACTCTGCAACTGCTGGAGAAGCAGGGGAAGAAGGTGGGGGTGAATGGCAAGCACCGTCCATCCTACTGTGCCTCTCTGGAATCAGGCTGCAAGCTCCTCCAGGACGGGCACTTTGCAGTCCTGGCACAGAGCTGTGCCCACAGAAGGGTCTTCATACATGCAGTATGAGATGCAAAGCTCTCCATGACCTGTCTCTATTTTCACATTTCAATCCTTTACGCCTATTCTTCCTCACCTCATAGGGCTATCGTGAGGGGTAAATAAAAAATACTGTGCTTAAAGCCCTTCACACACTGCCTAGCGTACACATGCACACAAATGCTCGACAAATGGTAGTTGTTATTGTCACCATCTGGGACCTTGTATATGGCTCCAAGGTAGAGCTTAGTGTGCTGGGCCGTCAATATTTGTCTGCGACAGCTGCAAGTGTCCCGGGGATGGTCTCTTCACATTTGTATACTCGGTGCCTAGCAGAGCGCTCACCTCACAGAGGCCCTGAAGCTGGCTATGTGACTGAGCAACGAAGATTCAAGGTCCAGTCCTGCCTTGACCCCAACCCACTGGGTAACCCTGAAGAGTCATTTAAACTCTCCGGGCCTCAGCAATGTCAGTGCATCCTTCCAGCCTAGGGAAACTAGAGATCTGTGAAGAGACATGTAAAAGACCCCACGACAATTGCTGACAGAACTGGAACAAGAAACCAGCTGTCCTAAAGCCTTGATCTCCTAGTTCCCCTTCATCACGGGGGCTTCACACATCCGGTCTCCCAGTAACATATCACTTGAGTGTCATGGTCACTTTGTAACCCCAAAACTTGGTGGATTGCTGTCTTGAATCATATACCCTTTGGGAGTCCCTCAGAAAGACCATTTCCTATCTCATGTAGACTAAGGAGAGACGCGACTTTAGTTACCTCAGTTAGAACAGACCAGCTTTAACAGAGTGAGATTCCTGTGCTTTGGAAGAAATCACTTGGAAATCCTTGGTTCTGAGTCCTCCATTTCTTCCACATCAAGATCTAAAAAGAAAAAAAAAGTGCAGTGTCCCATGACTAGCTGCTAGGATTTCATCTTTTAGCAACAATAATAACTGCAATTAGCACATATTGAACACATAAGTCAAACACCCACAAAGTGGTTGACATATGTGGTTTCGTGTTGTCTTCATAACAACCTTCAGATGTAGGGAACATTCCCCCATTTTACAGCTATAGAAACGGAGACTCTAATGGACCACGGAACCTGTTCAAGGTCACACAGCTGGTGTATGTGACAATTAGGACTCAAATCCAGATTCAATTGATTCCAAGGCCTGGGCTATTAACCAGTAAGTCAGGGTTTTAAAAACATTTCAGACAGTGACCCACGGTTTTAAAAATTTACATTATATAAACCGAAAACCAAAAGTCTCATAAAACAATGCTTACCCTTACTATGTGCAATGCACGTTATTTTTTCTATTCTTCTCTGTATTGTACTATATATTCTATATCTTTAAGAAGATTTCCAGTAGCAACCCGCTAAACTGATCCCACAATCTTAGAATGGGTCCCCCACTCTTGAAAAACGCTACACTTAGATATAGCGACTCACTAGCTGCTTCTCTGAAACCAGGACAAAACTCTTCCACATTTTGTAACCATGAGAATCTGACCAAGTAGTTGAGCTTCACAGAAGAAAAGTCTTTAACCTTTAAAATATGTATAAGGCACCATAACACATATCACCTATAATCGATCCTTAGAAGGGATACTCAATTAGGGCCAACGTCCAGAATGGAATTAGGCACTTACCTACCGCAGTGCAGGAGTTATAAAGTGGAACCGCGGACAGACTAAAATCTCAGGTGATTTATGATGTACCCTATAAAAAAAGTGGCTAACGGCGGGCGGTTGTGTTGTATGTTGTACCAACAGAGCAGACCTTACTACTGCAGAAGTAGGCGGCTGAGACTGCAAACCCCTGGGGGCAGGTCCCTGCCTTTGCACGTCCCTTTCAATTCCAGGGGCTTGGTGTTGCATCAAGGAAATCATCAAGTTCCCATAGGGTCAGGACTAGGGTCCGATTCCCAATCCAGGAGACGGGAGGTGTGACTGTCAAAGCAGTGCCCGAGCCCGCTGGACTCGAGCCCACCACGTCCCCAGCCCCGGGAGCGCATTCCTCCTCGGCCCCCGCCCTCTAGCACAGCCGCGCAGTTGGGCCACGGGATGCGGCGCAACCTGCCCGCACTCTCCAGCCGAACCCACCCCGCCCCGCCCCGCTCCGGGCGCGGGCCCCGGAGTCCGGGCACCTGCGGGCGCTTCCTCCCCGCGGGCAGCTCGGTTCTGCTGCGTTTGCAGAGCTCAACCCTTGCGAGGGTTTCCCCAGCCCGGCTTCCCGGCTCCCTCCAGAAGCGAGGAGCGATCGGGCTGGCGGCGCCACGGGCGCCGCGCCCGCAGGCCGCGCCTCGCCCCGCCCCGCCCCCGGCCCCGCGAAGACCCTGCGAGGGGCACTTACGGGGCTCGGCTCCTTCGCCGCCGGCGCGTTTCCCCGGGGGTCCATGGTGCTTCCGGACCCGTGAGTCCGGCCGCAGCGCTGCACAGCACCGCCCAGAAAATGGACGCCGGCGGCTCGGCTCTGCCGGCCCGGCCCGCCCCCGGCGCGGGGCAGAGGACGCAGCCCGTCCGGGAGGAGGTCGGCCCGACCCGCAGCCCCGCGGGCCCGGGGCTGGGGTAACTGCGGCGCCAAGGACCAGGCCTCAGGAGGGCGGCGGCGGGACCCGTGAGGGCCCCGTAAGGCCCCATGCCCGACCCAGTGGCCAGCCGGGGCCCCCCACCAAGGAGGCAGCGGCCTCAGCCTCCTCAGGGAGGACACAATTCAGAACCTGCCGAAGGACAACGCAGTTAGGACTCTGGGCCACAGAGCCTGGTGACTGTCAGAACAAGGCCTCGGGCCGCAGAAGGGTCCGTGGGCTCCTGTTCGAGACTATGCACACTGGATTCGCAGAAAGTCGCTGTTTCAATTGCATCAAATTCTCAGGAATAAGGAGTCACCTGTGTTTTTTCCATGGCCGTCAAGAGAGGCCTAGATAGATTTTTCCCAACGTGGCACAGAAACTATTTCACGCAAAAGACCCAGTCCTCTTCTTTAAATGAAGGGCCCTGGCCGCTGGCATCTTTCTTCCAAGATCCAGGGGCTGCTCATTGAAAAAGTATTCAGAGAGGGCCTGCCACAAGCTGGCCATGTGGAGCTAATGCACGAATAATGGACAGGTGTTTTTTTTTTTAAATCGTCCATGTTCCCTGTGTTTTGACAGTAGAGTCTTATTCTTAAATTTTCTTAAAAAAAAAAAAAATTCAAGGCCACAGCTTAAAAGGATTAAAAAGTCAATTCTTTACGTTTTCAGCCAGGAATCTACAGTACTTGCAATTCTGCATCCCAGTTCCTGACCATGTTTTAAGAATGTGATCACTTGATGAATAGATTCCAATATTAAATATAAAGCCAACAAAACATTTTAAATAATGAGGGAAAAATATATTGACTCCAGGTCAAATTAAATAATCATGTTATTTAAAAATAAAAGGAAGAGTTTTGAAGGCCGACAGTTTGGGCAACATGCATACACATGTATATTAGCATTTCCCAACCTCCTCAAAGCCAAGCACCCTTTATTCTTCCTCCATATGCCATGTGTTCAGAAAGATCTACTCAACTAAACTGCATTTATTAAGTAATGATTCATCTTCCCACTTAAAAAAAACAAAAACAAAAACCTGCAATGTTTTTGTATATGCAATTACCAATCAGAGCTTTCTCAAAACCTGAGCTAACCTGTTGTTAATAGTGGATTCCAACCTAAAAAATTTGTGATCTATTAATAATTGCATGTTTGTATGTTTCCACTGAAACTTTTGGAAACTCTGAAAATTACTCAAAGACCTCCAAGAAAACTGAGGCACATGGATTAGGAACCAGGGTTGGGAAGTGCTAGTATGCAGTATTGCTCTCTGTGTTTCCCTGTGACTGGAAGGTGGGAGGTGGTAGGGCAAGGCAATTCCGCTTTGGATTCAGCCTGCCTGGGTTTAAAGCCCAGCTTTGTTGCTTACAAGGCCACTTTAGGCAAGTTAGCTCAACTCCCGTGCCTTCTTCATCTATAAAATGGGACTAATTTTAATATTAGTGCCTACCTTGTAGGGCTTTTTAAGAACTAAATGAGATAATACATATGAAGCATTTGCAAGAGTACCTGGTATTATGTAAGCACGCTATGATTGCAGGCTGTTGTGGCTGCTGTTAGTACTGGAAGTTAAGTATTCAGAGTTCTAAGTTCCTACCATCCAAACAGTGAGAATCATAGCTACTGTGTGTAAAACAACCTTTACACCCTAGAAATTTTCCATGGGTAATCTGCCAGGGTCACATGGTGAGTGACATAAAGGGATTGAAACACAGGTCTGAATCCATATCCACTTTTTTGTATTGTTAACATGTTCCAGGTGGTACCTTGACCAGACTCTGTCAACAGCTTGTTAAGGGTAAAACCGGCTCTGGGTTTCCTAAGAGGCTTAGCAAGTGAATGGGTCTTTACATCCACTTGGGAATTCACAAACAGTGGCATTTCTTTCTTATTAGAGCCAAATGTTTCTCCAGAAGTGGCTAGATTTCCCCAAATTGTTATTAATAACTAAAATATCACAGCAACAGTTTTAAACAACACAGTCTAAAAATTACATAATCAACCCGTTCTTCAAAATTTTCCATCCTTCCTCATAACCAGTCACAGATTCTCTCTCTTAATCATTCTTCTGAGTATGGGGAACTATCTGGAAATTTCCAGGAAGGGCCCAAGTTGTCATAATTATTTTCTTTTCTGTAAAAGTTTATCATTTTCAAGACCACTAAACATGATGTGTTTCCTCTATCTTTATAATACTTCTCATTTCAATACATTTGCAAAAAAAAAAAAAAAAAAAAAAGCAAGACTTTCAAGATTATCTCCTCTCTTAAATTCTTAAATTTCCACCAGTTCTTCACTATTCCCACAATATGCTTCCTTATCCTTTTCCAGGGGCCTTTTCTAGAAGGCTTTCCTACCTCATTCATTTAATCTCCACACAGGTTTCTGTTATCCTACAACTGCCTGCTTGCACCTTCTGACTAGGACTCTTGGCCAGTTTAACACTTACTAACGTCTTCTCTTTAAGGTTTCAATATTATAATATATTAAAAGACTAAAGTATCTTTTTTAAACCTGCTTGCTGTCTTTGTTTCCTACTATTGGTTAGGAATCTGTTAACTCATTCCAACTCTCATACTAGCAGCACTCTGTTAATTTAATTCGTGGTTTTACTTTTTTTCCTCTTTCCCTCAACCTGGGTTCTCACCAAATTCTATAACTTGGCCTCCCCTAATTTGGCTGCTTATCTCTTTCCCTTCAAGCACTTTAAGGAAGTCTCTTTCCAAATCATTTTTTCTCATCTCTACTACATTCTTGAAAGGCTACTTGTTGTGTGTGATGTGTGTGTTTGGTAGTAAATCTACCAAAGCCCTTGAAGAGGCAATGTTTAGAATAGAGGTGTCAACTTCCCATGCCCGTGGGAGCCAGGCAGATAAATGTGTGAAACTGCTTATGGGAAGTGGCATGAATTTTGGCCTGCAGGAGAATTCAAGTCCCACCTAAATGGGGTTGGGAGGTGGGGAATGGGGATGGTGGCTACCCAACCCCGACCAATTGTTGCCAGGTGGAAATGCCAGATCTGCAGCACTTCCTAAGGGAGTCTAAATCAGGATTTTTATATAAAATCTATGAAATGTTGACTACTTAAAAAAAAAAAAAGGAATATAAATCTGATCAAGGCTCTAGATGTAACTCCCAAGTTACAGGAAATCTCTGAGATAGAGAAACACACAGAACAGCACCAAGGGAGGTAATCACCAAATTTCAGATAGGAGGAAACTACAGTTTCTTCAACAAAATTTTACAGCAATAGCAAGGAAAAAAAGAGAGGAGAGAAACCTATAAATTAAATGAAATTTAATAGTGTCAATTGCACTGTATGGACTTTCTTTGGATTTGAGCCTTGAACAAATAAATTGGTTTTTTAAAAGATGACCTCTCATTTTTTGAATGCTATGATGTTTTGATGTTATTAAGGAATTATTGTTCTTTGTTGGTGTGGTCTAGTACTGTGGTTATTTTTCTTTTTTAGTAATCCACATTTAAAAAATATATTTTAAAAGTAATCTACATTTCTAAAACTTTTATTTCAAAATATTTCAAACTTATAGAAGTGTTACAAGAACAGTGCAAAAAAAAATACAGAAGGAGATTTACATGAAACAAGATTGCCTAGCAGCTGATAATTGTCAAAGAACTGAGGGTTCATTAAACTAGCCTCTACTACATATGTTTAAGATTTTCATAAAGTTTTAAAAGGTTATGTTAATAAAAGTATTTAAAATGACATAAAATGCTTCTGCTAGGATGTTAAGTAGACAAGAAGATACATAGTTTGTCTATAAAATACTATCTCAACAATTAAAAAATGCACCATGCGTAGATAAAAGGCCAAAATGTTCAACACTCCAAATTACCTCATAATAGGGATATACTACTTTTATAATTTGAAAAAAAAAGGTAATAATCATTTTAAAACCAAGAAACAAAAATATTGGCGACTCATTCAACTAAAAACATTGTTAGAAGTGAAACAAACACACAGGTGGACTGAATCTGGCCAATAGGGCCCCAGTTTACAGGTTTCCAATTAGAAAATGGGCCTGCAAAACCCATTTGGTCCCTCGGGCCACATCTGGCCTGATACCTGTTTTTGTGTGGCCTACAAGCTAAGAATAGTTTATACATTTTTTAATTATTGGGAAAAAATCAAAAGGAGAATATAAACATAGCTCGTTTTATTGCACTCCACTTTATCGGGTTTGTAGATACTGCGTCTTTTTTTACAGGTTGAAAGTTTCTGGCAACCCTGAGTCAAGCAAGTCTGACTGGTGCCATTTTCCTAATAGCATGTGCTCACTTTGTGTCTCAGTGTCACATTTTAGTAATTCTCACAATATTTCAAACTTTTCCATTATCATTATATGTGTTATAGTGATCTGTGATCAGTGATCTTTGATGGTACTATTGTAATTGCTTTGGGGTGCCATGAACCACGCCCATATAAGATGGCGAACTTTATTGATAAATGTTTATGTTCTGACTGTTCCACTGACTGGCCATTCCCTACCTCTCTTCCTCTCCTTGGGCCTCCATATTTCCTCATCTACAAAAATACTGAAATTAGGCCAATTAACCTTACAATGGCCTCTAAGTGTTCAAGTGAAAGGAAGAATTGAGCATTTCTCACTTTAAATCAAAAGCTAGAAATGATTAAGCTTCATGAGGAAGGTATGTCGAAAGTCAAGACAGGCCAAAAGCTAGCCCTCTTGTGCTAAGCATTTAGCCAAGTTGTAAGGAAAAGCTCCTGAAGGAAATTAAAAGGGATACTCCAATGAACACGGAAATGATAAGAAAGCCTTATTGCTGATCTGGAGAAAGAATGAGTGGTCAGGATACAGGATCAAACGAGCCACAACATTCCCTTTAGCCGAAGCCTAATCCAGAGTGAGGCCCTAACTCTCCTCAATTCTAGGAAGACTAGGAGAGGTAAGGAAGCTGCAGAAGAAAAATGTGGAGCAAGCAGAGGTTGGTTCATGAAGTGTGAAAAAGAAGCTGTCTCCATAACATAAAAGTGCAAAGTGAAGTAAGTGCTGATGTGGATGCTACAGCAAGTTATCCAGAAGATCTAGCTAAGACAATTGATGAAGGTGGCTACATTAAACAACAGATTTCCTATGTAGACAAAACAGCCTTCTATTGGAAGGAGATGTCACCTAGGACTTTCATAAATAGAGAGGAGAAATCAATGCCTGGCTTCAAAACTTCAATTAGGGGCTTATGAAGCTGGTGACTTTAAGTTGAAGCCAGTGCCCATTGACCATTATGAAAATCCTAGGACCTTTAAGAATTATGCTGAATCTACTCTGCCTGTACTCTATTAATGGAACAACAATGACTAGATGACAGCAGATCTAGTTTAGTGAATATTTTAAGCCCACTGTTGAGACCTACTGCTCAGAGAAAAGATTTCTTTCAAAATATTACTGCTCATTGACAATATACCTGGTCACCCAAGAACTGTGATGGACATGTACAAGGAGATAAATGTTGTTTTCATGCCTGCTAACACAACATCCATTCTGTAGTCCTGATCAAAGAATAATTTTGACTTTCAAGTCTTATTAAAAATATATTTCATAAGGCTATAACTGCCATAGACAGTGATTGCTCTGATGGATCTGGGCAAAGCAAATTGAAAACCTTTGGGAAAGGATTCACCATTCTAGATGCCATTAAGAACATTCATGATTAATGGAAGGAGGTCAAAATATCAACATTACCAGGAGTTTGGAAGATGTTGGTTCCAACCCTCATGGATGACTTTGAGAGATTCAAGACTTCAGTGGAGGAAGTAACTGCAGATGTGGTGGAAATAGCATAAGAACTAGAAGTGGAGCCTAAAGATGAGACTGAATTTCTGCAATCTTATTATAAAACTTGATCAGATGAGGAGTTGCTTCTTATGGATGAGCAAAGAAACTGGTTTCTTGAGGTGGAATCTATTCCAGGTGAAGACACTGTGAACCTTGTTGAAATGACAACAAAGGATATATGATATTACATAAATTTAGTTGATGAAGCAAGGACAAAGTTTCAGAAGACTGACTCTACTTTTGAAAGAAATTTCTACTGTGGGTAAAATGCTATCAAACAGTGCCACAAACTAAAGAGAAATCTTTTGTGAAAGTCAATAAATGCAGTAAACTTCACTGTTGTTTTATTTTAAGAAATCGCCACCCCAACCTTCAGCAACACAACACTGATTAGTCAGCAGCCTTCAACATCCAGGCAAGACCCTCCATCTGCAGACAGATTATGACTTGCTGAAGGCTCAGACATCAGTAGCATATTTTAGCAACAAATTATTTTTAAACTAAGGTATATACATTTTTAAGGCATAATGGTACTACACACTTAATAGACTACAGTATAATGCAAACACAACTTTTATATGCACCGGGAAACTAAAAAGTTTGTGCACCTTGCTTTATTGCAACATTCGCTTTATTGAAGTAGCCTGGAACCGAACCTGTGACATCTGAGGTATGCCAGTATTTCATGATGTGAAAATTATATGAAATGCAGATTTTAGAGTTTATAAGTGAAGTTTTGAGACACAGTCACATTCATTCATTTCTGTATCTGTGAATGATAGTATATCATTATTACTATACTTAATATTATATATTATTGTATTTTGAATTTCATAATACAAAATTTATGAAAATTTGCTTTGTCACTTGTTATATAAATACCTACGAAGTATCTTCAGTTTTGTCTTGACCCACTGTTAAACTAAATGTATAGAAGGCCATTGATTTAGACTGGCTCCTGCACTAAGCCCCAAGAGACCAAACCAAAATGGAGTCACTCACGCTAAAGTTCCACATCACCAAACTGAAATGAAGTTGTTTATCCGACTTGAGAAATTAGGAGAGAGATAATAGGCCAATTTTAGCCAGAATGATAAAGCAGTCCCCTCTGCTTTAACCTTTATAAGGAAAATTACCTGCAGTAACCTGATGTTAACCAATCTGCTTTTTGTATTATGTTATTTCCTTGTTCCTGCCTAAGCTACCTTATAAAAACCAATTGTTCTGCCATGCCCAACAGAATACCTTCCTATTTGTTATAGATAGCGTGCTGCCTGATTCACGAATTGCTAATAAAAACCAAGTAGATCTTTAAACTCAATTTGTTGAAAATTTGTTTTTTCATGCCATAAAGCCTAAAGTATTTGCTGTCTGATTCTTTACAGAAAAAGTTTGTCAGCCTCTGGTTTAGAATTTGGGCTTTCCCTGTGACCTCAAGGCAGCTTTAGTCAAAAGAGCACTGGTCTAGGAGTCATGCCTGGTTTCATTCCACCACTTAACTCTCCGAGAGACCTTAAGAAGTCCCATCTTCTCTGGGCCATGATTCCCTCAAAGATAGAGTATAGAGTCTAAAATCAATAAGGCAACAGAAACGTGTAGTTCAGATTCCCATAAGAGCTTAGCAGGAAGTACAGGGATGATGCAGTGCTAAATGCTGGTATGCCAGCCAGGTGTGGTTCTCCTGGAGACCAAGCGATTCAAACAATCAGAATATCCTTTGAGGATGGCTCCACAGGCACTCAGACTAGGGGCTGGATAGGCTGGTGAAGGAAGGAAGAGGAAGGCTCTGGGGGCTCCCAGAGCAAACTAGCATGCCTGCAGTGGGCAACCTGACTTTGGGGAAAATAATTTCTAAAATCTGCAGTGTACAGCAAGTATTTTGGGTAGGTCTTCAGTCTGTGCTTTGTAGATGACCAAAAGCACTTGATCACATAGCATGAATAAAAAGTCTGCTTATTTCATTTAATGTTTAATTCAGATCTAGTACAGTGATGGGGAGGAGGGTGGTAGGGGGTGGTGAGGAGTGGTGGTAAGGGGACCCTCTGGCATCCTCAGCATGTAGAATAGGAGACTTGGGAGAGAAATGGAAAGTTCAGGCTGGGCGCGGTGGCTCACGCCT
The DNA here is from genome assembly GCF_000001405.40 of Homo sapiens. Lineage (NCBI taxonomy): Eukaryota > Metazoa > Chordata > Mammalia > Primates > Hominidae > Homo > Homo sapiens. The sequence goes on along the minus strand of NC_000003.12, from coordinate 141,394,291 downwards.
GTAATCCCAGCACTTTGGGAGGCTGAGGCGGGCGGATCGCGAGGTCAACAGATTGAGACCATCCTGGCCAACATGGTGAAACCCCGTCTGTACTAAAAAAAATAAATACAAAAATTAGATGGGCATGGTGGTGCATGCCTGTAGTCCCAGCTACTCAGGAGGCTGAGGCAGAAGAATCACTTGAACCCAAGAGGCGGAGGTTGCAGTGACCTGAGATTGCGTCACTGCACTCCAGCCTGGCAACAGAACAAGACTCCGTTTCAAAAAAAAAAAAGAAAGAAAAGAAAGAAAGAAAAAAAAAAGAAATGGAAAGTTCTTATGACTCTGTAGTAAATAAATCACCTTTAAGGACATCAATCTGTAGGCGCTTCACAATCGCCAACGTGGGGCCATTAAGTAGCAAGGCCAACATTATGAGCGAAGCCAGAGAGTACATCATAGCACCCAGTCTGTATGCCGTAGGCCTGCAACCTGCATTTAAGGTCTCTCCTGAGCCTTCTTTTTCTAGTTGCAACCCCTTCCCACTTTCTCCCTGGTACCTTGTTCCCCCAGCTCCATGGCGCAGCAGAGCGGCATCTCCTTTTGTCCCCCTGGCTGCCTCCTGACTGCTTCCTTTGTTCCCTCTTTCTTATCTTCTGCATCCTCACCCTGCCCCCATGCTGCCCTCTCTATCTACAGCCAGCTCCCCATTTTGCTTCCCAGATGACCACCCCATTCTCTTCCGCACTGTTCCCCAGTACCCTGAGTACTTCAGAGAATCTTTCCATGGTGTAGTTCCTTCCTTTCCCTGCTCCAGGTTCCTCTCTTCCCTTCCTCAGTTCAAGAAACAAGAGAAAAGGAAAAAAAAATGACAAGGGCACTGCCCTTCTGGGATTTAACCACACTCTCAGCTGGTGGCTTTTGTTTTCTGGCTTCACTGGCTTGTAAGGCCCTCAGGGCAGGGACTCTACGTCATGCTCAGCGCTGGGGAAGGTCGGCAGGACTGTCAGGCCTTAATTAGAGCAAGGCCTCAGACAGGGTGGGAGATTTTAGCAAGCAAGAGGAAAAGAAATTTCAAAATATCCATTTGGCAGCAATGACCACAGAGTAAGGAAGAGGATTGTTTTATTGTAGAAAGCATATAATGAAAGCCTCCACTGCTTTTCATGAGCACAGAAAGAATATTTACACTGGCAATTTTCAAACCAAACAGCACCAGAAAACAAACTCCCTCCACAGGCCAAACATAGGGAGTGTTCAGTCTTGAACCCTGAGCAGGAATTGCTGCAGAAGCAAGGAGAACATTAAGGGGGAAAAAGTGCAAAATGAGTTATGAGATCAAAAGAGCAATTTTCTGGTCAATGAGACATTTAGGCTAAGGCAGTGGCATGCTGGGATCACCTAACAAAGACAATTGATTTTGCAACTGGTCTCTGATTTACCTGCTGCCCGGAAAGCCTTCTGCAGAACAGCCAGCATGGAGACCCCCCACTGTCAACCAGGGAAGGTAAGAAAGCAAAAACATCTTGCCTACATCACAAATTCAAATTTTTGCATTTGAGGGCTTCTCAACTTAACATCTGCTCATGAATGCAAAAGTGGCAGCCGTTATTGAGGTCACCTGGCAATGCAGGCGGACCAGCTTGAAGAAGGGCAGCCAGACATACGGTGGCTTATTAGGAGCCAAGACATCTCGGGAAGGTGGTGAGGTCAAGACACAAAGTCCAAGTGAAGAACTGTCCTTGTCATCAGCTGAAATGCCCCAAACTGAGGGATGGCCTCTAGCGAACAGTATAAAAGGCCATTAAGAGAACAGCATGCCATTTATTTCTTCCTGGAACAGGGAGGATACACAATTGTACTTGTCCATACAATGCTCTACCCTTGTGTGGGAACCTGGACTGCAGTTTCATAGGGGGACTATGTCATATTTCATTCTGCTTGGCTTATAGCAGTGTTTGGCACATAGCAGATGCTCAACAAATGCTCAAAGAAGTAAACTGAATTGTTGCAGTCCCCTTCCCCACTAATGGGCAGAGAGCCCCTTTACCACCAGCCCCCTTCCCCACTCTACTACAAAGGAACCGAACAAGCTTGTCTTCATGTTGTGGAATGTTTCAGGGCCTCTCAAAACCCAACGAAGTATAACATGCCAGCCAGGCCGCCTCTACTGTGATAAGCAAAGTCAGCTAAGTAATGAATCAATTTTAGACGGTGCTTCTGAAATGTTTAGAAGGCTCAAAAGAGCCTTATAGTTTCTAACTCACATAGCAAACTTCTCCCTTTGTTCCCTGACCTTTGTCAACAGAATAACCTGAAAAGCATGAAAGAGTTCTGGTTCTTAAGAAGAATTTTTTAAAGAATGACTTGCTCTAATAGAGGAAAAAAAACCTCACTAGTTCTTTAGAAAGCCACCAACAGGCAAAGATGTGTGCAGAGCTGAAGCGTTTTAGCAAAACCTGAAAAAAACTTCACTCTGATGGGAGGCATTTTAGGACTAAGACAATCTACTGGCCAGATGAGATGAGATGAGACAAACCCTTCCACCATTTTGCCTTTGAAAAAAATTCAATGACTATCTCAATGTTTTGCCATTGGTTTAAATTCCAGAATTCTTATGAAAAATAAAGCAAGAGGCTTCTCAGAAATTTCTCTACTCTGAGAGGTCTTTCTTCTGTGCATTTCTTGGGTTGACACTGAATCTGTGCCAGAATTTCATCACCACCTAGCACTGCAATGTACTCTACCTTCTGAAGCAGTTTCAGGGTCGTGACGGGGTCAAAGGCAATGACCCCATGAGTACCAGACTCTGGGAGTTTGACTGGCTAAAACCAGTCACAGGGACCTGGGCCATCCTCTTACTGTAGGGGAAGCTTACCTAAGTTAAGCCTCAGTCCTTGAAACTGTCAGACCTGGCTCTGAGATAGCAACATTTACACAAAGAAAGGAAAGTTTGAAGGCTGAGCATGAGCACTCCTCTCCTGGTAATGCCCCACGTCAGATCTTCACCTGACTAGATCCTTCTCAGCACACGATCTTCACTTAAATGCTACATCCTCAGAACATTCTGATCAACCATTTTAAAGTGGCTCTCCTCCCTAGAACCACATAACCCTCACTTATTTTATTTTTTTTAATTTTAATTTTTTTTTAGAGAAAGAGTCTTGCTTTTTTGCCCAGGCTGGAGTGCAGTAGTATGATTCTAGCTCACTGCAACCTCGAACTCCTGGGCTCAAGTAATACTCCTACCTCAGCCTCCGGCATAGCTAGGACTACAGGTGCACACCAGCCACCGTGTCCAGTTAATTTTTAAAATTTTTTGTGGAGATGGGGTCTTGCTATGTTGCCCAGGCTGGTCTCAAACTCCTGGTCTCAAGCAATCCTCCCGTCTTGGCTTCCCAAAGTGTTGGGGTTACAGGCATGAGCCACTGTGCCTGGCCCACTTTCATTTTAAAATTTTTAATTTTCCTCTGTGCACTTGCCTTCTTTATTTACATCTATATTTTTGCTTATTCCCCTCCCTGCAAGCACCCTCCCGTCCTCTGGAATATGCCTGGCATGTAGCAGATGCTCAATAAATGTGTTGACTGTTTATTTACCAAGAGAGCTGTTAAGAACAGGATTTCCCTTGGAAAGGAGCTGTTAGAATGAACCACATGGTACCAGGAACTTAAAGACTTAGCATGACCTAGTACTAAAGAGAAAGTGCTAGATCTCTTTCTAGATTCTTCTCACATAACAGTGAAGAGGCTCTAAGTCATAGTCTGATTCCCAGTCCATCTCCGGGGGATCCATGGAAATGGATGGGGTAGATCAATACCACTCTAGTATTATGGCAAGAGATGCAATCTTGGTATTATAGTATTATAAATATTATAGTATTTTATATTATAAATCATTCCAACAGAAAACCACATATTTGCCCATTTTGTTTTGGTGAGAACAGTGCAATTGTTTGCACAGTCTTGCTGTCACACCTGCTCTGGCCTGCCCAGTAAAAATACCGGAGCCAAAAAGTGTAAATGGGTTCAGGATAGCTTTTCAAACAATGAGATGGGGTAAGTGCCATCCTCTACAATCATCAAGAAGCATTTTCAGCTAATCTTGGAAATTCAATAATAATTGTAAATGGGTAAGTTTAGGAAAGCTTTGTGCCTTGTCAAGATTGCTGTGAAATATGAAGGCAAAGTATTAAGGTGAAACACAACGAAGTAATATATAGTAATTATTATTCTATTCACTGGTTTATTTATTAGAATGACGATGGTACGATACACTTCCCAACAATCTTATTTGGCTTTCTAGATCCTTGAATTGGGTTTAAAATTCTTTTAGGCAAGACTAAGAGCAACATAAGTGAATAATGCCACAAAAAAACGCCATTAAGTATGAAAATCTACAAGATGACGCAACCATGCTTGAGTCACAAACAAAAGAATCGACATTCTATAAAGAAGAAATACACTGTTGAATCTATCAGGCATTCATTTTAATGGTAAAACAATTGCATTGCATCCATCTAATCTTGTAATTAAGATTCAAATAGGTGCAAAATGATTACTTTGTACTGGCCTATCAAAATAGAAGACATTGTAGTTATAAGCTTTCTGACTAGCAGTAGTGTTTTAATTATAAATGCCTGGCTCATTATTTGCTCAAGAGCGAATGACAATTAGCTTGATCCTATTGCAACTGTTAATGCTGTTGGTACTAAAAAAAATAGGCAATATTGAATCAGGTTTCTGATATTTCCCTTCAGTTTACAATCTTCTGATTGATACTATATTCAAAATGTACTTAGTCATTTAAAGTCACAGGCAAGAAGGAAAATGGCTCCCAACAGCCAAAAAAAAAAAAAAAAAAGGTGTTGCAGGAAGGGTATTTCATGGCAAGCCTGGAGAACAAAATCAGTATGAGATGAATCACGTTCCAAAATAATTGAACCAGAGAAAGACTCCAAGCAAAATATTTTAGTTGGCCACAAAACAACATGACAACAACCACCACCACCCTTCAGCCCATTAGAGAGGTTCAATTCTACGATAGTGCTATGGAATAGAATATTAGTTAAACTGCTAGAATAAAGCAGCCATTTACACAGATGGTTTTGAATCTCAATGTTCTTCACATTGAAGCAAACCTCGGGGAGGTTTCAGGTTTAGCACCATCTTCCTAACACACCTATAGAGATATTTCCACAAAGGTTCAGGGTGCACTTGTCATTGGAGGGGTAGGCTTGGATGTGGGTCCTTTTCTACCGACAGCACTGAGGTTACCAACGGAGGGATCAGGGAAGGCAAGAGTACAAGCATTTTCTGATTCTCAGAATTTCTGAAATACCTTTTGTTTCAGTGGCGCTGGTGAACTTGTGATAATGAAACTACACCTCTGTACACAAACCTTGACCTGCATTCTGGAGCATACTGCAAAGAAAACCTTAATTTTGAAAGTACTGAGCACAAAGGAGGGAGAGAAAAGCTGTCACTGTGCAAGCTTTCTCTATATGTTTAGAAACATGGCTTAATTTTTAAGGCTTGAAGACCGCATTAAAAACCATCTAAAACCAGTTCAGATTCTATATGAGAGGAAAAAGAACTGTAAATTTTTCATTAAACATTTGTTTCCTTTTTAAAGACATTCTTTTGCATATCTGTTATTACATGTTTAAATACGATTTGGTTACCAAGGAAACAGGTTCTGGCCCAGTGTTAAATTTGAAACTAAAATATATTTGAGAAGTTAAGTTCAAAAGAAAGAGCTCATGAAATTATTTTGAAAAGTGCCAGAACCACAGCTATATGGTCTGCAATGAACCATTCTAGGGGCTCGGTTTCATTTAGTGAAGCTCTATTTCTTTTAAGAGGGCCATCTATATTTAATATTTCCCTCTTTAAAAATTGTAACTCCTCATCCCCCCAAATTATATACATAATATAATGTATTCTTGTATATTACCTAAAATTAATTTTGGAAGCATATCAGTTTTTATTTTCATCTTTCATAAACACGTTTAAAGACCGCTTCTTAAAATTTAAATATTTTTAATGTTTCTTATTAAGCTTGTTTACGCTCTTTGAAATCATCTCCAGAAACCCATTTATTTTTAGTTTCAAGCTGAAATGGAGCTGAATCATCACTCTTTTCAAAAAATTCTTTTGTTGTCTAATGGCACCACACCTATCATATATATGATTTTTTTTTAAAAAAAATCTCCCTTTTATGGCAGAATCATTTACTAAGTTTGTAAAAGCTATACATTTATATACTATCTGAATAGCAGAGGCTGTCCAATTAAAAACCCTCCCCCAAAAGATTACAGCTGTCTTATTTAATTTTTGTTTTTTTAAAAGTCATATTCTAATGCATCTAATGTTCTTGCTGCATGGCTCAAAAAAAACTATAAAAACATGCAAATTTCAACCTACCTGTATGCATCACTTAATGCAGTGCTAGCATGACAAGACACTCAGCCATTTTTATGTAAAGCGATGGAGACCAACTGATTTCTCTGTCTTCTTGCTCACAAGTTTTAGATGCAATTGTCACATACACACAAAAATCATACGCAGAACAGCTTGAATGAACTGTGATCACAGAACTGAATTTATCAACAGGAAAACAGGATTGAAAAAAGAAGTTTCTCATCCAAGGTTTTTCTGAGACTGCAACCAAGGAGGTGGTGTGTTGAATTTTTTTCCCCTTCCTCCTCTGAGAGTTCAAAGCTCGGAGCTGACCACTGCAAAGGCCACTGTCACATTTGCTGAAAATCAAACCACTGATACCAGCATTGAAAATACAAATTTGAGAACCCAAGTTGCTTGCACATGATGGAGTGCATAAGAGTTAAAAATAGAATCCACCTTGCCTCCTACCTGCATAATAAACATGTAAGTTTCAAGTGTTTAATTTGATATTCACATTAATTAACAATACAACATACATTATTTAAAAGACAGCAAATGCACGAAGAAAGGAGAGACACCATCTGGTAGCAGAGTTTTGTTGTTGTTGTTTTTGTTTTTAGGGTTTGTGGGGGGTTTTGGTTTTGTTAAAAAAAAAAAGGTAAAATCATATTTTGAATGTGATGAAAAACAAACATCCAGAAGCAAATGAATTGGAAATGAAAGGTGATGTTGAAATATCTAAGGCTGTAATGAGGCAAAAACAAGTCTTCGCTACCAGATGATATGGCATACAGAGCATTTACATACTCACATCTGAAATACTAGGCAACGTGTAATGAATTCTAGACACAGCATGCACACACAGCACAAGCACGGCTAATCCTGCCTGCCATCTTAGGCTCGCAGAAGCAAGATACGCACTGCATGCAGCACACGAGCACTGGGGAAGGAGGAGGCAAGGGACAGCTCACCTTAAATGCAGTATCTGATTAATGTTGTAAGTGACATTGCATATCAGCCTCAGAGTCTTGGTTCAACTGGGTAGGAGGGAACAAAGAAAAATGTCATCAACTGGTGATGCAAGATGAGCCCAATCACTAAACACTGTTTAGTAAACTCCAAATTCTGCAACCAGACAGAAGGCATTTCATACACTTAAGCAGAGCTGCTCCACAATGAATGTGTCCTTCTGCTTCTGAGAATCAAACAATCCTTTTGCTAAGGAAGAAAATAAGCTGGAAAGAACACTCTCATATTCTCTTCCTGAAGAAAGCTTTCAATACAGTATGTATCTGGTCCGGGATGCATTTTATAGATGTTAATTTTATAGAATTGCTAAGAAAAAACCAAAACTGTTAAGCTCTTGCAAAGTAAAAAATAATTTTGATAAAGGGTATAGCATTTCTAGATTATTTTTCAAAATCCTAAATGGTGCCGGCAGGCTTGTAGAAAAATGCATGATCAGCTGTCTGTATCCGTGCTATAACCTTTAACCACAAGCAGTGTAAATGTATCCTGCTAAATGTATCTGCAGTACAGAGCGGCAGATACCGCCTCAGAATTTTATTAAAATGTGAATGGATTTTTTAAAACTTGGAAGCAGAATAAAATCAGAACAGAAAAATAAATTGATGCTGAATTCCTCTGGCTGTATAGCTGACCATCATGAACGATTAAAGCTATCCTTAGGATACTGACCTAAATAATACTAAGACTTACAGCAGCATACTGTATGCGTTCAGAACACAGAAAATGCAAAATGATTTATCTTCTCCCTCCCCCTCCAAAAGCTAAATTTTAAAGTAACAAGCCATTAATAGGAATACCAAAAGGCTATAGATAGTACATACTGTAAGAGAAGAAATCGTGTTGTGCTGAGATGCAATGTTTCTTTGTTTTACTTTGAGGCTTATTTTAGCTATGCTTGCATGATGACATTGACATCAGGAGGTCAGTGCTGACACTGGGTTGATATCCGTTTTATGAGTGAAATGTTTTCCGAAAATTAAATCTCATCTACTCAAACACCAAATTTCATGTCATCTTCAAAACCACCTCCCTACCCCCACTGCTCAAGATTGATGGGATCTAGTTTGGTGGTATGTAATAAATTGGAATCACCTTCTGCAGATAGTTCAATATGTAATGGTGAGGAATTAATTTTTTAAATAAAAAACATTCAAGAATTCTTATGCACCCCCTTTCATTCCTTCCTATCAACACACGCGCACACACACACACACACACACACACACACACTCAAAGCTCGAATTGCAATGAAATGTTTAACATGTGGAACAAAAACTGTTGAAAGAGCTGCTTATTCAGGATTTTTAAGAAATGCCTAATAAGCAAATACGGTTTTGCTGCAAAACCAGTGTCACCAGGTCCCCAAAGAGGAAAACAGCATAGCTTGCTAGCAAAATTTCCTCCAGATCCTGCCGGCAGGTAAAAAAACAAAAAAGCATTTTATTTGCCATGCTGTATAAAACAAGAAGTCTTTTATTTTTAAGGAAATAGAACAGATTCTTTTCCACTCTATAGCTACAAAGAAACCATACCCACCCCCACCCTTAGATCCTGGACATAAGCCAACATTTTTATAAAATGCTGAGACTGATTTTGAATATATAATATTTATAGTTTTCTTCTTCTTATCTCTCCAAAAGTCTTTAATTGCCTATTGCATCACTGAATATGCTGTTGTTAATTTTAACGCTTGCAAAAATGAATTAATATTTTCTGGGGTTGCTAGTTTTCCAGCACCTCAATCTTCTGTAAGGACTGGCTGAAAATAATCAGGTTAGCAACACATTGAAGCTCCCCAGAATTTTTTTAAAAGAGAAAATATGTTCAAACACCTTAGCTGAGGTACTAGGTTTCACAACTGGATCTTTTGTTTCTAGCTCTCATGCTATCTCCTGCCCCAGAGCATAAGTGATTTTTAGCTTAGTGTATGGAATGTACCCTGCCCTCCTATATCCTATACACTTTAAAGTCTCTGAGTTGAGTTGTCCAGATGGTGGGTCATACCTGAACCATAGCAAGAGTCCTCTTCTCTTTGGAGTACATCTCTCTCCCACAACTACTCCAGAAATAAATGTGGCTCTAACGAAAACAGTAGCTCCTGGTCTCACACCAATGGTGGAACCATCTTCCCCACCCCCACATCATTGCTCTATGAGCTCTGGTTAGCATTGACAGCGTCAGAAAATTAGAATGGAGTGTCCTTAGGCCAATTCCTCCTTTACCATGGGGGTCGAGAATTAGAGAGATGATCACGCTGAGTTATAAGGCACCAATTCAATATACGGTCATCTGTGAAGCAGAGTCCTTAGAGTGGGGTGGGAGGAGGTTGACGCAAACACCTAGGCATTGAATGCTCTTCATGTCTGTTGAGATATTCCCCATCAATGACGTTTGAAAGCTAGACATTCATTTAAAAATACTCGCAAATTATTATCATGTAGGCTAAATATACATGTTATGGAATCAACTCTGACCACATAGAACTAAGTCATCTGCCTCCTCTGTCGGGAATAATAAATGACAGTGACAACAACAGTAATCCATATTAGGCTCCCAGGAGATGAGTAAATAGTGTTCTATTCCCTTTACAGGGAAGGGTGGTGAATGTGGTCAGGTCCCCTACTGGTACTTGTAAGCCAGATGCCAGGGCAGTTTCCAAACCCCCTGTGGGGTTCTCTGTCCACCCTCTGTCAAAACTAGCCTAAAAGCCATGTATTGGTTTATTTTGTGATGTTCCAAGACACTCAATCAGTAAACGTGGTACGTTTACCAGACCTGCTCGGGTTAAACAAATGTGAACTATAGTTGAAAATATTCAAAGCAATGAGCTTGTTTAGGCAGACATTCTCAACTAGTAAATCCTGTTTTATACTTTCAGAAAACCATGCCCATGCCTGAATTACTTAAGCTTTGTCATGATTACTAGTGGCAAGGGTATGCATTCACTTATGATTTAAAAAAATTGCGTGCTTCTCATCAGCCTCCTCGGGGCATGTGCACAAACATTAATTTAAAAGGCAAATCCCTTTTCCACAGTGAACATTTTAGCCTGTTTCTGCCACTTTGACGAGTCAAACACGAGGAACCCGAAATAATCTGGCAGGCACAGGCTGGAGAAGGACGGAGCTAGACGTGAGGGGTGAGCCTTTCACTTTGATTAACGTGCTTACTTGCTCGTGGTCTCGTTGTTCTGCAGGCTGAGCTAATTTTCTTTGCAGTCCTGTGGGTTAAAGTTAAATTGCACGGCTAATGCAATGTACATAATTCAAGTATGAACAAAGCTTGACTCTCTATGTTTTAAAAAACATAAAGTCAGGGCACTGAGTCCCAGAGGAATACTTGGTTTATAAACATTTGGATCAGTTTGCATGTTCCTTTATGCCATTCACCACATTAAACATTACAGCTGGGTTCTTTTTACACCTAATAGAGGTAGTCAACATTTGTGGGTACATTGTTGTCAGGTTAGGCTATTCCAATTGAAATTAAAAGAAAAATAAAAGTGTTTACCAAATACACTTTTGTTTAAATTCTTAATATTTAAAAAGTTTAAGATTTTTTAATGAGGTTGGTTATTACATCTGTCTATAGCGTATTTAGTCCTGGAAACAACATGGTGATTTAATTTACAAATGACCAAAAATGCCTTTGGATTTTTGAGAAAGTTCAAAGCTACTTTGAACATCTACATCTTGCCTAGAGACCTGGGCAGGAACTTCTGCCTTCCACATTGATCAGAGCTAAAAAGTCTACACTAGCTGCCCTTATGGAGAACCTACTACATACTCAATATTTTAGCTACACGTCCAATGTTTATTTCATTCTAACCCAATAATCCTGCAAACTGAGTACCTTCAATTTTAGGTGAGGAACTAATAGAGATTACACACAGTAAATAGCAGACTTAGGATTCAAACCTAAGTTTGATTGATTGCAAAGTCTACGTCTTTCCACCAGTCCTAAGAGGATAAAACTTCCTCCTACGTCCACACTCCATCCCTGATGTCAGTAATCTTATTATTGTGCAGACACCTGGTAGAGGACTCTATCTCCTTGGAGCCCTGACTACCTCTGTTCATATGAATCAGCCTCTACCCTCCAGGCCCTGGGAACTGTGGGAACCTAGGATGCCACCAGCTGGAGACAGGCTGGGCCCAGCAGGTGGAAAAGACACAATGAAAGAGGAGGAATCAGATGGACCATGTTGGAAAGTTAAGTGTAGAAAGCAGAGTAAATATTTTAGTGGGAGATTTGCCATAATTCAAAAAATATTTTATGAGGCAAAATAAATGAAAATAAATGACATAAATATATTTCAGATGGAATGTTTATTTTAATAAATACATTTCCACTTGAAATGTATTTATTAAAACCTAGTGGAGTCTAGTTTTTTCCCTCTCACAGGTGACCAAACAGGCCGAGAGAGATACAACGATTTGCCCAAGATCACACACTTCATAAGTGAGTTTATTATTAATGCAGCCTTTCACTATATTAAAAATTATAGCTAGTTTCCTTTTACACCCAATGTATTCAGCATTTGTGAATAAATTTGTTATCAGGTTGTTAGAGTGTTCTACTCTAAATGATCAGTTAAAGAAAAATCAGTGTAACAATCAGAGTAGCCTGTTCTCTTTTGTTTGTTTGGTTTTGGGTTCTCTTGAGACAGAGTCTCGCTATGTTGCCCAGGTGGGACTTGAACTCTCAGTCGATTCTCCCGCCTCAGCCTCCTGAGTAGCTAGGATTATAGGCTCATAACACTGTGCCCGGCTAAAACTGACCTACTTTCAACTCACAAATAGTATTTTTCTCCTGAACAGATAACCTAAGTAGCTATTATGATTTTTTTCCAACATATTTTTAAATGGAATTTTAAAAAGCCTAATTTTGAAGTAAGAGATTTTCCTCAACCAAATTTACTGCTTTATTTTATCATTAAAATGATTTAAACACTAAAATCATTTTAATGACTCTGTTTGTTAACATCTGTTCATTTTGCCTCTGTCTCAGGTCCCTTCCAGTTCTAAAAGTTTGTGATTCTAAAAAATCAAGCCCAGCTTGTTTTCTAGGTCAAGTAGGCCAAGAGCTGGACTCCAAGTCTCCTGTCTTCTGGTGTAGGTGGCCAGCTGACTATCCTGCTTCATTTGCAGTAATTGTATATGCCAACAAGATGGCTCTCAAAGGGGGCTTTCTAATCCACCAGCTCCACCCTACCTGGGAATAGGAGAGGAAGACTATCTTGCTCAACGCTCATAGGTAGTAGAATGAAGGGTTGGGTGAATGATATGCTTGAGGATTCTGAACTCCAGGAAACCTTCTCCAGTTCTTAGACATGAGCATCCTCACGTCCATCCATTAGCATCTGTGTAGGACATGAGAAAGGAGTACATACCTGTTGGCAAAGATTGGGCAGCAAGCCTTGTGGACCAAACTGGGGTTACTCTCCAGGAAAGAGCTGGAAGGAAAAGGGAACTGTAAACCATGTGTTTTTTAACAAAGGAAAAGTGGCAAATGACATAGGCTGCAAGGCAGACTGTGGTAGACAACATCTCAACCCATCCTAACCCAACTCAAATCCTCTGGTGGGAGCATCCTCAACAGGTGTCACCACCATTATGGAAATCACTACCTCGGCTTTAGCAACTGAATAGTTGCTGCTTTCATTTCTCAGTGCATCAGTGCATTTGAAACATGGCATGAGTAATGACCTTGAGTGCCCATTCCTACTACCCAATCACATGCTCATTTTCTGCCATGACTGCTTGTCACGCACCAGATGGAGAGCAAGTGAAACAACAGGGCCTTCTAGATTCTGAATTGGCAAAACACATTCAGCAAGGAAGTAGAGTTTCATCTTTTTGGAGAGACTGGCAACTAGGCTGAAAAGGGAAGGTGGGGATATAAATGAAGGTAAAAAAGTAAGAATTCTTACAGATCCATAAAAATCCACCTCATGTGAGAGCATAATCTTCTCTTTATATCTTTCTTCACACCCTGGGCAACAAATATTTCAAGACTTAAACCTGGGAATAAATTTACTTGCTTTCTCTTCTCTCAGATACATGACATTGCAGCTCAGAAAGGGCCACAACAATGCACCTCTTCTCAGTCAGAGAAGCTTAACAAACCTCAGTGAGTCTTTAACTCCTTTCGACTAAAGAAAAAAACACAATGCATTTTGGTTGTATTGAATTATCTACCTAAGCCCACGTCTCTGGCTTGCTTCCTGCAAGATCTTTGTATCTTCCAGGGCACTAGAGCATTTCCTAACACCATGGAGAGGCTCACTGAGGATGTTTTGGACTCACCAACATCAAACTCCGGAGTCCTTTCTCTACCACTACCAGTGGGATCCTCAGCTTTGTATCATGAAGCCACTTCCTAAAGTTAAAGTACTTGCTTCAGGAGTTAAGGAATGGGCTTGGGGGCTGAAAATCTCTATGAAAATCTTTCAAGCACTTAATCACTTGTTTACCAAGGGGAGCCACAAGTTGTCTGGCAAGCAGACCACAGTGCTTTGTGTAAACCTGTCTCTCCTAGAACAGGGAAAGAGGAGACAGAAATAAGAGTGGCCTGACAACACTGCCACAGCCCCCAAAGAATACCTCAACATTTCCTCAGGCCCTCAGTGGCAGAGCGTGTTTCACAGAATTAAAGGACAAGGAAGACGCTTTAGAAAATGCCATCTAAACCATTTCTTTGAGGGAGAAGAAAATTAGGTTCAAAGAGAGTAAGTGTCATATTTACATAAATGCCTCATCAATGAGCATAGAAGCCATATTCCTTAATTTCTAGCATTCTGCTCTTTGTAATTCAACACACTGACTCAATTAAAAAAAATTCTAAGCTGTCAGATACTTAAAAATAGTTATAGGTTAATTGAATTAATGACTAAATGACAGAATGGAGGGTTTATAATATGTTTTCCAATTCCTCTCAGATGAAAATATCATACTACATTTGTTTAACTAAAAACAAAACTCAACTAAATATAATTTTAAGCAAAATAGTCAATGTTGGCCAAAATATCACCTGAAACTTCTCAATGTCACTTGAGACTTGTCAGAGAACCAGACTTGATTGCTATATTAAGTCAATTGACTAAGTTTAGCCTGCTGAAGTAGCCTTTATCCTCTTTGGTTTGCAAAGAAAAATCTCATGATTTAGCATGAACGGCTAAAAATAAGCTGCAGGTTTCATTTTCCGTTGTTCAGTATGGTTTTGAAACTAAAAGGTGCAAAACTACGAGATTCACCAACGACTACGGAAAGTCAGCGATTAAAATTGTCACCTTTCTAGCACACGATCCTGGTTGCCAACTCACAGCCAGGCCCGAGAAATGAGCACCGCTGTCCCTCTCATCATGGTCTCTTGAGTTGAGTCCCTCTAATAACTAAGGCACAGTTGGAAGCTGGAGGCTGAGGCCAGTCCTGGGGTAGCAGTGGATTGTGAGTGTATTGTCACATCCGGACAGGATGCCGCATAGACTTCAGCCCATATGCTCAGCCTCCATCTTAGGTGATGCTGGGGACTCCTCTGCAGAACCTGGGAGTAAATACAGCTCGAGTTTCATTAAGATAGGGCTCCCAAGGTGGTGAGTGCAGCAAGTCCCTCTTGACCTAAATGCCCATGGCCTTGTGCAATTCCATACTGCCAACCCAGGCAGCTCACAATAAATTTAATTTCAAAACTGTCTTTCCAGGGCCAAGTCTGGCAAAAAGGTATTTGACAGGGACGTAAATGCTTCAAAGAGAAGGCAGCCATCTCACTCTGTAGCATTCAGCTGTGGCACAAGGCCCAGAGACAGCAGCGCTGTTAAAAGAAAGCCCTCAGCTGAATGAGATTGAAAGGGGGCAAAGAAGGGTTAATCTCCTTCCATTAAAGGAGGGCCCATTTGGTGAAGGTGAAGAGTGTAATCTGTATGAAGAGCAGAGCAAAGAGCCATTCCAGAAAAGAAATTACTGCACAGGGGCGAGAAGGATGATTTGTCCTTGATTTTCACCATGAGACCATTTCTTAGATCTGAATCTACCTAGCTTTGAAGTTATGGTCTCAGGGAGGGGTAAATGGGGCACATTCACATTCATTGCTGGCATACTTGAGCTTTGATTCCATCCGAGATGGGCTGTCAGTCTCTGAGAAGCAGAGGGTGCGGCCAAAGCCAGCAGGACATTGTAGACTTCAAACCACAAGTTAGAAGGCGGCAAAATAAATAGTAGGAGTTGCTCATAAAGGGGAAGCCAGGGGATAAATCCCCCTCCTCAAGGTGGGAGAACCCTGTTTTAAACATAGTTTTAACAACTTTTAAAAAGTTTTAATACCTTTTTTGTGAAATAGCATAAGACGTACAAGAAGTTATACAGTGTCTACTTTCTCCACCTTCCCCCAGTGTTGTCTTACATCGCTGTAGTACTTGGGCTAAACCAAGAAACAGATGCTGGTATAGTTCAAATAAACGCAGATACAGTCTTATGTGATTTTACCAGTTTTTACATGCACTCTGTGTGTGTGTGTGTGTACCTGTATGTCTACAGTTCTATGCAACGTATCACATGTGCAGGCTGGAGTGATGACCATCACCATCAGAATAGAGAATAGTCACCACCACAGTTCCCTGTGCTCCTCCTCTGATAATCACACCCATCCTGACAACCACTGATCTGTTCTCTATCACTGTAATTTTTTTTTTTTTTTGCTTGTTGAGACAGGGTCTCGCTCTGTCACCCAGGCTGGGGGTGCAATGGCAAAATCATGGCTTACTGCAGCCTCAAACTCCTGGGCTCAAGCAGTCTTCCCATCTCAGCCTCTCAAGTAGCTGAGACCACAGGTGCACGCCCACATATCCCGCTAGTTTTGTAAATTTTTGTAGAGATGCGGGTCTCCCTGTGTTACCCTGGCTGGTCTCGAACTCCTGGGCACTCCTGCCTCAGCCTCCCAAAGTGCTGGGATTACAAGCATGAGCCACCGTGCATGGCCTATCACTGTGATTTTGTCAGTCCAAGAACGTTCTCTAAATGGAATCATGTAGCATATAACTCTTTGAGATTGGCTTTCAGCATAATGCCCTTGTGATCCATTTGAATTGTATGTAAAGAGCACATGCCTTTTTATTGCTGAATAGTATTTCAAGGTGTGGATGTACCAGTGTGTTACCCACTAACTTGCTGAAAAACATTTGGCTATTTTCCAGTTTTTAGGTATTACAAATAAAGCTGCTATAAATGTTCATGTAAAGTTTATTGCGTGAACATAAGTTTTCATTTCTCTTGTGTAAATACCCATGAGTAGGATTGCTGGATCACGTGGTAAGTATATGTTTAACTTTTATAAGAAACTGCCAAACAGTTTCCTAGAGTGGCTGTACCATTTTACATTCCTACAGGCAATGTAGGAGAGATCCAGTGTCCCCACATGTTTGCCAGCATTTGGTAACCTCAGTATTTTTTATTTAAGCCATCTACTAGATGTGTCGGGCTCCTTTTGATGGGCCACAGTCAAGAAGGCAGTTAAGCTCTGTGGCCTTCTGAGCTTAGCTGGGGTGACCTCAGATGTCTCTCATTGCTCCAGTTTTCCTGGTAGCTGTCTACACAGCAGTTTGGGCTGTCTGGCACTTAGGCGATGGAAAATGGGATGGTCTTTCTGGATGGGGGGGCTGAGTCTTTGGGTTTGCCCAGTTGCTCCTGACTGCAGTGGTGGGACATTGCTATCTGGGGATGCTGGGCCTCTTTGAGGCAGTGCCTCTTGGCCCAGCAGGAAGACTTGATACCAGTGGTACATGCTCCCATGGGGTAGGGCAGGTGAAATGACAGCTGTGGGGCAGGAACAGAGTTTGCCTGGGCCAGGGTCTTCCTGTAGCTTTGGCCAGAGGCTGTGTGAATACTTTTAATTTCTCAGGTTAGATCGTTATCAGCATAGTGTGAGAGGAAGTGGGACATGGAATCAATGTAGAGAGGCAAGGGTGGGACCACCAGTAGCACTTGTCAAATCTTGGGACCCACTGAACAATCTTTGCCCTTGAACTTTGTACTCTGTGACCACCCAAGACTCTCCAGCAGCATGTGGACACCTTGTCTGGATGCCATGGAACTCCTATTTTTGTCTCCTGTGGGTGAGATTTGGAAGCACTGCTGTCACCACCACATGGGCTTTCCTGGCCCAGGGGTCCAGGTCTCGTGAGCAATTAGAATGTCATCTGAGTATCAGAGGTGCTTCACTCAAGAAAGTTGTGCAGGACAACAAGGTGATGGGTTTTACATAAGGCAAACATTATAGTGAAGACTTGAACCGGCCCAGGCATTCTTGGAAAGTCACCCTCCATCTGATTCAAGGTACCTCTGGTTCAAGGGAGGTTGTAGACTTTTCCAGAACTCTTACTCATCATGACCCTGGAGCCATGAGTTTGGACTAGGAGGCCAAGAATCAGGAGAGTAGTGATCCTGAACAGGGATAACCTTGAGATAATGGAGACTTGCATGGGGCAGTGAAGCTTGGGGATCATCAACAAAATTCCCTGGTGGCTAAGCCCTGGGAGGATCCTGTGGAGGAGCTCCTTTGGGTTCTGGCTCTTGTGTGTCACCAGGTGCCTTTGCAGGGGATCAGCATAGATGTAGGCATGGAGGAAACTAAAGTTGATTTCAAGAACCTGAACGTGAACTGGGGCGGGTAGGGAGCTGAGCAGTCTGTCCAGGCAGAACTTGAAAGTCAAGTGATGCCTTGGTGGGCTCTGGAAATTGAGGTGGTGGGATGAGAGGAAGCCGGGCAGTCAGACACTGTCAGGTGATCAGTGGGTGTGGGTTGATGGGTTTCAGCAGGGTTATGCAGGCAGGATGAATAGTCAGACTTCCTCTTAGAGGATGGTGAGAGTTTAAAGAAAATGGTTTTTTGTTGCTATAATTGTTTTTTCCATTGTTTCCTAAATTTCCATTTTCAGGTTCCTCCTGCTCTGGCCTGCCGCCTCTCAGGCTGTGCTCCTACTCTCCTGCTGTCAGAAGGCAGCCCAGCACACAGCACCTTTCAGATTTAAAAAGGCAGGCACGGCTTGGGGCAGGTACCTCCCCTGACTGTGAGGTCACACAGTGGGACTCCATCCTTGAGGCCAAATCCTCAGCAGTTCCCCTCTAGCTCTTGCTTGTCTTCCTTTCAACTCATCCCTGCCTTGACCTCAAATTTGCCCACATATTTTAGTCTGGCACTTGCCCTGACCCTGCTCCGCTGTCTTGGTTTCTGACCCCAGATCCCACCTCCTACTCTGCTCTTGTGATGCTGATCACATGGATGCTGCCTGCACGGCTGCCCTCTGTCCTCCTGGGTCCAGCTTCTTCAGTGCTACCACCTCAGGGATCAGGGCACACCACAGTCTGGCCCCATTAGGTGACCAAGATGGGCACGTGGGCCCCTTGCTAGGTCTAGGCTGCCCAAGAGTGTCTTGAAGTACGGGCATGCCTATCTGAGGGCAGGTAAGAGCTCCTTGGCTGAGGCAGGGCGTTGCCTCAGGAGTGAATCTTCTCATTGGCGCCTTTTGTCTCTTACCTAAAGGTTGGGTGACTCTGGGCCCTTTGTCTAGTTCAACCTTTGCCATTAAATCTCTGAGTGACCACCAGGAAGTAAATGAACCATTATGGGCCTCAGTGATTTCATGTGTACAATATGGTTTCTTGATTCCCTAGCTAATAATCTTTTTACTACATCATATTACAGTTAAAGGAAAATCTAAAAATCAGAAGCCAAAAAAAGACTTTAAGTTAAATTCTGGCATAGACATACTAGCTCAGAGTTTCCTAATTTTTTTTGTCTAATAAATGTTTGCCAACTGAATATTTGTTGAACTGAATGCAGCATGTCAATAGTTCTCAGGCATTAATGCAGAAGAATTGGGAGGGCAGGTTAAAATGCATATCCCCAGGCTCCTCCTCAGAGCTTCCAATACCACTGGGGCCTAGCAGCATGCATTTTAATGTGAGAAACTAAAAAAGACCAAGGTTTTGAAATAGACATTCGTACCTTTCTAGGGGCCAATTCACCAATATGCATTAGAAACTTTAAAAATAGTAGAACACTAAAGTGAATCAAAATGTCCAACAACAAAAAACTGATACATTAAAATGTATCAGTGCAATGGAAATAGAGCCATTAAAAATCATGTTTTCAAAGACCATCTAGTGATTTGGTAAAATGTTTACAACATAATGTTAAATGGGGGCAAAACACCACATAAAATACCATCTCAACAATTTTTAACATTTTGATGTATTTTTTCCAATTTTTTTCTTGTATATATTCTTCTCTCTTTTTAAAAAGGAGAGAATGGGGTGGGGTTGGGGTGAGGGGTTATACTAATGCTCTTTTGGACAAAGATGAGGGGTCCACTCTCTCCACTCTGGCTTGGAAGGCACTACCCAAGGTCAATGCCTCCGTGGAGGAGTTTCCAAGCCTCCTTATCCCAATGCACTGGGAGCCCCATAGAATGCCAGGAATCATCTTCTTTTGGCAGAGAGATGACTCATCCATCATTCCTCAAAGGTTTCAGTGAACCCCAGGTTAAATGTCCCTGTGAATAAGATCAGAAGCCTCTCCATGGGGAGTCTGGCCTACAATCAAACATGCTTTGGCTAGTTAGAAGTGATGCTAAGGCTCCCAGATGAAAGTCAATTTAGAAAGACAAAAAAATCTTTAAAATAATGATAATAACAATATCAAAAGTCAAAGCACCAATACTGACCATAATTATGATGATTATTTTTTATCAACACTTTTTTTTTTTTTTCCTCTGTTGCCTAGGCTGGAGTACAGTGGCCCAGTCGTGGCTCACCACAACCTCCGCCTCCTGGGTTCAACCAATTCTCATACCTCAGCCTCCCAAGAAGCTGGGATTACAGGCATGTGCCACCAAGCCCAGCTAATTTTTGTATTTTTAGTAGAGGCAGGGCTTCACGATTTTGGCTGGGCTGGTCTTGAACTCCTGGCCTCAAGCAATCTGCGCACCTCAGCCTCCCAAAGTGCTGGGATTTCCGGTGTGAGCCACCACTCCCGGCCTTTATCAGCAGTTTACCTTGACATGCACTTTTCTAAGTTGCCCATATCATTTTGCATATATCACCTACTTATTCTGACAGAGTCTCAGCATTACATTTTCTAACAATACTATTTTGGAGGTAGGAGGGAGCTTTAAAGTTCTGATGAAAACCAGAAGCTTCTTGAGTTAAAAACAAAACCCTGAAGTGTGGTATTTTCCAACTTGGTTCTTGACAAGAAATTAGGGGATTTCAGTGTGAGAAATTATAAAGCCCTATTACTATGAATTCTTAGTTTTGGTGAATATGATGTGGTATTTCTGCAAAACTCTCTAAGGAGAGTGACAGAACATTCATGATGCTGACCCATGGGGAGAAAGGAGCTTGCACACCTGTGCTATGACAATTCTAAAACCTCAGGGATTAAAATACTCAACTAGTGTAAGAGCTGCCTGTGTGAGACTGTGTGCTCAGTCCACATCTGCTCATCATGGCTCAACAAGGCCAGGCTCAGATCTTTAGATGACCTAAGCTCTGAAAAGACTATAGTGCCTCAAATTTGAATTATTACTCCCATGTGAAATTAAAATAGAAAAAAATAACAAAATACAAAATTAAGGTTGAGAAAGCTCAACAAAGTCTAACTTTTCCCAGGCTGTCTCCTTTGATGCTTTTTTTGAAATGTCAAATATCAAAATATTTACAAAATGTGTGTTTGTACACAATCCTGCTTTGCTGATGTTGTCTGTGAGGTCACTCAGCATCCAGTGGTCACAGGGATCTATGGCTTTCTTTCAAACACAAAGTGTTGACAGTAGTGAAATTCTGGTACCTGATGTGGTGGTCTTACTCCCCTTCCTGTAGTAATATGCAGCTAGAAATTAGAAATCAGGAGGCTGGCCCCCTCCCCCAACCCTAACACCATTCATATGTCAACTACTGCATACTTAGTGCTTTGAGGAGTCATAACAGATGGTAGTTGAAATTAGCAAGCTGTGATTAGCCATTCTCCCACATGAATGGACCCTGATGTTGACTGAGACCTTTGGCTCTGCCCTTCCTGAAAGACTCTGTTAGGCTAGGACTTCCAGCAACACATCATCCCCATTTGGCTCCAGCTTTTGAAATCTGGCACATATTCTTAACTTATTCCTTCAACTGCACCCTTCTAGCAGGCACTGTATTCCCCATTCACCTGGTCTTTTTTTTTTTTTTTGGAGATGGAGTTTCTCTCTTGTTGCCCAGGCCGGAGTCCTGTGGTGTGATCTCGGTTCACTGCAACCTCTGCCTCCCAGGTTCAAGCAATTCCCCTGCCTCAGCCTCCCAAGTAGCTGGGATTATAGGTGTGCGCCACCCTGCTCGGCTAATTTTGTATTTTTTTTTAGTAGAGATGGGGTTTCACCATGTTGGTCAGGCTGGTCTTGAACTCCTGACCTCAAGTGATCCACCTGCCTCGGCCTCCCAAAGTGCAGGGATTATAGGCATGAGCCACCATGCCCAGCCCAACCTGGTCTTATCATTAGCTTATACCACTAGCCCAGCCAGCTCCCCGATCAATAGACACTTTCAGTTCCTAACAACTTGGAAAGACAGACTTTCAGAGGCTGAAGTATTTTTGCAGCAACTCATCTTGTTATTCTATTCCATTCCTCCTCAGCTCCATCCTAATGTAAGGGGACTGGGCAGAGGCTAGGCAGCCATAACAGGAGAGTAGGCCAGGCATCAGCCTCTGTCAGATATCTGAGAAGCTGTGGCAAATTGGCCAGTAACAGGTATCCCCACACAACAGACAATACATGCTCTTCAGGGTGTGGATGTGGGTGCCAGAAAGGTCAAGTCCAGGGGCAAAAGTCAATCAGAAACCAGAGTGTTTAGTCAGATATTGACAAAACTAGAGAACTAGGTACCAGGCACCTCAGGCAAAGACTTGAGTTCATTTTTATTTCACACCTTTAAGTCTGGGGCATCACAAGGCACCCATCATATGGTTTATATTTACGAATGAGGGGAATACTTCACCAACATCAACAATGGTTAGAAGGTTACATAAAATGTTAAACTTATTAAAAGTTCTCCAAACAGAGCTTACAACTTTACCACTTATTATTTCAGTAAATGTTTTGAAACTTTTCCTGAAAATAAAAAGCTAGACATATATATCACATCTTTTGGGGTAGCATTAATAGCCCCAGCCTGAGACTTTTTAGTCTACTTTTAAATGTTTCTCGGCTGGGCCCGGTGGCTCATGCCTGTTATCCTAGCACTTTGGGAGGCCAAGGTGGGTGGTGGATTGCTTGAGCCCAGGAGTTCAAGACCAGCCTGGGCAACATGGTGAAACCTTGTTTCTACAAAAAATACAAAAATTAGCCAGGCATGGTGACACATGCCTGTAGTCTCAGCTACTTGGGAGGATCGCTTGAGCCTGAGAAGTTGAGGCTGCAGTGAGCCATGATCGTGCCACTGCACTCCAGCCTGGGTGACAGAGTGAAACCCTGTCTCAAAGAAAAAAAAAGTTTCTCGGCTGGGCGCTATGGCTCATGTCTGTAATCTCAGCACTTTGGCAGGCCAAGGCCGGCAGATCACGAGGTCAAGAGATGGAGACCATCCTGGCCAACATGGTGAAACCCCATCTCTACTAAAAATACAAAAATTAGCTGGGTGTGGTGGTGCGTGCCTGCAGTCCCAGCTACTCAGGAGGCTGAGGCAGTAGAATCACTTGAACCTGGGAGGCAGAGGTTGCAGTGAACTGAGATCATGCCGATGCACTCCAGCCTGGCAACAGAGTGAGACTCTGCCTCAAAAAAAAAAAAAAAAAAAAAAAAAAGAAAGAAAGAAAAGAAAAGAAAAAACAGTTTAATAACTTGGTTTAAAGGTCTAACCTTCGGGAATTTTCACCCTGATCAAATGTCCCAAGACCTGGAGCAGATCCTGTAGGATACATTTCCAAAGCCTCCAGTAGCAGAGAAAACTACGAGCTAAGGAAGTCAAGAGCTTTCCTATAGACCACTGGGGCTCATAGTTGGGGGAGCAGAATTCTGTCACAATTCCAACTAATATGACTAGATCCAGGAAGAAGAGAAAGCCAGTATAGTCCTAGACCAAGAGGATCCTGAGAGGAAAAATAAGTAAAAGGAAATAAGGAAAATGTCCTTCATGGTTCACTGGCCATGGGCAACATGATGCTTAGGGTCATAATGGACAGAGGTGTTGAGAAATCTCATCCATTGCATCTTGCCCTCATGGCCAGATGTTACCTAAGAGTGTCAGTCAGGAAAACCTAAATGTGGATAATTGTTTACTTCTCCCACTGTTTCTATGCAACTTTATCCTTGAGTATCTCCAAGTTTCTTTTATGTGCTGTGCCAGAGAGAACTACCTCTTCTTCAGAAACCCCTCCAGAGCTGTCACTGCTAAGTGGCTGCTCCACCAAGGACTACATTTCCCAGACTCCTCTGTGGTTAGCTGTGGTCATGTGATGGAGTTTTAGCCAATGGAATGTGAGTAGAAGTAACACGCACCACTTCTAGGCAGAGCCCATAAAAAACTCCCATGTGCACTTTTTCATGCTCTTTTCTTACTGCACTGAGGAGTGGAGACACCCCTAGGCGACCTTGAAAACCACATGCTGCAGAAGGCAAAGCCCCTCTCTACCTGTGTCTCTGAATGAATGCATGAAAGACAGTTGCCCCACTGACCTGTACTGTTACATGAGCAAGAAATAAACTATTGTGTTTGAGCCATTATAGATTTGGGGTTCTATTATAACAATTAGCCTATCCTAATATCCTTTTTAATATAGCTGTAATCATTGTGTACAGAAATCTCTGTGCCCTTTCCCCTTTTCTTTGAATCTTACCACAAACTAAAAAAGGAGAATTGGGAGACTTAAATTTAAGTAGCTGTTGGGGACAAATGACACTTACCAAATTAGTGGTCACAACATTCAGATCTTAGAGCCAGAAGAACAGGACTACAGCAGAGCCTCACTTCAAGACAACCTAATATATTAAAGTAAAACAAAAAGTAAAACATAAGGCCTATAAAACAGATATTTTAGTGTGTGATAGTTAATTTCCAAAGGGAGTTGTCCATTTACAAAGGAATATGCCACTGTTTTCCAGTAAATGACAAGCTTCCTTACTGCCTTTAAAATGAGACTTACGCCTCCCCGCTCCCAGTCATTTTAACATAGAATTTCTGAAGAACAGATCTCCCCTGGTACGTCAGCTATACGAAGACTAGATGCTGACTCAGGGGATGACTTAGAAGCCGGGAAAATCAGGGTATGATTTCTATGCCTACGTGCTGTTCTCATGTATGTGTCAAAACTTTTCTCTTGGGAACTTAACTTTCTTGGGTAGGAACTTCCAGAGGTCGTGAAATTATAGGCTTTGTAAAGAACTATGAGTTTTTAGACAAAGTTAAAACAGACACATTGTGTCTTTGTGCTTAATATCATCCCAGATACGATGGCACAAGTAGGAATGAAAATAAGTCCTCTGTAAACAGGGCGATAAGATAATGGAGGTTCATACACAGAACAATCAGAAACGTGCTCAGTAAAGGCAGCACAATTATGTACATCTTTTTACCAGGGCTGTCATATTTTACCAGGTTAAGTGTGAAAATACCATTTGATGGCACAGGACACGTATTTGCCTAGAACAGGGTTTATTTTTATGTCTGATCGCTCAGTATAAGATCTAGGAAGCAAACAATCCAGAACTCTGAACAAACATTCTGACAGCCTGAAACGGAATACTCAGGTGAGGGGAGGAAGAGGAGGCAAAACAAGAGGGTTGACAGGGAAAGGCATCAGTTGGGCTGTTCTCCCCAGGGTTTCCGTCTTAGTATTGTTTTTTTTTTTTTTTTTTGCATTCTTTTCTGATCCTGTGGAGAGAGATATCAGATCCCTTTGGGGCCGTATTTAGAGGGTCTCCCAAATGCAGTCCCTACTCCCAACTCTGGGCTGGGGCTTGGCAAGCTGTAGGCGTCAGGGAACAAGATGGCGCCCTACGGTGAAGGGCGCTGAGTGAGGGGGGGCCAAAAGTGGGCCTTCACTTACTCGGAGGCGCTGGCTCCTCTGAAACCCAGACGCTGTCAACTCCCTGGGCCCAGGAGTCACAACCGCTTTCGTGCTCTGGGTTCTTCACTTCTTGTGATCAGCTCCACATATTTTTCTGATGATGTCACCCATTCTGACTTCCTACATTTTGAAAGTTGATCTACAAGTAAAATCTTTCGTGAGGCTTAAAAAAAAGAAGAAAAGAAATAAAAGGTGTGCTATAGGGAGATGGAGAGGAAGAGAAAGGCCGTTGCCTCTTTATTTTGAGATTTGCTGCAGCTGCGAGTGCCACTCCCCAACTAGTTTCCTGGCTTCAGAGGGAGGCCAGTGGCCGGGCGTGGGTGACGTCAGGGCCAGGCCTGAGTCATCGCCAGCAGCCCGGGCCGGGCTGCCCTGCCACTCGGAAGGGGACAAAAGGAACCTTTGATGTCCAGAGGCCCTCCTCTCAGCACACTCGCCGGCACAGACCAGCAGGCCAGGAGAACATTCCTGCCGTCTCCCCACCCCCAGCCGCCCTTCCTACTTCCGGAACAGCCCCAGACAGATTCAACAAGGCCTCCCCAAAGGACATCACCCTCCTGCATGGCAGAGGCATGGCCGTGCTCTGTCAGAGAAGCAGGGAAGAAGAAGAGGGTGTTTCCCTGGGGACCTCTCACTGCCCCTCTGCCATCCCCCTTCTTCTGTGTGGTGCCCACCTTACTCAAGGAGTTGCAGTGGTATTGAAAGAGATGCGGAAAGGTGGAAGGCACTTTTGTCACCATCCCCGGGCAGCTCCTGGTGGTCAGTGTCTATTCTCCTCTGCCTCTGTGCTGTGGCCCTGGGCTTCGCTCCCTACCCTGGGTGCCAACATGAACTAGCTCTTCCTGGATTTAAGACATGACCACTCTTTAAAGGGGATATTTATATCTCAGTGCCTGGCATGAGGCTTGGTAATTATATGATGAATTAAGGAATGATAATTGTAAAATAAAATAGTAGAGGACACATATTAAATACTTAGAGTGAACATTCAAGCCTCTGTGCTTTATGAAGATTATTTCATTTATTGGTATTATCACAACAAAAAAGCTGTGAGGTAGGTACTATTAATATTCCTAATGCTATAGAGAAAGAAATGGATGCTCAGAGAGGTTAAGACACTTCTCTAAAGCCTCACAGCTAGTTAGTTCATGGCAGAGCCTGGATCATCTAATCTCACATCCTGTTTTCTTAATCACGGTGCTGAGTGGCTGGAGTGAATGAAGGAATATTGACCAAGGGCAACCTGGCCAGGAGAAAAGAGACAAAGATGGGACTTGAAACCACATCCTACAAGGAAACAATGAAACAATTAGGAATGTTCTGGCAACATGGGCCTCATGCCTTCTTACTGCGTCAACACCAGGTCTGAGGTTTGGCAAGTGGGTGGCTTACTCAGCGTAGCCAGGAGGGCGAATCAGTCATCAGGTTCAAGTGGGGATGAGAAACTAGGGAGGTCGGATGGACGCAAGCCTGTGGCATGTGGTAGATGCAAAATCCGAGAGCCACGGGGTACAGAGTACCTCGGCGGGAGCCAGAGTCCACGCTTGTCTTTGTTGCCTTCTGGCCTCATGGATGTAGGTGGGAGGGTCAGTCCATCTGGGGTGGACAAGAAGGCTACAGGAAGAAGGACATGACGGCACTCTCAAAGATTCCAGACTCAGAAAGAGTTGGAACTGTGGTGTGGTTTTAGAGTGCAGGAGGAGTGAGAAGGGATTGGGAACAGATCTGGACCTGACAATGGTAGTTACTTTCTACTCTTAGCGCCCTCCTACCAGGAATCAGCTGCCTTTCTGGGCCTGAGGAAGAGTCCTGGCAATGGCTGTGGGCAAGCAAAGGCGAGGAGGGGTGGTGAGAAGAGAACATCTGCTTATCGGGGTATCTGGGCCCAGCATAAGAATGACCTACGAGGTAGCTTCTCCCTCTGTGGTTTATGATTCTGTGGTTTGTACTTTTCCATGATTCTCTTAGAGTAAATGTCTCATTCCAAGAGGAAGACAAAACCAGGAATTTCCAGCCCCTTGTGGAGGCCTCCTTGATAACACACCCACAGCTTTCCTTCCCACTGTGGGTG
The DNA here is from genome assembly GCF_000001405.40 of Homo sapiens. Lineage (NCBI taxonomy): Eukaryota > Metazoa > Chordata > Mammalia > Primates > Hominidae > Homo > Homo sapiens. The sequence goes on along the minus strand of NC_000003.12, from coordinate 141,366,712 downwards.
GGGTGTCAGGTCACAGAGACCACTCTCCCTGACTCAGGCAATCTATGCCTCTGATGCCTGGGACATTGTGTAGTTCTACCTTGTTCCTGGGAGCTCTGCCAGTTGCCACTCTGAGGAATTGCACTTGTTCCATGTAGTTTGAATCCCTAGGCAGGTGGAATTTATAGAGGTGAATTTCACAAGAGAGAAAGCTACATGCTTTTAATCAAGGGAGCAGCAGCAACTGATCAGGTTCACTGTCAGTGTCTGCACACAGCCTGATCTTGGGCTGAGGAAATCGCTTTAAGTTCCAGGCATTTTTGGCAGAAGACTTGTTTATTCTTTTCTTCCTTCTCTGCAGAAAATGCCTCTGGGCACCTCCCTGCTCTGTTTCCCCAAAGACTCAGTGGCCTTGCTTGCTTCATATACACAGGTATTTATTTCTCTAATAAGATGAACAGAGGCTGATTATTTCTTCACCCTGCATCCTATCAGGATAATGTGAACAGAAAAATAAAGAAAAGAAGCAGAAATGATCAGTAAGCTTAAGTGAGACACAGATTCTTGGGTTATATGCTCTGGGGTTGATACTAACAGTGAAAATAAAATCAGAGAACTGGGAAAAATATCCACTTGGAGATACAGAGAAGTAAGTACAATGGCACTTCCCTGGTCTCTACGTGAAGTGGAGCATCCTCCTCCTTTGCTACAACAAATGCAGTTAAATGCTGGTAATTAAAACCAAACCTTTATGAATGCAAGGAATTCCTTGGAAGACTTGTCTATACTTGTTGACTTAGATTTCTCTCATTTTATTCCCTCTCTTTAAAAAAAATTATTAAGGTATAATTTACATATCAGAAAGTTCACTCACTTAAAGTGTACAATTCAATGGGTTTTAGTGTATTTACAGAATTATGTAATTTGTAATCTATTTTTTTTTAACACTTTTTGTCACCACCCCAAAAAACACCATGCTTATTAGGTATCATTCTTCATTTGTCCCCACCTACCAGCCCTAGATGACCACTCATCTAGTTTCTGTCTCTATAGATTTTCCTCTTCTGGACATTTTCTACAAATGGAATCATACAATATATGGTTCAAATATTTGTCCTCTCCAAAACTCATGTTGAAATTTAATCTCCAATATGGCAGTACTGAGAGGTGGGGTCTTTCAGAGGTGGTTAATCCACTCATGGATTAATGGATTAATTGGTTAATGGATTAATGGGTTATCACAAGAGAGAGACTTGTGGCTTTATAAGAAGAGGAAGAGGGACCTGAGCTAGCACTCTCAGCCACCTTGCCATGTAATGTCCTGTGTCACCTTGGGACTTGGCAGAGAGTCCGCACCAGCAAGAAGGTCCTCACCAGATGTGATCCCTAGACTTTGGACTTCTCAGCCTTCATAACTGTAAGAAGTGAATTTCTTTTCTTTATAAATTACCCAGGTTCAAGTGTTCTGTTTAAGCAACAGCAAATGAACTAAGGCATAGAATACTTTAGTACTTCTTTCCTTTTTATGCCCAAATAATATTCCACTGTGTGGGTATACAACATTTTGTTTATCCAAATCTCAGTTGATGAACACTTGAGTTGTTTTCACTTTTTGGCTGTTATGAATAATGTTGCTATGAACATTCATGTGCAAGTTTTTTTTTTGTGGACATGCATTCATGTCTCTTGGGTAGACACAAAAGAGTGGGATTGCTGAGTGATATCGTACTATGTTTAACATTTTGAGAAACTATCAAACTGTTTTCCAAAGTGCTGCATCATTTTACATTCTCACTAGCAATTTATGAGGGTTCTGATTTCCCCACATCCTCACCAATGCTGTTATTGCCTGTCTTTTTTATTATAGCCATCCTAGTGGGTACAATGTGATATCTCATTGTGATTTTGAACTGCATTTAACAAATGACTAATGATGTTGAGTGTGTTTTCAGGAGCTTATTGGTCACTTGTATATCTTCTTTGGAGAACTGTCTATTCAAATCCTTTATCTTTCAAATTGGGCTTTTTTTTTTTTTTTTTTTTTTTTTTTTTTTTTTAGATGTAGTTTCCCTCTTATTGCCTCAGCTGGAGTGCAATGGCACAATCTCAGCTCACCACAACTTCCACCTCCCGGGTTCAAGCGATTCTCCTGCCTCAGCCTCCCGAGTAGCTGGGATTACAGGCATGTGCCACCACACCTGGCTTATTTTGTATTTTTAGTAGAGATGGAGTTTCTCTATGTTGGTCAGGCTGGTCTTGAACTCCCGACCTCAGGTGATCTCCCTGCCTCAGCCTCCCAAAGTGCTGGGATTACAGGTGTGAGCCACCTGGACTAAAATTTTTTTTTTAAAGTTTTCAGTTTTAGGGATTCTTTATATATCCCAGACACAAGTCCCTTATCAGATATATTTTACAATATTATCTCCCTGTCTATGGTTGTCATTTCATTTCTGGTTGGTGTTATTTGAAGCATAAAAATTTTTAATTTTGATGAAGTCCAACTGGTCTTGAACTCCCGACCTCAGGTGATCTGCCTGCCTCAGCCTCCCAAAGTGCTGGGATTACAGGCGTGAGCCACCACACTCGGCCTAATTTTTTTTTTTAAATTTTTGAGTTTTAGGGATTCTTTATATACCCCAGACAAAAGTCCCTTACCAGATATATATTTTACAATATTATCTCCCTGTCTATGGTTGTCATTTCTTTTCTGGTTGGTGTTATTTGAAGCATAAAAGTTTTTAATTTTGATAAAGTCCAACTTATCAATCTTCTCTTTCATCACTTGTACTTTTGGCATCATATTTGAGAAAACATTATCTAACCCAAGGTCATGAAGATTTACACCTGAGTTTTCTTCTGAGAGTTTTATAGTTTTAGTTCTTACATTTAGATCTATGATACACTTTAAGTTAATTTTGCCTATGGTGTGAGGTAGGGATCCACATTCATTCTTTTCATGTGGCTATCTGGTTGTCCCATAACTATTTGTTGAAAAGATTATTCTTACAATAATTCTGTACATATAAAACTATTCTAAAATAAAGAGTTTATTTAAAAAACTATTCTAAAATAAAGAGTTTATTTATTTTTCCCTCTATTGAATTGTCTTGGCCCCTTTGTCAAAAATCAACTGACCATAAATATTAATATTTATTCTTGGACTCTTAATTCTATTCCATTGATTTAGATATCTATTGTCATGTCAGTACCACACTGTTTTGATTACTATAGCTTCATATTATGTTTGGAAATTAGGAAGTGTGAGTCCACCAACTTTGTTCTCTTTCAAAATCGTTTGGCTATTCTGGATCCCTTGCATTGCCATATGATTTTTAGGATCAGCTTCTCAATTTCTGCAAAAAATACAGCTGGGGTTTTGATAGATGTTAAATGGTACCTGCAGATCAATTTTGGGAGTAATCCCATATTAGCAATATTCAGTCATCTGATTCATAAACCTAGGAAACCTTCTCATTTATTTAGATCTTTGATTTATTTCAGCAATGTTTTGTTGTTTTCAGTGTACAAGTCTTGCAATTCTTTTGTTAAATTTATTCTCGAGTATTTTATTAACTGGTATTGTTTATACTGGGAATCATCTATGCTCACGGACTTAAGAGCTTGTGCTTTCATGATCAAAAGTCTTAAGTCCCAGTCCTGGTTTCACTATTTATTAGCTGCATGTAATGTAAGGTTACTTAGACTGTATCAAGTTCTTTTTCTTCATCTGAGAAAAAGGAAATACTAATACCACCTCATGGGTTTGTTATGCAGATTAAATAAGATAATGCATATGTAACCCTATTCAGACCATGACCTACAGGGTGCAGTCTTGGGGTGGGGGGCAGGGTTGCAGCCCAAGAAACCCAGTCTAGTCACCAAAAGTAATTTCTAATTAACTCATATTAATACTTGCATTTCTCAAACATCACAAAGAGCCCCTTCAATTCCCCTCAGCATCCTTTTCCCCTCCTATCCAAGCCTCTTACACCCCATAGCTTCTGCCTCCCTTTCTTTCTCCCAAACTCCCTGAAATCTTTTCTCCAGTCCTAATCAGCCTTCCTCTGGTCCTTCCGCTCTGTCCAGTTCTTCTTCTGTTGGGGCAGAAAAAGAAATTGGACAAACAAAGCCAGAACTCTTGTTAGTGGGCAGGAAGAGAAGAAAATCAGGGAACACTTAAACTTAATTTATGTCCTATCACTCATGTAAAGTGCTTAGTGCAATGTCTGATATATAATAATGGCTCAATAAATGTTGGATTAAAAATGTTTTTTGTGCTGGTGGTCATTTTATGCTATCTATATTTTATGTTATCTATTTTATGTTAATGATGTGGGGGGTTTAGATCATAACCTCTGAGAATCCAGTCTAGAGGTTGCTACCCAATGGCCCATCCTCACTCATTTGGGTGAATTTTGGGAATTCAAATTTGGAATTATTGTTCTCTTTTCTTCCTCCTGAATCACGCCTCAGAGAATCAGCCCTTGGAAAACTATAAAACTTGTAAAAAGTTCATCTTTAGGGATCCTTGAATACTGTTCGGAGGACACATCTGTTTCCTCCCTAGACCAGCTCCAGGACCCTAAACTCTTTCCCCTCCACAAAACCTTCTAGTATAATACCTTCAAGTGCAGGTCAGGACTCATTATTTAGTGGGTCAGCATGGGTTGCAAGTGATAGAATAAAATAAAACAATAGAAAAGATCCAAGTACATTATAACTAACACTTTCGTTTCGATTTTATAATATGTATGTGAGCTGGGTCTCTCTGTGAAACATATTTTCTATTGTGGTTCAGGGTTTTAAAAAAATGTTTAAAAACCAGTGTTGTAGATCCCTCACTTTCGCTGAGGTGTATAAACAACTCATCAGAGCATAAAGTAAACTCCTCTTAGTGATCTGTCCACTTTTATAGGGATGGAGACCTTAAGTCCTAGGGATGAAGCTCCATCAGTAGTGAAGTATTTGGGGGCACTGAGGCTCTTTCCTGTAATTTACAACACTTGGAGAAGGAGTAACTTCTGTTTGCTGTCTGGACCTACCCTGCTCCCTCATGCTACCCCATAGCCATCCCCTTCTCTCATTCCCACAATATCTACACATTCACACCTTGAACTTGTTGTGGGGTTTTCTATTTTTCAAGACTCTTTCACTTTCTCCATCTCTTCTGGTTTTCACAACTATTCTATGAAGTTGATGGGTCAGACGCAAGTCCTTGCTTGACCACTTAACATACTGTGTGACCTTAACTTCTCAGCCTCAGCTTCCTCAGTTCTGTTATCTATATAAAACCAGAGAAGTCAAGAAATTTGGCCAACATCACACAGCCCAGAAGTGGCAGGACCAGGAACAGAACTAGATTTTCCACCTCCCAGCCTGGTTGTCCTGCAGGCTCCGCTTATGGAAATGCACATCTTTTTTTAGAGGCATGATTCATCTGACTACCTTACAAAGAATGTTTAAAAAGCAGAGAATATTTTGCCCTCCCCTCCCCGCCATATCTAAAAACACTGACTTTTATGGCACCAGGCACAAGACAAACAACTCTTCATGCTTCGTGGTAAGGGGTTATCACACTCAACATCAAAGACTATTTATTTAAGGCTGGGGCGGTCAGAAACAGAAACAAAGTCAAGAGGAGAGGAAAACAAAGTTCCCTGAGTGCTCTGTTTTTGTCCTTTGTGTAGCAGAGTGTCCCCTCTAGTGGCTCTGGAGGAAAATAGCTTCTGGAAAACAAATTTACAGATTTGACATTGACGGAGTCAGAGAATTTGGTGCTTTAGGTGAGCTTAAAGCACTTGGTTCTGTGCTTCCTTTTATTGATGAGAAACTGAGGACAAGAGCAGTGATTCTCAACCAGGGGTGCGTTTGCCCCCTGGAAAACGTTTGGCAACATCTGGAGACTTTTTTATTGTCATTTTGGGGGTAATACCGTCAACAGTGGGTAGAAGCCAGGGATGCTGCCAAACATCCTATAATACACAGGACAGCCCCCCGACCCCAACACAACTATCTGGTCCAGTAAGTCGATAGTGCCGAGGTGAAGAAATCCTAGACTAGAAAAATGACGGGACCTGCCCAGGGACTTACAGCTTATTCACAGCTTTTGACAGCTCAGACTAAGCACTCTCTTTTTGTTCCTTACTTTTTAAAAATTAGAATTGTTAATGATTCAAAAATAATACATGTTCATAAATAAGAGTAATATAATAAAATATAATTAAAAGATTTTCCATCCCCTCATGCCTCCCCAGAATCAATGTTAAAATCTTTGGTGGTTGATTAGGCCGAACTGTATTAGAAATGACAATTGTAGACCCTTTTTGATGTACAAAAATGGCAATTTCTGATGGCAAAGCTTAAGACGTTCATCCCTCACTCCAGGCACACGCCGAAACAAGCATCAAGGCACACAGGGGATTCTTTTGACTTTGCTTGTCATACAGGAGTTAGAGTCAACAGCACAGATTATAAGCAGCACTGTGGGGTCCCAGAGCTAAGATGGTCTATGACAGACATTAGAGGACACTGAATTGTGTGGTGCATGTGTTTAATGCCTCTTTGACACTTGGGATCTCACCCTTTTGTAGAGAGCTTGGTTCAGGATTAGAGTCTTCTGTAGGCTATGCTGTCTAACTAGAAATTAGTAAGATTCTTTTGTTGTTTTTGTATTTATTATTATGGGCACTTTATAGGAAGCACTGTTGGTTTTCTATTGAATATGAGGTTTTAAAACTTCATCTTATGACAAATTTATAAGAAAAACTAAGACAACTCAAAAAAATTTTGTTGTTTTTGTTTATGAGACAGGGTCTTGCTCTGTTGCCCAGGCTGGAGTGCAGTGGTGTGATCATGGCTCACTCCAACCTCAACCTTCAGGGCTCAAGCAATCCTCCCACCTCAGCCTCCTGAGTAGCTGGAACCACAGGCATGGACCACCATGCCTGGCTAATTTTTTAACTTTTTGTAGAGATGAGGTCTTGCTGTGTTGTCCAGGCCAGTCTCGAACTCCTGGGCTCAAGTGATCCTCCTGCGTTGGCCTCCCAAAGTGCTGGGATTACAGGCATGAGCCACTGCACCTGGCCCATTATCTTTTTATTGATTACTGTTTTTCTTATCTTCACTGTGCCATTTGACCACATTCTTATCTTCAAAAAATACTGTCCTTTGCTGGACTAAGAATGCTCTACTATCCTGGATCTTCTTTGTCTCTTGTGGCAAACACTGTTGTTAGCCTACACAATTGCCACTACCTCTTCCTTCCTTCTTGCTGGGCACAGCTCACCACCCACCATAGGGGCTGACAATGGCAGATAGGCACATGCTCAGCCTACCTCGCAACTAAGGCATGGATGTGTGGCATGATCCTGGCCAATGGCACATGAAGGGAAGTTTCTTGGGTAGAGCACTGGGAAAAAGTTTCTTTCCTTAAAAGCCAGAGATTCAGGTTTCTGTAGGCAATTGTATGAAGAGGTGATTCCTTGAAGAGCAGCAGCATCTTCCAACAATGAGGGGGAAGGTCAGAGTGTAAAAACCAGTACATTAAGATGGTGAAGAGAAAGGTGGAAGAGCTGGGTCCTTGGCAACACTGGTAAGTCCTGGGCCAACTCGAGAACCACCTACTTCCAGATTTCCTGTTAGTAAGATAATATGTCTTTGTCATTTATGCCATTTGTAGTTCAGTGTTCCTTACTTGCAGCCAAAATCTTCCTTACTGAGCACTCATATGACCACATAACAGCTACTCACTGGCCTCCTAATGGCTCTCCTTGGTCGCCCAGCCCCAATCCACCATCCTGAATCCAGTCCCTTCTCTCTAAAGAGCCAGTTTGGTTAGAGAATTCTGTAGTTCAAGCCTTTAGTGGTAGTATTGTGCCAAATCAAAGAAGCCACTGACAAAAGACCACAAATTCTATGTTTTCATGCATATAAAATGTCCAGAACAGGGAAATCTATAGGGGCAGAAAATAGATTAGTGGTTGCTTAGGGCTGGGATGGAGATAGGGGCTTAGGGAGGTGACAGCCAAAGGGTACAAGGTTTCTTTTTGAAGTGATGAAAATTTCCTAAAAGTGACTATGTTGATGGTTGCATTTGTCTGTGACTATACTAAAAAAATTTGAATTATACACTTTAAAAGGGTGCATTTTACACTTTAAATAGGTGAATTGAATGATGTGTGAATCATATCATAATAAAGCCATTTTTAAAAGAACATTTCAGTGGTGATCTATTATCTAGAAAATAAAGCACAAATTCATTTCCTTGACTTTCAAAGTTTTCCACCCTCTGGCCTCAAACTATCATCTAATTTAAATCCTCCTGACTTCCCTATATGGCAGACAATTGGACAGATCGCAAGGCTTCCAGACACACAACCTGTGCTTCACTGCTTCTCTGCCTTTGCTCCTTTGTTCCCTGGGCCTGGCAGGATCCCTCCCACCATCTTGGTCTATCAAAATTTAACTTGCCTCTGAGGTTCAATTCAAATGTTCTCCCTAATATTTCTGCCTGGAAAGCCAGGCAGAAATGCCCCTTGCACCTCTGAATTAGTAGAATTCAACAGACTTCCTGTGGCGCTTACCTTGTCCTCTTTCATAGGCTGATTGGCTATATGACCACAGTTTCTGAATCAGAAGTTGGTGCTAATACTGTGTCAGTAAGAAAGAATATTACAAACCAGGACTACTTTAGAAAATTTGGATTATGTGGCTACCATAATAGCCTTCCCACTAGAGTGTATGATCTTTATTGGGAAACATCTTTTCCTCTCTCACAGAGTTCTCACCACGGTCTCTCAGATGAATAAAAGAGCTTAGGTTCCTTTTTTCTCTACAATGCATATAAAATGTGGTTAGGTGGTGTTAATTAAGGGTCTTACCTCTGCATTATACAACAAATAAATAAAAGCTAAGTTGATGATACAAACTTTTTTAAAGACCACAAAAATAGCCAGGCGCAGTGGTTCATGCTGTAATCCCAGCACTTTGGGAGGCTGAGGTGGGCAGATCACCTGAGCTCAGGAGTTCAAGACAAAAATTAGCAGGGCGTGGTGGCGGGTGCCTGTAGTCCCAGCTACTCAGGAGGCCGAGGCAGGAGAATCGCTTGAACCCCGGAGCCGGAACTTGCAGTGAGCCGAGATTGCGCCACTGCACTCAAGCCTGGGCAACAGAGCGAGACTTCATCTCGAAACAAACAAACAAATGAACAAACAAACAAAACAAAACAAAAAACAAAAGATGACAAAAATACCAAATGGAAAAATAAAAGAATATTTTTATAATGGAGGGTGCCTTCCTGAATAAGTCACAAAACTCCAAATACCATAAAGTAAGTCATTGATAGATTTCTTTGCATAAAAACCCTGTTTGGCTAAAGACACCATAAACACTGTTGAAAGACAAATGACATACTTTGAGAAAATATTTTCAGGAGAATAATAAAGGATTAATATCAGTGCTAATAGAACAAACAACACACAAGAAAGAGGGCAAAGAAAAAAAAGTAAGTCATAGAAAAAGTACCAATGACAAATAGTATATAAAACATGTTCAATATCACTAGCGTCAGGGAAATGGAGACCAACACAAGGAGGGTCATTTGCCTGTCGCATTGGCAAACATGGAAAAGATTAAGAATATGCCTAATGGTCAAGTGTATGGAGAAAAGATCAAACACAAATAGTAGTAATGAGAAAACAAATTGGTTCTATATAATTTATAACATATATTATACATAATTTTGAAGACAGCAATTTGGTAGTGATCTAATTATTTTCTGCAATGAACAGATATTACATTTATAGTTCCCAAGTGAACTTTTAAAAAAAGTCATTCTTGATGATTAATGAAGGAAATCTTAAATCTTTTTTCCCCAATTTCTCCATTCTAAGACACTTATATAGAATACGCTTATTAAGATAATTTCCCAGTTGTTTGCAATAACAAATAAGGAAGCCTAGCAGGAACAATCATCTTTAAAAGCTCTCCTCTAACACTTTAAGTGAGAATTTAAGAATTGCCCATATTTGCCTGGACTGATACAGCCAGAGCACTTGACCAATTGACCAACTCGATGAGGAGAGCAGGGAGGGGGACGAGATGCTGCTCTGCCTTGGTTTCCCCATCCCTGGCTTCCCTTGATTGGTATTTGGTTGTGTCAATGTGTTTTGTTTCCCTGATGCTTGGTGAGGCTTTCATGTAAGGTTAGATGTAGTACAGAATTGTGTCAGTCTTTATGGTCGACCAAATACCGAGGCTTCCCCTGAACCTGGCATATTTTCTTACCCTACTGTCTTTCCTAAACAGAGCCGCAGCAGCCCTGTAACACTTTTGTATGAGTGAGAAAAGGTGTCCCTTGAAGTGTAGCCCCATGCCAGGATGCAAGGCTGGGCGAGGGAAGAGCCGTCTGTCTTCTCACCCCTGGGCCACTGTATGAGCAGTCCTATTCCTTACTCCAGCCCTAGTCCAACTGCTGTGCAGGAAATCCTAACAAATTGCCATTTCCTCACTTCCCATGGTCCCAGGGCACAGCAGCATCTGCTACAGTTAATGCTTTCTTTCCATGGCTCCTCTTTCAGAACTGCCCTTTGAGATTTCATCAGGGCTCCACATCGCCTTTGTTAATGCACTTGGCCACACAACCCCCACTCCACCACACACACACAAACACACACCTATAGGCTGAGTGTTCACCCATGAAACAGAGTGGCAGAGAAGTTAATTGGTGTCCTTTTTACTGCTGCGGCCTTACCAGCAAAAAAGCATGATAAGGGAATTTCTTCTTAGCTTTGAATTTTGTGTCTTGGGCTGGCTCTCCTTCCTCAGGGGGAAAGAAATAGCCCTTTGTGCTTTGGAGCCTAAAACAGAGAAGTTTTTGGGCTCCCAGGATAAAGCCCCTCCACTCAGATCTTTGTTTGAAATCCAGACTGATTAAGAAGAATTATTCAGGATGGTGGAGACAGTTGCTGTGGCTAAAGGAGGAGAGGATGGTCCAGCCCTACTGGTGACCCCCCTAAGATGGGAAGTCTGTGTGGGAGGTGGGTGTTTGGGCTAGAGATTTACAGGGTGGCAGGGATCTACATCCCACCCCTGCTGTGTGAACTCAGGTGGGAGCTACTGGAAAGCCTGTGGAGGCTGCACACTGTACGCTCTGACTTTGAGAGCCGGAGTAGGGCTCTCCATGGATAACCTGTGGCCAGGGGAGACAAGCACAGCACCAAGACGCCTTTCCATGGCCCCCTAGAGGGTCCAACTAGCAGAAAAGACTAGAACATGGAGTAGCAGGAGTAGCGGTTACCACGACAACCACCACGGTCTATGAATCAGGATATCCCCATTTCTCTGGGCATGTGAAAGACTAGGGCTCCTGTACATGCCCATGGAGGGGTCAGGAAGACCCAGTAATCAGGATATTAGACTATTTCCCAACCTTGGAGAGTAAGGACCTTGTAGCCAAGTTTAATCTGATTTTAGAGAAGTACAGGAATGTGACATTCTTTGCCTCTGGGTATTGCTATTACACAGCATTCTTACCTGTTACCCACATTTATCTCTATAATGTAATCTATGAGATTCCCTGGAAAGAGAGGAGTGCTTGTACTTTGAGGAGAGCTTCCTCAACTCTCCTTCCTCTCATTGTAATCTTTACCTCTTAGAAATTCTAAGAGAATATAAACTAAGCATGTATAGCTTAGTTTATAACAATGTGTGCATATATTAATTTAGTGGAAACATGACTTCTTAGGATCTTGCCATGTGCTCCACTACCCATCCTAAAAATAAGATGAAAACAGGATCTTCAAGAAGAATCGTGAGAAAGAGGCCTGGAATTAGGCCTAGACCCTCCATCTTGGTTACGCCTATCATTCTCCCAGTGCCCATCATTCTCCCAGTGCCCATCACCTGAGGAACAACAGGATGAACTGCAAGTCCTTAAACAAATGGATTTAGTTCCTCTGACTCAATCAGAGTTTTGCAGTAATAGCCATTATGCAAAAAGCAATGTGTTAAGTATTCTGAGAGACAGAGAGAAGTAAAAGATATGGGTACTTCCAGGAGGAAGGTACTGCCTGCCTGGAGAGATATGCCGATGAATCCCGAGGTGGGGCTGTGCTGACCATGAGCAAGGGAGGATGTAGGGAGCCCAGAAAGCTACAAGGACTGGACCAGTCAGGAAGGCTCCCTGGAAGAGAGCTTCTAGGAGGAAACTTTTGCCCATCCAATTTCTCCATTTCAGTCAGCTGGGAGAGAGAGGAGGGGAAAGAGAGAGAAACTCCAGGGAAGAAGAAGCTGGCTGGACAAAGGGACAGAGATGAGAATGGCCACCACCTGATTGCGAGGCAGCATGTTGGAAGCAATGGGGAATGCATGGAGTGTGGCCTGGAAAGTGGGACCAGCTTTCAATGCTGTATAGAGTTTTTCAGACACTGGGCAGCTGGGTTTTCAGCTCAGGAATTCCATGCTGAGAGCAGGGTTTAAAGAGGATTAGCAGGCAGCTCACGTGGGATATACTGAGTGTTAAGGGTTTTGTAGGTTAGTAATGATTTCCTTGTAATAACGTTTATGGTATTTTTTAAAAGTTAACTTTGAGATACAAGCATTGTGTGTATTGTGCACAGAACTTTGAAAGAGATTATACCTTGATACCACTTAATCCACACTATTTGTAAGAGTGTGAAGGGATTATTGACTTACGAAATCAACAAGTCCAACCAAGAGGGCCTGAGTTGAAGAAATTTTGGGATAAGACCAGATACCCAAGTGTTGACTTCATAAGGTGGCTTATGAATTCCTGCAGCAGTTAGCTGATGATCATGTTGTTCTGCAAGACCACACTTGCCGGAGGAACAACTAGAGTGTTCCTGGAGATAACTGCTGGAGTCCAGGATAGCTTCCAAGAAGCTGTCTCCATCTACAGTGAGTAACAGTGAACCAGGACTGTCATCAGACAGCTAGGAGCAATCTCACTGCACTCAATGCCTCATTTGCTATGCTCATGTGTCCATTTATTCATTCACTCATTCATTCAAGTATTTCTACCTGCTAAGGCGCTGTGGAAGATACAGGCTTCAGCAATGTGTGGCATGGTCCATAATCCATGGGAGAAACATACATACATACAAATGATAGTGGAGCCATTGTTCTCTCTTTCCTTCTTCCCCCTTCTCCCCTTCCCCCCTTCCCAATGCCCTTTCCCTCTGGAAAACTGAAATATCTATTGTATTGGTAGGTAATTGATTCTCAATTTTCTTCCATGAGTTCTAATGTCTTTTGCTTTTTGGTTAGTAGCAAGAGTGAAGACATTCAATGAGAAATTTTAGAATTCTTTACTTTTCTCTACTTTCTAAGAGGTGTGGGTTGGAGGAAGCTTGGGGGTAAGTGATGCAAAAGGGGAAAGATGAAAAAGGGGCATCACCCTCAGGGGGAAGGGCCAGAACTCATGGAAAGAAGAGAGGGTTGGGTTGAGGTCTGAGGGCTTGGTTTGGAGAGAAAGAAAGAGGAGGCGGTAGAAGAGAAATGGTGAAGGTGACAGAGACAGAGAGATTGATGGGGAGGAGAAAAGAGAGAGCCTCTGGGCTTAAACACCCCTGGTGAACTGAGGGATTTGGGACGAAGGGACTCTTGTCTGTCTGGAGGAAGTTTTGCTGTGCATTATGCCCTGAAACTCCTTCATCATGGTCTGCACATACTCTGCTACTTTTCAAGGTTTGGGGATGGGGGAAGGGGAGGTCAGGGTTTGTTGGTTTGTTTGTTCATTTGTTTGGCATGCAAACTAGTACTACTAAGACTGAAGGCAGCTTAGTCTTATTTGGGGGTTCTTATGTTACCTTCAATTTTGCAGTCGAGTGTCTTCAGGTTTCCTTTGTCTGTGCATGCTTGATATCTGGGCTCACTGGCCTGTGAGTTCGCTGTGATCAGAGATATGGCTTTTATGGCTGCAGCATGTAGTGGCCCAGCTCAGCGGGGCCACTCCTTCATCTGGGGAAAATACAGGCTTCACTCTCTACTCTGCCTAGAGAGCTGCTTTGTGGCAAAGATCATCCATCCCTCTCGTCCACTCTCTGGCTTACCCCATTTGTCATGTATTATGCCTATAATTCATTTTGCTTTAAGTTCTCCCCCAGTTCCCTTCACCCATGTATACCATCATCACCCCATTTTCCTAGCTATTCCTTGAGCCAACCCTAGCTGGCTTTCCCTTTATGAAATGCTTCATCTGTTCTTGCCTGCTTACTCATCTCTCTCTTAAACTTGAAGCCCTCCCATTGACCTTCCCTCCATCTGTATATCTTCACTCTAAACATACTCTGAATCTTACCCCTTCTACAACATTCTGATTCTGAGAGTTCAGATTATCATGGGTTCTTTCATAGTCTATACATACCTTGAGGACACAGACATATTTATTTGTGTAACCCCAGAAGGAGGCAGGTGCTGGGATTATACATCCCAGATAGCCACACGTCTCCCTCTCTCACTTCATTTGGGTTTCTGCATGAAATAGCAGCCCACTCTCTCCACTCTAGCTTCTTTTTCTGCTCTATTTTTCTTTATCACTTGATATATAAAAAAATTATTTATTGAATTGCTGACTATCTGCCTCCCCTGCTCCCCTAGAGTGTAAGCTTGGTGAGAGCAAGGACTTTGTCTGCAGCATTAGGCCAAAACCATGCCTGGCATATTTATTGGGTAAATGAATTCTTGGTAGGTCTCAAGTACTCAGTCAATATGGAACTGAATTAAATAATGAGAAGTAAACCTCTAGAAACAAAACCTTACAAAAACAAGACTTTATCTTTGTATTGAAATCTCCAACAACCTGAGGTTCAAATGGTATCTTCCTCTCCCATGGGATTTAAAAACCCCTCAAAAATATAAGCTTAACTCATCTATAAATGAATTGTTAGATCACGATTGCACTTAATATTTAACATTTTCAACCTATAATATTGAATCTGAGAAAAGCGAAAAGGGAAAATTAATGACAATACTTTTTTTTTTTTTTTTTTTTTTAAGAGACAGAGTCTTGCTCTGTTACCCAGGCTGGAGTGCAGTGGAATGATTACAGCTAACTCCCAGGCTCAAGTAATCCTCCTGCCTCAGTCTCCCACGTAACTAGGACTACAGGCATGTGCCACTGTGCCTGGCTTTAAAAATTTTTTTTTGTAGTGACAGGGTCACTATGTTGCCCAGATAGGATCTGTCTGGTCATGAACCCCTGGCCTCAAGCAATCTTCCTGCCTCAGCCTCCCAAAGTCCTAGGGAGGGAACTTTCTCTCCACCATGCCTGGTCTGATATATGTTTTTGTACTATTAAAGAAAAGTATTGATAATTTTATCTTTGCAAGACAATTTTTATTTTGCTAAGCTGACTTGGACCAGACATTTACATTGGCATTTGGAATGAATGTATGTCATATGCCTCTTTTTAAAAATTGTGAATTGTATATTAGGAGCATTCATAAAACATGGTTGTACCATTTAAAGGATAAGTATGAAGCAAGCAACTGGTCAATTACTTCTCAAGTCAAATAACAGTAATGTCAGTTCTCTAGGAGCCCCTAGCATTCCTTTCTGAGTTCTGAGCACAACCACCTCCCTGACCTAGAGATAACACAACCCTACCCTGTGTGATAATCTTTCACTGGCTTTTCTTTATAGTTTAGCAACCCACGTTTTATAATATAAATTTTTTTCAAAATAATAATGCACATTGTTAAGAAAAAATAAATAAAGCAATGGTGAACTGTCTTCTCCAGTACTACTGTACAAAGGCAATCGTTTCTTACCTTTTCAGACATTTCTTCTGGTAGACATCTCCATATCTTTAAGCAATATGCTTATATTGCTAGCGCATGCTGTATTCATTTTAAGAGAGTGAGAGTAGAGGAAAGGAATGTTCTTACCAACAGAATGAAAATTTGAATTTTATCAGAACTTTTCTTAGCAACACTTGATGCTAGAAGGCATTGGAACAATTTTTCCATGTTTCAAGAAAAAAACAATTTTCAAACTAAAAATACACTTTTGACTCATATATCAATTAAAGGTGATAATTAAATATGATGTCAAAGAAAATTGATCACCTATACATCCTTTCTAAAGAAGTTACCTGAGGATCTGTTTCAGCAAACCAAGGAATTAAGACCAGAAAGAACAAAATGTAGACTCCAAGCAATTTAATCCAGTGAAGACCCAGAGAGCAAGACGTCCAAATTGAAGTAGGTGAGGTCTCAGGAGCAAAGAAGAGGATTTGATAGAATTACTGATTACATAAGGAGACTGAATAAACTTGAGGGATAAAATGATGACAAAGATGCTCAGAAAGGCAAATACAAACTCCAGTGAAAAAAACCAAAAGACTATACAAGAAAAGAAATATAATCAGAGTGGTTACTAAACCTACAATATTTTTCATGGTCACCATAATGTAAGCCCTGTTACTCATTTTCAACTCCTAGACTAAACCTATAAAGAAAGCACAAAAGACTTCATTTTAGTCACAACACAGACTACAAATGTCATAGAGGATCTTTTCTTATCCCCGATGTGTAAACGTAATGATTCTATGTCTAATGGACTCATGTCCTTCAGCTCTAGGAAATGTCTTCTATTTCTCAATATGCATTTTCTCTTACTGTCACTACTATTAGTCAGCTGTGGAGCATCCTGGATTAGCCCTCTAAGACTCTTTCGTTTTATGATTTCTATCTTTTTGTCCTCTTTGGGAGATTTCTTTGAATTTATATTCTAATGCTTTTGTTTAAAAATATATAGAGATATTTTTGTAAATGTTTTAAATATCCAAGGGCTTCTAACAATGCTCTGATTTTTCTTTTTTCATTGCATCCTGTTCTTTTATGATGCAATATCTCATCAAATTTCTCAGGGGTGCCAACTGGGGGTTTCTTTCTTCCCTTCTGTTTCTCATCTTTACTCTTTTCTTGGGCCATTCTTGTTTTTATTTTTATCTGTCTTTCGTGATGTATTTTTATTTATTTTTTTGAGACAGAGTCTCACTCTGTTGCCCAGGCTGGAGTGCAGTGGCATGATCTCAGCTCACTTCAACCTCTGCCTCCCAGGTTCAAGTGATTCTTGTGCCTCAGCCTCTCAAGTTGCTGGGATTACAGATCTGCACCACTACACCCAGCTAATTTTTGTATCGTGTTGTATTCTTTCTTCAAGTATCTGATCATCCTCAGTTGTCTTTAATTCAGAATGAGACAATAAGGTGCTAATTGGCTTTGGGGTTTTTTGTTTGTTTGTTTGCTTGTTTTTTGCACCTGGAATGAGCTTACTAGTGGTGATTTAACCTTGTGGTGATTTAGCGGTTAACTGCTGCATGATCTCAAACAGCACTCTGTGCTTTAGTTTCTTCCTAGAGTTGTGAATATTAAATGAATTAATATATAATGTACTAATTGCAGTGTTTTATAACTATTTGCTGCTTCTATTACTTGCATTATAATTACTTGGTAGGGACTCAGCTATTTAGCTAGGGAATTCCTAAATGTCAGGATATCAGGAGTTTCATTTTTGGGGCCACCTCATTTTTAGAGAGAAGAGCAAGTCTGTCAGATTTTTAGTGGAGTGAGGGAGAAAAGGTAGAGGAGGGCCTGTCTGGCTGCCAAGTGGGGTGAAAGGCTAAGTGCTCCTTTGGGGTATTTCATGAATCATGGTGATTTCAGCCCCATCACTCTCTCAGCTGATGTTTATGAGTTGCCTAGTCTCTTAGATTTTGCATTGCAAAGATTTCCTCCTCAGTTCTAGCCTCCCCCACCCTTACTCTTGTAATATAGGTTTGGCTTCCTTTATCTTTCTTCTACCTCCACTTCTCCATCCACTGTTTACCCTCCAGAAATTCTGTAAAATTGCTTCTCTGCCGGGAGTCCCTTTACCATTACTATGGTGATTATCACTTTTTAAATGCCATTACTATCATTTTAGTGGGGTCTTGGTGAGGATAAATCAAGTGTGCTTATCTGCCATCTTGAATCAGATACTCATTGGCTCTTGACAGATACAGTGCCAGGTTCCATGTTTGAAATCCTAGCTCGTTTATGTGCTTTACTTACACTTGTACAGTCCTTTAAGCTTGAGTAAGACGAGAAAAGGAGGGAAGAAAGGAAATGGTAGCCACATTGACTTGCTTTAGTTGAGGGCCCTTTGACGATATTCTACTAATGCATTCCCCTCCTGGAAGGATCTAAATTTGCAGTCAGCAGGAGAGAGGATTTTAGGCTAAGGTTCAGGAAAGACACTGCAAGTAATGATAAAAATAAATCACTTAAAGAGGAAGATATAATTACTTCCAAGTTCCAAAGCTATTATGAGCATTTCTTTTACTGTAACTACTACTGGATAATTCCTCCATGGCACTATTGCTGGAAATCAGCATGTATATTAGCTCAAGAATAGATGTGGGCTATTTCTACAAAATACAGTAGCAGTTCCATTATGAATAACAATTATTCACGGGCTTATGATTTATCATTTCCATTACATTTACCATATGACCATATATAGTAAAATTAGGCCACTCCTTTGAAGCTCAAGATGGTGGAATTCACAAGCATTTATGATATTTAAGCATTTTAAAATGTTATGGGCAAATACAAATAACTTCAATAGATTAAGAACTACCCTTCAAACAAATAATTACAAATAATAATAGATTGGCAACCACAACTGTAATTAAATAATCTACTAATGGGTAATCTATGTTAAAGGAAAATGTGTTTTAACCATGACATATGTATCAGTCAGGGTCTAATCAGAACAAGAGAAACCATTACATGTATTTATAACAGAAGGAATATAATATAGAGACTTGGTTACACAGGTGACAGAGAATCTGAGAAGCTAAGAATAGTGACAGCAGGAAGTCACTCCCAATCCTGGACTGAAGGAACCATTGGAGGAGATGGTGTTACCAATGTCCAGGGACTAGGGTCACTGAGAACAGCCACAACCATGGCAGCCTTTCTGGCAGGAACTGGAGCCAGGCCTCTGCTACTGTCAGACGCACCATCCACATCTGAGAGGCTTAGGGAGAGAAACCCTGGTCTTTTCCTTCCTCCTGCCTTCCAGTGTTTCTCATTGGCTGAGCCCAGCCGGAGCCTAGGTGACCTGGCAGCCAGAGAAATCTGTTTGCAAAAGTGGGCACTGGTAAGACAAAGAGCAGAGTAGGTGAAGGGTGAGGAAGGAGTCTGAAACCAAACAGGCCCGTGTATAATGTATTTTACACAGCGTGGTCCTTCCTTAGGTTAAACATATGCTAAGAGACTATATATTATAGAAATATATGTGTACATGCCTCTATGGCTCTATATATACTCAGATCAAATTATGTCTTGTCCAGTCAAGTCAAGACTGTCTTAATGAATTCAGATCAGGTTCAAATGAGCCATAAACTATTGCTCCTCTGGCCACAAATTATACTTTTAATTTTTTAAACCAAGAAGCACATCACCCCACCACCTTTGAAAGTAGAGACAATTTCTCTACTCACATTTTGTCTGTAACCCTAACACTAGGAGCATAGAGTCTAAGATGCACAACTACAATTCCCATGACTGCAGAAATGCCATGCAGCCCACGCATATGTAACTCATCAACTGTGTGGCGTTTGAAACAGTGACAACTAACTTGAATATGCTTTGGTAATTTTCATGAGAATATAAAAGCAGTGCATTCTGAAACCTAGGCTTCACAACTGATGAGGAACAGTTCTTTGGTTCTTCCTTTATAAAAGCTAGTGGCGGAAGTGCTGAACCAGCTGTTTCCCTCAGTAATTTCCACCAGGCAGATGGCAGAATAAAACATTCGTAGTAGACAGTGCTTTCTTTCAGAGACTGAAATGTACAGGTACGTGAAGAAAGCTTGAGGTTTGGCCTTCTTCATGTGTGAGCATTGCACCACACACACACACACACACACACACACACACACAAAACAAAACAAAAAACCTCGGAGAGTTTGAGAGGCAGCAGGGGTGCCTTCAGCCTGTGTTTTCTAGAAAGTCTGATGGCTGGCAATGTGGAGTGGACCAGGCTGAGCCCAGCTGGGCACTGGCTCATTTCCTATTTACCCCTCGTCTGAGCGTCTCACTGTAGCACTCCCTTTATTCAGTAAAACTTTACACCAAGAGGAAGTAAAAATATGGAGCTGCCAACCGCGCTGCCCTTTTCATCCTGACCTTTGTTGCAACAGAGTAATAGCTTGGATGAATGAAAGGGAACTGTATGATTAATTCTAAATAATTATAACAAAAATGGGTAGAAGGGAGGAAAGGAGAAAGGGTGGGATAAATTAAAGGAGGAGTGGCTCACGAGGAAATTTCTCCAGCCAATGGGAAGCGTTTATTTCAATGCTGCTAAGCCCTTCCTCACTCCAGCGTCAAGGTTATTCACAGAGAAAATCCCCTAATAACAGGTTATCAGCTCTGGCTAATCACCAGGAGTGTTAAAATAGCTAGAGGACCAGGCCTGTTTAATCAGACTGTCTGGGGTGACACCTGGGTATCAGTATTTTTTAAAGGTACCCTGTGATTTCAACGTGCAGCCAGGGTGGAGACTCTCTGAGGTGAGCCCCACCTTGGATATATCATGGCCAAAGGTTAAACAACAGGAGCTTCAGAGAGAGGTGATTGCTTTAACTGGTAAGAAATCACAGCCACTATTTAGAGCAGTGGAGCCCAGTAGGTATTATTCCAGGAAATTTCTTCAGCCTCTGTAAGCCAGAAACTGCCCCCGAAGCCCTGCCGGGAACAGACATTGCCTTCCACTCATACCCTTCTGAGCAGACATTCTCAGTGGGGGTGGCCTTGTCCCCCGGGAGGTCTTTGGGAAATCCATGGGGGTGTCTTCAGTTGTCACAATGATTTGGTGGGTGAGGGCCTGGGGGAAAACTAAGCTGTTAGAATGGGCAAGGGAGGGATGGGAAGGAAACTAGCATTGGAACCTATCGTAGGTTAAGCACTACCAGCCTCCCACCTCCCACCCCAAGACACACCCACACACACACCCATGCACCACAACCATAAGCAGCCTTTCTGAGCTCAGGGAGAAGTAATATGCCAACACAGGGAAGCTAAGAGATGGAACCCAGGAAAGAGATGGGAGAATACTGTCCTTGCATAGTAAGGCCAGGATAATTAGTTTACATAAAATAGGGTCAAAGTTGAATTAGCAGAAGCACTATGAATCTCACATGCAAATAGATGGGTTGAGAAAAGAAAAGTCTAGGAGAGAATGAGCTGCAGGCCGAGCAGAAGCCCTCATTTCTTCATGCCCCCATGTATACACCACCATGGGCCAGAGCTCACCTGTTCCCAGCATGTAGTCCAACATCAGCTGTCCAGGCCCTTGCAGCCATAGCCAAGGGTAGCCCTGTGGTTGCTCCTCCATATCTGTGTCACAGGACTGACCTTTACCAACCCTCCCAAAGCCATTAAAAAAAAAAAAAGTTCTGCCATCTGGGAACACTGTGCCTCCCTTTCCCACAGAAACCACTAGAGCTTCTTCCTAAGCCATACATCTATCTGGAGTGGGTGCCCCATTTTTCCAACTTATCCCAACACAAAGTCTTCTCCAGCTTCTTTTGCAAAAGTTCTTGGTAGTTCGTGTGAGAGAGGTTGATGACTCTTAGCAATATACAGTTAAGCTTAGATCTCTAGATGACAAGAAGTGTCTGGAAATACCATAGGCCTGCCTCCCCTCTCAGGAAGATGAGAATTTCCTTAATTTCTTCCCTAGGATTAACAGCAGGACTTCTTGCAATAGCAGCTGTGATAGACAGAATAATGGACCCCCAAAGATGTCCAGGTCCTAATTCCAAGATCATGTGAATATGTTACCTTCCATGGCAAGAGAGGCTTTGCAGATGTGATTAAGATTATGGACCTTGAGGTGGGGAAATTATCCTGCAAGATCTGAATAAGCATAATATAATCTTGAGTCCTTAAAAGCAGAGGACCTTTCCCAATTGTAGTTAGTGAGAGAGAGACATGACTATGAAGAAAGGTCAGAGAAATGCACAATGCTGGCTTTGAAGATGGAAGAGCTGGGTGCAGTGGCTCAAGCCTGTAATCTCAGCACTTTTGGAGGCCAAGGCAGGAGGATCACTTGAGCCCAGGAGTTTGAGATCAGCCTGGGAAACACAGTGAGACCCCACATCTACAAAAAATAAAAACAAAAAATTAGCCAGGTGTGGTGGCATGTGCCTGTGGTCCCAGTTATTCAGGAGGCTGAGGCAAGAGGATCATTTCAGCCTTGGAGGTTGAGGCTGTAGTGAGTTGTGATTGTTCCACTGCACTCCAATCTGGGTGACAGAGCAAGACCATGTCTCAAAATAAATAAATAAATAGAAGAAGAAGATGGAGGAAGGAAGCCATGAGCCAAGGAATCAGGACCGTCTCTAGAAGCTGGGAAGGGTAGGGAAAGGGATTCTCCCCTAAGCCTCCAGAAGGAAACACAGAGCTGTAGACACTTTGATTTTAGCCCAGTGGGACCCATGATGGACTTCTGACCTATGGAACTGTAAGATAACTGTGTGTGTTAAGCCACCAAGTTTTCGGTGACTTACTACAGCAGCAACAGAAAACAGCAGCCAACTAAAACATAGCCAAAGTGGACCACAGTTGGAGGTCTCCTGTCCTGCTGTTACTAGAATACAAAGTACACCTGGGTTCCTAAGGTAACCAGGAGACATGGAATCGATTTTGTGCTTTGGACATATTGATTAGATGCAAGTCCCTCAAAATTCCCAGCATCAATGTTTTCTCTCTTCTACTGTTAGAGGCCCTTGGGTGAAAAAGTTTGAGAATCACTGACAAGAGAATGGTGTCCTCATCCGTGTCATTTACAAAATGGAACACGTCTCTGGGGCACAAAGACAAAGGAGAAAACAACACGAATCTGAGCCATGGAACTGTCTCAAGATGATATGATGTTCGAAGCAGATTTTTGTGGATATTTCTTTATCCAGAAGGAGAGTTGTACTTTGATCCATGCCTGGTCCTGGCTCTGTTAAGATTGCTCAAGATATTGGTCCATTTTCTGTGTCGGTCCCAGCTTGCCTGGTATCTTCAACCAACAGGGGCTGAGGATAATTATCCTGGATTGATCTGTACCTCTGCTGGTATAGATCAGGAAACAAAGCTCCTGTGTGGATGGGAAGACTATATATGCTGTGATAGCCTTAGTCACCCTCTTTGAGAATTTGTGGGAGAAACATTCTACCTGTTTGATCCCATTTGCTCAGAGTCCTTCTCCTCCCCCAACCTCCAAGGGTCCTTGTATCTGCTTGTTGACAATCCCCACCTCCCTGGCTCTCATGACCTAACACCATGCTTGGAAGTCCCCAAATGATACTACTGTCCTGCTCCCTTGAATGGAAACCCCAAGGGATTCTGAGGTGGTTCATAAGAGTAAACTGGAGTGTTGGTTTAACCAATACTCCCGTGGTCTTGGTTGCTGTGAATCACCCATCTTTTCCCTGAGTGGGGAAGGATTACCACTTTTACCCCAGATGGCTTTCCTGTTGCCATTCATTCACTTCCTTGCCCTAAACTTCCTCCGATCCAGCAAGCCACATGGCTGCTGTTCTCTTGGATCAATCCTGACAATACAGTATGCAATGCCCAAAATGTATGAAACTGATGGGAAATACTTTGCAGCTTTGTTTCTGATGATATATTCAGTGTCATAAACATATAGACTTGCAGACATTTGATCTCAATGGAGATGGAACACAGCTCCATATATTGACATTGCAGGTTTGTTCGTGCTCATTCAGTTTTCTTCACATCAAATAATCCCCTTCCACCCCTAGCTTAAAAGACCTGTCCTCTCCCCTTCCTCAGCTCTTGTTCATAATTTTTCTTCTCTCCCTCCCTGAATCATTATTTCTCTCAGCAACACCTTCCATCTTTAGCTTCTTAGTGGCTTCTTCCCACTGCCTGTACACAAACCCAGATCTGTGCATTAAAAAAAAAAAAAAAAAAAAAAGATCATGGGACCTTATTGCCCTCTCTAGTTTTTTTATTTCGGGCTAAACTTCTTGCACGAGGGTTTGTGTCCACTCTCCAGCCTCACCTCAAATCCCCTACAATCTGGGTGTGGCACCCGCTTCTCAACCGCAGCTATGTTCTCAAGTGTCACCAGGGTTCTCCTAACTGCCTAATCCAGTGGCTTCTTTACAGGTTTTGTTTGTGTGGTTGATTGCTTCAGATTTTCCAAAGTTTTCAAATGGACAAAAAACTAGAGAGAATAGTATAATTAATAAACGTATATACTTGTTGCTTAGATTTAACCATTGTTACTTTTTTTTTTTTTTTTTTTGAGACAGAGTCTCACTGGCTCTGTTGAGATTGCTCAAGATATTGGTCCATTTTCTGTGTTGGTCCCAGCTTGCCTGGTATCTTCCATCTTGCCAGGCTGGAGTGCAGTGGCGTGACCTTGGCTCACTGCAACCTCTGCCTCCCGGGTTCAAGCGATTCTCCTGCCTCAGCCTCCTGAGTAGCCGGGACTATAGGCACGCACCACCACGCCTGGCCAATTTTTGTATTTTTAGTAGACACAGGGTTTCACCATGTTGGCCAGGATAGTCTCGATCTCCTGAACTCGTGATCCACCTGCCTTGGCCTCTCAAAGTGCTGGGATTACAGGCGTGAGCCACCGTACCCGGCCCCATTGTTACTATTTTGCCTTGTTTCATCCATTTTATCTGCTAAATTATTGTTCATTATAGACATTCTAACGTTTCACCCTGAAATAATTCAGTATGCTTTTTTTTAAAAAAGTGAACATCTTCCTACACACCCATAGTATCATATCAAACCAAGAAAATTAACAACAAATCTGTCGTATCATCTTATACACACATTCCACATTCCTATTTCCTCAATTATTCTGGCAATGTCTTCACAGCTGGTGTGTTCAGATTGCAGTCATGGATGTCCACTGTGTTTGGTGGCTGTGTCTTGGTTTTCACTGATGACATCACTCTAGCATTTGCCTCTGCTATGCAGTTCCTTCTTGGAAGACTTTCCCTTGGTTTCCATAATATTAACTCTTCTTTCTCTTAATCTTCTACTCCTGACCATCTGTTTTCTTCACAGACCTTCCTTTGCTACTTGTCTTTTCAGTATTGGTGCTTCACAGGATTCTGCCCTTGGCTCTCCATTCTCACCCTGAACTTGCTTCCCAGGCAATTCTCCTGAATAATATTCCATTGTATATATGGATACCATCTATGGTGTGGCTACACCACATTTTGTTTACCCATTTATCAGTTGATGGACGTTCGGTTTATTTCTACTTTTTTGGCTATTATGAATAATGCTGGTATGAACAGCATTTGTATACAGTCATGTGTATTGTATACAAGTTTTTGTGTAGACATATGTTTTAATTTATCTTGGGTATATACCTAGGAGTGGAATTGCTGAGTCATGTGATAACTTTATGTTTAACATTCTAGGAAACTGCCAAACTGTTTCCCAAGCAGCTGTACTGTTTTACAGTCCCACCAGCAATGTAGAAGGGCTCTGATTTCTCCACATCTTCACCAGCACTTGCTACTGTCTGTCTTTTTTTATTATAGCCATCATAGAGGATGTGAAGTGGTATCTTACTGTGGTTTTAATTTGTATTTCCCTGATGGTTAATTATTTGAACATCTTTTCATGCGCTTATTAACCACTTGTCTATCTTTCTCTTTCTTTCTTTCTTTCTTCTTTCTCTTTCTTTCTTTCTTTCTTTCTTTCTTTCTTTCTTTCTTTCCTTCTTTCTTTTCTTTTCTTTTTTCCTTTCCTTTTCTTTTCTTTTCTTTTTTGGAGACAGAGTCTTGCTCTGTCGCCCAGGCTGGAGTGCAGTTGCGCAATCTTAGCTCACTGCAACCTCCACCTCCTGGGTTCATGTCATTCTCCTGCCTCAGCCTCCCAAGTAGCTGGGACCACAGGTGCCCGCCACCACACCCGGCTAATTTTTTGTATTTTTAGTAGAGATGGGGTTTCACCATGTCAGCCAGGATGGTCTTGATCTGCTGACCTCGTGATCCGCCTGCCTCGGCCTCCCAAAGTGCTGGGATTACAGGCGTGAGCCACCACGCCCGGCCAACCACTTGTATATTTTCTTTGGAGAAATGTCTATTTAGATCTTTTGCCAATTTTTCACTTGAGTTATCTGTCTTTTTTATTATTGAGTTGAAGAGTTTTTATATATTCTAAATACAAGTCTCTTTTCAGAAATGTGATTTGCAAAATTTTCTCCCCTTGTAGGAATTGTCTTCTTAGTCGTCTTTATACCCATAGTTTCTAGCACAATAGGCATTCAATAATTAGTTATTGAATTCAATTGAATCTCTCATAGGTCTTTTAGGCAAAGTCTCTAATTATCTTTTTTACTATCCCCTCAACTTAACTTCCTTTCTTAGACTATAAGAAAAATACAAATAAAAAGGAAGAATATGAACGCTTTGGACTGAATATTATTGAAAACTCTAAAGTATACATGGTTTTTAAACACTAGGTTTTAACAAATTACTTAACTTCTCCATGCCTCAGTTTCCTCAGTTGTAAATTTGAGAGAGGTTTTGGAATTTGTACTTGGTCATCTCTAAGTTTGCGTCCACTCCAACATTTAATAAGTTTAACAATAACAAAAGTCAAGACCATTCCTGGTGGCATGCAGGGCTCGGAGCAAACCACTTAGAATAATCACTGTGTCTGCCTTGCTTGCTGGTATACTCCAAGCACAAAGTGCTGTGACCTACCCATAATAAGTAATAAGCAAAATAGTTTTACTTAATTCCCATTAAGCTCATTAAATCCCACACCTGTAAAGATCATCAAGACGTCAACAACTCCCAAATTAGTATCTCTAGCCCGGACTCTTTTCTTGATGAATTCATTTGCTGATTCAACACTTCTATCTGCAGGTCTAACAGGCCTCACAATTGTAACATGTCAAAAATAGAATTCTTGATTCCCCACTCCTCCTCGAATTTGGTCCCCACTCGCCACTCCACGCCAGGCTTTCTAATTTCAGTAAATGGCACCACCTCCAGTGAGACGCCCAGGTAAAAAGGTTGGAATCATCCTTAACTGCTTTTCTTCTTTAAAAGTTATTCAATTCATCAAAAAGCTTTATCAGCTCTACCTTCGAAACACACACAAATTCAACCACTTCTTACCATCTTACCTTCTCCACAGCTTACTGCTCTGGGCCAATCTATGACCTCTTCCCTGGATTTTTATAGTAGTCTCCTACTTTGTGTCCTTAAATCTACTCTTCCCCACCTACCAACATTTCTCCACATAGGAGCCAGGATGATTCTCTAAAAACTTAAACAAGATCATACTACTCTTCTGTTCAAAATGCTCCAAAGGCTTCCTATCACATTCAGAATCAACCCGTGGAGTTGCTGGTGGAGTGGCATGTTAGGCCTAGAACAGTTCAAGTGAACTGGGTCTGGCTTCCTCTCTGATCTTACCTCCTATCTCTCTCTGCCTTGGTGACTCCAATATGACCTTGTCAGCCTTTTTATGTTTCCTGAACATATCCAGAATATCCTGCCTTAGAGCCTTTGCACCTACTGATCTCTGCCTGCAACACTGGTTCACTTGAGATTTGGCATGGCCCACTCTCTTGCTTCATTCAGGTCTCTGCTTGAATGTCACAACTCCAGGGAGGTCTTATCCAACACCCTTTCTAAAAAGGCCCTTCTGCAACTCATTGTCCCTTTATTATGCTTTATGGTCATTCATAGTACTTAATGTTCCCTAAAAGATGTTCATTCATAGTACTTAATGTTCCCTAAAAGATTGTTTGTTTACCTATTCTGTCCCCCACTAGAATGTCAGGTCTAGAATCTAGAAGGGCAAAGATCTCATCTTTGTTTTATTTTCTTTTTCTTCCAACTTTCCAACTTTCTTTTTCGGTTCAGGGGGTACAATGTGCAGATTTGTTACATAGGCAAATTGCATGTCACAGGGGTTTGGCGTGTAGATTATTTCATCACCCAAGTAACAAGCATAGTACCTGATAGGAAGTTTTTTGACCCTCACCCTTCTCCTACCCTCCACTGTCAAGTAGACCCTGTTGTCTATTGTTCTCCTCTTTGTGTCCATGTGTACTCAATGTTTAGCTCCCACTTCTAAGTGAGAAAATGCAGCATTTGTTTTTCTGTTCCTGCATGAATTCGCTTAGGATAATGGCCTCCAGCTCTATCCATGTTACTGCAGAGGGCATGATCTCATTCTTTTTATGGCTGCATAGTATTCCATGGTGTCTATGTACCACATTTTCTTTATCCGGTCCACCACTGGTGGGCATTTAGGTTGATTCATGTCTTTGCTATTGTGAATGGTGCTGCGATAAACATGCATCCATGTGTCTTTACAGCAGAACGATTTATATTCCTTTGGGTATTTTTTTTGAGTATAGTAATAGGATTGCTGGGTGGAGTGGCAGTTCTGTTTTAAGTTCTCTGGGAAATCACCAAACTGCTTTCCACAGCAGATGAACTAGTTTACACTCCCACCAGCAGTGTATAAGTGTTCCCTTTTCTCTGCAACCTCACCAGCATCTGTTATTTTTAGACTTTTTAATAATAGCCAGTCTGATGGTGCAAGGTGGTATCTCACTGTGGTTATTTGCATTTATCTAATGATTGGTGATGTTGAACATTTTTTCATATGCTTGTTGGCTTTGTTTACTACCTTGTTTACTGATGTATTCTTAGTGCTGGGTACCATTTCCAGCACATGATAGACATTCAATGAATATTGTTGAATAAATAAATAAATTAGTGATAATTATTATCTGAGAGTAAGCCCTGGGTTTGTGTCACTTACTAACTGATTTGCCTTAGACAAATTATGTAATCTCCGCAAGTCTCAGTTTTCTTCCCTGCAAAAATGAGCTAGTAATACCTCCTGCAAAGGACTGTTGTGAGGACTTGAGATAAGGGATGAAGGTGCCTCATATTAAGTGCTCAATTCATAGACCTGTAATTACCCATAAAAGTAAACATCCTCCTTTACACACTTGGTTGAAGGACAAAGGGGATCATCAAACCTGCTTCCTTAGAACCACAATTTATCAACTAAAAATGCCATGCCAGAAGCTAAAAAAGGAAATGAATCCATTTCAGTGCAGTAGGCTCAGAGATCTGTGTTTACACAATGCCAGAATACCCAGGCTTAGAGATACTATGTTCAAATTCAAGTCAGGCCACTGCTTTGTTCTGTGGACTGCGGCAGGGTTGGAGGGGATGATTCAAAATGACCTCAGCTTTTGTCTAATTTGGTCCTGTGACCAGACCACAGGCAACGCCTCATCCAGGGAATTGATTTCCTTTGCAGCTCTTTGCTAAGAGGCCCATCAACATGATAAAATGCTGTGCAGTCATTACATATTACTCGGCTGTAGGATGAGGCATTTCTACGTGTTTGGACATGGAAAGACCTTCAACAGGTATTGTGGAGTAAAAAATTCAAGTTGCAGATGAAATACACAGCACAAACACACACCAACAACACTCCGTTATACTTGTATGCAGGTTCCTACATCTGTATATAAACATAAAGCAAAGGGTCTTGAAGGTAGAAACCATGTCAGTTACTCTCACTTCCTCAGAGAAGCGGGGAGTGACTAGAACTGGAAGTGGGCGTCAAAGGAGACTTCAGCTTTATCTATAGGATTTGTTTGCAAAGAGAATGTGTTATGTACGTAATTAGAAACTATTTTTTTAAAGCTGCTCAAGCAAGATGATGCTAACACACCCCATTTGAAGTAAAATGAAGGAATTTACTTTTCCCTGCCTAGTGATTCTCAAATGGGCAGTCTCACCCATCAGAAGGTGTTTGGAAATGCCTGGGGGCATTTTCTGGATGTCACAAATTCTCCTGGGGGCTACTGGCATTTAGTTCCCCAGGGACGGGGGATGCTAAATGTCCTACCATGTGGGAAAATCCCACACCACATAATAGTATCTCTGCCCAGAGGCCGACCGTGGCCCTAGTGAGAAACCGCACAACACAAAAATTTGTGTTTGTTGTACAAGTAAATTCATCTATTACTGCCAGGTGTGGTAGCTCACACCTGTAATCCCAGCACTTTGGGAGGCTGAGGTGGAAGGATTGCTTGAGGCCAGGAGTTCAAGACCACCCTGGCCAACACAGTGAGACTCCATCTCTATAATAAATAAATGAATTAATTAAAAAAAGGAAAACTGTATATTTAAAAAAATCTATTACATACATGTAAGAGGTGTTTTTCTGTCTTTGGTTTGAACTACTGAGATGCCCAACACATGTTCTGTCTCTCTATATAAAATAGTAAATTTTATCACTGATGGTCAAGAGAAGCAAATAGAAAACCATGCCAGTTGCTCTTGGTGGGAAGCCTGGGTTTTAATGGAGCTATTGGCATGGGTTTGACATCTCCCATTTAGAGTATGTGAATATTTCTGAGAATAAAGCTCATCCAGGCACCAGCCAGTGCCTTTGTACTTTGCTGATACTTTAAGACAAACGTCCCATCGACCAGCAGTCAGGCAAGACTGAGAGCCTTCCAAGTAAAGTTGGGAGGGTCCCTTCTCCCATGGTTAGCAGTTCCAGCACAGGACTGTCTGCTTTCAGTCTGCTAGTAGTCTGCTTCACACTACTGGCTCTTAGAAAGCAGCTTTCAACTCACAGTAGTAAGAGAGAGAAAGGTGATGACAGGCAAAATGAAAAGAATATATGATATTTTCCCCTTCAATTTCATACCCTTTGACACTTGTGGTTCATACATTCAACACATATTTACTGAGCATTCTACTATGTGTCAGCATTGTGCTAGGTGCTGGGGTGTAGTAGAGGATGAGACATAAATGCTTACATTCTAGTGGAGAAGGCATAATAAATAAACAGATACACATAAATCAGGTCATTTTAAACAGTGGTTACTATTGTGATGAAACAGCATGCGGATGTGATTGATAGAAACTGGTGGGACCAACATGTCATGGAGAGTTCAGCAGAGGTGCCTCTGGGAGGTGATCTGAGGCTAGCTGGGCCCTGTTGTGGGGAATGATAATTGTGCCATCAGTGGCCAAGGCAGCAGCCACGGAAGGCCTGTGCCTGTTCCTGTCTCTTCCAGCCCAGCCCAGGGCATCATGCTGCCTGAAACAGCAGATTCAGTCCAGATCTTGTAGGTTATCTGTGCTCCAGGGCTGGGAAAAGTTATGAGGAACATTCACACTTCTTATTTTGTTTTCCAGCCATCTAAGCCCAGGCTTTCAGCTGAACTCAGGCCAGGATTTCAGCTGTATCTAAGGAAGTTGATTTCATTTGTTCTAGAGGTATAAGACTAGAGTTTACTTGTGGATAATAGGCATGGGACTCTAAAAATTACTGTTACTTAAAAACACTTGTATGGCCATTACTTTGTATCAGACACAGTTCTAAACACTACAAATATTAAGTCATTTAGTGCTCGCAACAAATCTACATAACACGAGCAGACAACTATTATCCTCAGTTTATGCACGAGGGACACTAAGGCTGTTTCTCTCACAAAGGCCTTCCAACCAAGCACCCTTTCCAGGGATATGCAGTGTGGTTCTGGCTGACCGGTAGCACCAGCATTGAGTGGGGCAGACCTGGCAGTGGTGACGGCAGCAGAAGCGGTAGTGTCGGCAGCAGAGGCGGTAGTGTCAGACATGCAGATTCTTGACCTGCCCCAGAGCTACTGAACCAGAATCTGTGCTCTGCAGGTGATTCTGATGGATGGCCAAGTTTAAGGACCAGAGATCTAGTCCATTTTTTCATTTTTAGAAAGATGATCTGAAAGATTAGCCTTCCATATCTAGCTAATTGTTCAAAATCAGGTGTTTTAATTTTATGCAGCCTGTCTCCTTCTTTGTTAAAGCTCACTTCTCAGGTAGAGGAACTGGGCACAGCAGGGTTAGAATCAACTCGTTAATCAGGGGTCATTACAGCAGGATGTAGCGCATGCAGGGGGCTAGGATATGTGGTGCCGGGGGCTGGGGAAGGTATAGGGAGAGGCACTGCAGACCACAGGACAGTCCCTGCCTGAGAGAGTATCTCATCCCCATGTGCGAGAAGGGGAGAGGGACAGACAGGGGTGCTGTCCTCTTATGGTGACATCCCATGTACAGCTAACCTAAGGCAATTTAACAATATATCCTTCCCAGAGAGAAAGGAAGGGAGAAGGAAGGAAAGGAAGGAAGGAAGGAAGAAAGGAAAGAAGGAAGGAAGGAAGGAAGGAAGAAAGGAAAGAAGGAAGGAAGGAAGGAAGGAAGGAAGGAAGGAAGGAAAGAAGGAAGGAAGGAAGGAAAAATGGAGGGAGGGAGGAAAGAAGGAAGGCAGGGAGGCGATTTAATGTTGAAAGCATCCCCCCTCACATTCCCATGAGAAGATGCCTCAGAGAGAACCTGCATTTCCCTGAGGTTCTAGGTTACCATGGGCCTCTTTGGCACATAGCTTTTTTTTTTTTCTTTTAAATACCTGAGAAGGGATCTAAAGATTTTTCATTAAACATGATCCTGAATGCAAACCAACCACATTGCTTGGTTGTCAGCCAAAAACACATGGTCTGTCTAGTGCTAGAAGAAAATGGCTATATTAGGCTTCCTGAGAGATGTATGCGTCCCATTCTTTATGGGTGATTCAAAGGATTCTCAGGAGACATTTTGATTCCATGTATTTCCCTGTGTGTGCTGACTTTAGACACTACCTTTTATGTAAGAGGCAACCACACTGTTTATGAAAGTCTATTTTCTGACTTTCCATGTTGTCAAAGCTGAAAAATTGGCCAACCAGATTCCACCCTAAGCTGTAAGATCCACACTGTGAGGGAGAAACTAGACTGCAGCCCTAGGAGGAAGCAAGAACTTACAATCATTGGTGGAAGCTGGCTATGAAAATATCCACTGCAATATTACTGTGCTTACACAGTGAGTGTGTGCTCCAAAACCCAACAAATTGCAGGGCCAGATGTCTCTGGGTCCATGAGGGTGCTAGGCAAGGGGTCAATGCAAGGCTGGGCACTCTTTCCCCACCCACACTGCCCTTGTCTTGGCAGCCTGGGCTCTACTTGTCCACCCTCTGCAGCCAGCCCTGTTGGTGCTTCTTGATCCTGTGGTAACCCCTTCCTCTCACTGATTAGGCATGGAGTGGACCCAGCAGGGGCTGTGCCTGGTCAACCTGAGCCTCCATCTCACAAATGTGATCTGAGTGGCAGGCCATCTGTGGCTGGCCATCCAGATAGCAGCAGGCTTTGGAGCCATGAGGTCTTGTGGACTCTGGGCTGGTAGATGTCAAGCAGAGACAGGCAGACAGAAGCAGGGATGAAGTGGGCCTGGAGTGAGCAACCAACCATGTGAGTGACTCTCCCGTGCTGGTTTCCTGGGCCTGGCTGAGTCTGACTTGCTGTCCTAGGTCTCCTTTACCTATAACCTCACACCAACCCCAGTCCCCTATTAACTGAGCCAGTTGGCATTGGCTTCTGTCTCCTGTATCCGAACAAGGCTTTACCGGAGCAAACAATGAGTCTGGGCTTTACACTGTCCCCTGGGGCCCTCAAAGGCCTGCTAAGGATTTTACAAAGGAGCCAGATCTCCAACCCCTTGTAGAACTCACTGTGGAGCTTCAATCACTTGTGACCTCTTGAGACCCAAAATGCAAACTTCTAGAATTTAGATGGTCTTGGCAAGTTCATTGTTTAAGAAACCCCTTTCTACAGGACAGGTATTTTTTTCCTGGTGCCATGTAAAATGCCCACACTTGTTCTGTATCCTTCCTTTTCTGATGAGTTCTCTGTGCCACTGAATGTCGGGTATGAATTTCCCCTAGTTTATCAATTAGGTGTAGAAACAATAACAATAGTTTCCAGTAGTTTTCAAATTTTCAGCACAGAATCTTTTTTCTTAAGCTAATGTTACTTGAAACCTCAGTACAGAAGATATATAAGCAGAGCTGCCCTCTGGGTTTCTTCTTTCGGCATCCCTCCCCCACTCCATCTGCAGGCTCTTCTAGAAGCCAAGGGCGCCAGGAACAAGCATTCAGGGCATTGCTCAGGGCGGCAGATCGTTTCATCCTTATCTACAGCAAATATCATGGAGCACCCATTACATATTATAGCCCCTGACAAGCTCTGGAAATACAGCAAAGTACAAGACACATCCCCAACATAAAGGAGAGGTGGCCGGGTGAGAGCCTGTGCCAAGTTTGGAGGTGCAGCTAGGGCTGCAGGGCTCAGAGCTGAGAGGAGTTGCCAGGTGCTAGAGTAGTTGGGGAAGGGGCCACTGCCACCCAGTATGTGGGACTAGAGCAGAATTTCAATAGGTTTACATAAAAAGAGAAGGGGTGTGTAGACAAGACACAGACAAGAGGAGAAATGTGAGCAAGGGTGGAACTGTCTGGGTGCACTCAGGGAATGGCCAGCTGATGAATTTGGTTGGAGTAGCAGGGCATTCTCAATGGGAAAATAGGAAGGGGCCAGAATTTGAATGACAGGCTAGGAAAATTCAACTCATTTCAGAGGCCATCAAGAGCCCTGAATGATTCAACTTAGGAAAAAAGTATTAGGATGAAAAACAAGATAAGCACAAAAATGAGACATCAAGCTGCTCAGTTATGGTGTTTGACGTGGATCTGCAGGAAAGGCCAAGGGTCAGAAAAAGAAACGTTGGTGACACAATTCCCCGCTGCTGACCCTCTTCCCCAAAGGGTCACACGTCTTCCAGACTGAAGGCAAGTGCATTATCTTCCACTTATTTGTCAGGCATCAGAAAGCACAGTGACTCATTTGAAGTCCCCAGCCGAGGACTCCCAGGGGCCCTGACTCACAGGCCTTCCCAGAAGAATCCTGTCCAAGCACAGATGCATGATCACCAGACACTTGTTCATCGGCTGGTGAAAGCAGCTTCCTGGCTCGGTCAGCGCTTCTCAGATCTTTCCTCTTCTGCTCAAACCCATGAATGGGAAACACCTTAACTCTCTCCCAGCCTCAGGCTCAGCCTCAGCTTACTATGACACACTTGCAGCCTAAGGAATACAGAGAAGAATGGCCCCATGTTGAAGTCTCTCCTAAAACCAGCAAAGTGAACACAAACACCTACACAAAAATACAGTAATTCCTTCTCATTTGTGTGTGAGCAATAAAAAAAAAACAAAAAACAAAAAACAACCCAAACACAGTCATTCTTGAAGCAGGCATAAACATCAGTGCTGTACAGGTGAAAGCTGTACTCAGGCTACAGACTTCCATGGGGACGACAGTGTAAGACATTCCCTCACTGGACACAATTTGATGGTGACATATTAGGGCTAGCCAGCTCTGTCTCTGTCTCTCTCTCCTACATAATCAGTAGCCTGAATTTGTCCAGTAGTTGCCTAGAGTGAAATAGATTCTCCAGGTGGGAACATAACCAAGGACTTTGCCCAATCACCCCAGAGCTCTTAGGCATGTTATTCCATAAGGTACACGTTCACCTGTGTCACACATTGCATAGTGCATGCTTCAACAGAAGAGTAAATGAGATATTTAGAGTTGATGTCATGACTCATGAGATGGAGTTGGAATTGAAGATCTTATAAGCAAAAGTTCAAAGAGATGCTGCTAGTAATAATATTTGAGCTGACAGAGGAACTCTACATATATCTTCTCTTTGATCATTATAAGGATCTGGAGACATGGGGAAAGTACATGTCTGTTTTCTGTTGCTTATAACAGAATACTTAAAACTGGGTATTTTATAAGGAAAGAAATGTATTTCCTTTAGTTATGGAGGCCAGGAAGTTCCAGGTTGAGGGGTCACATCTGGTGAGAGCCTTCTTGCTGGTGGGGACTCTCTGCAGAGTCCTGGGGTAGCACAAGGCATCGCATGGCGAGGTTCTCTTCCTCTTCTTGTAAAACCACCAGTTCCCCTCCTGTGATAACCCTTTAACCATTAATCCATGAATGGATTAATCCACTTTTGAGGGCAGAGCCCTCATGATTCAATCAACTCTTAAAGGCCTCACCTCTCAATACTGCCCCATTGGGGATTAAGTTTCCACGTGAATTTTGAGGGGAGCATTCAAACCACAGCAGTGCATTTGGGCAGGGTGGCAAGAACAGAAGCATAAAGAGTCTGAGTGTCTGACACAAGGTCCCTGAACAAGGGAGGGCCTGAACACCCTCTCATCCTGGTCCTCTGGTTTCAGAGGCTGTGTTCTTTCCAACAACTCCACAGGGTGGCTGAGAATGACATCATCAGAAAAGGGACACAGAGGGACAAAGACAGCCACCGTACATCCCCCATCAGTGGAGGAAGGCTTTCTGGTGAGTGGGTTGCAATGGACTTGCTAGCACCTTGCTCAGAATTTCCAGGAATCTGTTCCCAAGGCTCTGGGGGGCAAAGGCAGAGGACGTTCCATGGTACCCTTAGTCAGGAGAGCGCATTAATTGCAGCTGCAGCCAGTGACCCAGCACTGATGAGAAAGCTGTCAGCTGAAAGCTGGACCAGACACACTCCCTGAGGCCACTGGCTATAGTCAACACTGGACACGTACACCTCCCAGTGCCCATCATGACTCCAGAGGAAGGAACTCTTCAAAGAACCTCCTGGTGACTGTGCCACCTTTCTTCCACAATAAATATGTCATCTCTCCTTCATTATTTTATATATATAAAATACATGCATACATAAATAAATGTATATAAATTATATGTGATATATATATACAATATATGTAGATATATAAATTTTTTTATAGAGGCAAGGTCTCACTATGTTGCCCAGGCTAGTCTTGAACTCTTGGGCTCAAGCAATCCACCCACCTTGGCCTCCCAAAGTGCTGGGATTACAGGCGTGAGCCACCGTGCCTCACCACCCTTCATTATTTTTCTATTCCAACGAGTTTTCTAAAATTTTCTAATTAAAAAAAAATCCAAACAGTACCAAAAGCTGTACAATGAAAAGCAATAGAGGTTGAAATATAGGATTCTAGTTATTGACACATAAATGTAATGCAGTATCTGGAAACTTCCATTTTACAAGATGAGAAAATTAACCTTCCATTTCTGCTCTCCTCCCCTGTCCCTAACCTCTGGGTCCCTTAATATCACTGCTACATGGCACCACGTTTTATAACTTGTATGTCTTGCCCTAGAAATATAATTCTTTGTGCTTATATACGTTGATTGTTAAAATTAAAAACAAACAAGTAGCATGTATAATACTCTGCTTGTGGCAGTATTATTCTTTCCAGAGGCAAGTGGAGACCCTCAAAGAAGGATGTACAGTCACGAGTCATTAAACGTGTGCCGCTCCGAGGGAAATAAAATTAAGCTGGGAGAAGGATGTGGGAAGGGATGGAGTGATGTATCGAAGTTATTTTTCCTGAGCATGTTGAAGGCATTTCTCTAATTCCTTTCGTTGAATGGCATGAAGGA
This sequence comes from Homo sapiens, assembly GCF_000001405.40. NCBI lineage: Eukaryota > Metazoa > Chordata > Mammalia > Primates > Hominidae > Homo > Homo sapiens. The sequence continues at coordinate 141,329,282 of NC_000003.12, read as the reverse complement.
TGGGAGGAACACAGTCAGGGACCTTCCTTCACATACTCATCTATATTTTTGAGCACTGGCCATGTGCTGGGCACTATGCTAAGTGCTTAAGAAGCATATAAAGGATGGTTCTCACCTTCAAGGGGAAAAGACAGGAAAACTAGTGTGCAGAGAGTAAAAGCTCCAAGGAGGCGGGGTTTTTTTCTTTTGTGGCTTGTTCGCTGTTGTATTTGTAGTATTCAGACTAGCCAATTATTGGATGAAAGAATGAGAGCAATGGCAGAGCTATGCACGACTGGGGGACGGGGAGACAGGTAGGGGAGGAGCACCTATGGGAGCACTCAGGAGGAGGCCTGGAGGGCTCAGGGAATGCTCCCAAAGAGAGCTTGGGTTGAATTTTGAAGACCAAGTAGGAGTAGGACATGGGAAAAATTGGGAAAGGGAATCCCCAGTAGTTTGGTGGGAGCAGAAGGTGCGTTTGGGAACATGAAAGGAGATGAGGAGGGAATGACAAGAGGGGAAAGAAGGGCCTTGTGTGCCAGGCAGAGAAGCCTGGCTGCATTCCAGGGGTGACAGAGCGCCTTGGAGGGTTGTCAGCACAGGAGTGGTGTGGTTGGGCTGTGTTTTAGAGACGCTCTGTGTGGGGAGTGTGGGGGTTACCCAGGGGCTGGAGGAGTCCAGGTAGGGGCTCTGTGATGAGACATGATAAGAAGCTGGCTAAGGTGCTGAGGTTGGAGGGAAGGGCCTAGACCCAGGAAACATTTAGGAGGTAGAGTGTGCACAGTTTGGTAGCTGAGGGGATTTCTGGGATGGACAAGAAGTTCAGGTTGAGTTTCTGATTTGAGTAAATGAGGGGGTGGTGACATCATTCACAGAAAGAGAGATTAAGAAAAGAGTAGTGGCTTCAACAAGTTTTGAGGAGGTGCTAAGTGCCATTGCAGATGTGCTGTGCATGTGGGATATTCAAATGGGGATGGCTGTAGACAAGTGGATCTATCTCTAGATCTGAGAGTCATTGGCAAATAAGTGGTAGATGAGGCTGAGGACAGAAAAATGTCGGGTATTATGCACATGAAATTGTATGAAAAACACCACCTTTAAGCATGGATAGACAGAGAAGTCCATGAAGGAGACTGGGAGAAGGTGAACTGGAAGAGAGGGTGTCACTGTTTCTGTGCAGCGGCGTGCGAACGAATGAATGATGAATATATTATGTAAAATGATGAATTACCTTACCTTTTCTCCTGGCTTTCCCATCTTGAACTTCAAGCATTAGACTATACAACCAGAATCTTTCCCCATTAATCTTGGTGCAGCAGCCACCAGAGGCATGACCTAGTTCTGCATGTGGTTATAAAATTTCTCAAGGGTTTTCAGGAAAGATTGGAAGACACAGAGTCTCAGTAGCTTTCCAACCAGTCGTTTCCCTGGCAATTAGCTTTATATATTTTTAAAATAAACTTTCTATTTTACAGTAGTTTTTAGATTTTGAGAAAAGTTGACAAGATAGTACAAAGAATTCCCATATACCCATTACCCAGTTTCCTCCATTATTCATGTATTACATTAGTGTGGTGCATTTCTTACAACTAACAGGCCAATACAGATATAGTATCATTAACTAAAGTCCAAGCTTTATTCAGTTTCCTTAGTTTTTAACTAGTGTCCTTTTTCTGTTCTAAGGAAGCATCCAGGTGACCACATTCCATCTGGTTGTCACGTCTCCTTAGGCTCCTCTGGGCTTTGACAGTTTCTCACATTTTCCTTGTTTTCTTGATGACCCAGACAGTTTTGAGAAGTGCTGGTCAAGTATTTATAGAATTTTCTTCAATTTTAGTCTGACATTTTTCTCACGGTTGGACTGGGGTCATGGGTTTGGGGGAGGAAGACCGCAGAGGTAAGGTGCTGTTCCTGTCACATCATATCAAGGTACAGACCATCAACATCATCACTGTTGATATTGACCTTGATCGCCTGGCTAAGATAGTGTTTGTCAGATTTCTCTTTTTCCCCCTTTCCATGCTGTACTCTTTGGAAGGAAGTCTATGTGTGGCCCACACTTAAGGAGTATGGAGTTATGCCCCACCTTCTTGAGGAAAGAGGCAGTCAGCTTTTTAAATCTCACCCTGCCTTTTCATTTGAAGAGAACATCTCTTCAGCTTCTTTTCCTTTCTTTCAGACACCCTTTTAAGAACACACAGGCCTGTCAACTATAGAGCCTGACTTTACAGGGACCTTTTATGGGACTTAATATTTCTAAATGTATCTAAATACAAACACCTCAAAAAAACTACATCACAAGATTTTAAAATGCAGGTAAAATGACTTCCCTTCGGGCATGGAGGTCCCCTTCGAAGCAGGCCTAGAAGGATGCCTCCTTGTCCAGGGGTCCATCTGGCAAAGCCTCACCCTTTGTTCTACTGGTGCCACAAACGAGCCTGGCCTAACTGCAAAGTCAGGAATAATGACACCACCCCCCTCAAGAGGGAGGAATTGGAAAGGAAGTACTTGAAAAGAATAATGATGCAGAGGATCTTTTCATTGTATTATAGATAAATAAAGTCCTACTTTGTTCCAAAAACAACACTTTGTTCCTGTAAACCAAGAGTATCATTGTAAAAAAACACAACATGATCAGAGATTGGATCACTTCAAAGAGAATTAAGGCACAGAGTTTCACACCAAGACTGTAGAAAAGAGGATTATTATTTAAAGATACTGAAACTCTAACAAGAATAACTGTCATGTGAGTTAGGAAACATAGTACTTGTATCTTAGCACAATAAATTTTTACAATTTAATAAAACATTATTGCACTCTGATAAGATAAAACCTTAACCCCCCTGCTTTTGTTCCCTCCAGTGGCCATTTCCTGTCCCCCACCCTGCTCCCCTGCAACCCCCATGCCTCTCCATGGGTTGGGAGGAGCAAGGAGGCAAAGCACATTAACTGTTTTTCTCTCATTCTCTTTTCCTCCTTATTGCCTGGACTTTGAAATTCAATGTCATGTAAACATTAACTTGCTTCTTAAATAAAGCTGCAAAGAGCAAACTGTAATCTGAGCATATGATTTACCTCAACATTTTCCCATGAGCTCTAAGGATTCTGATTTCTTCTCTACCAGTATGTCTCTATCTCATAGAATTACTTTGAAATAGTCTTAACTTATCATTATTATTGTTATTACTTTGGTATTGACATGTTTTCCAAAGAATGCCTCTTCGAGATGATTTTAGATAGCAATATCCACTAAGTTTAAAAAATGTTGTTACTTTTTTTTTAATTAAAGAAAAAACATGTTAAATGGCAGCACAAGTGGTTAAAAGATGGGGCAAAAATTATACTGGCTGAAGTGTGGGACTCTGAACACTTTCATTAGTCAGTTTCACAAGTAAAATTGATCGCACAGGTAAAACCTTAATCATCTTATTATAACTTTAGGAACAACCCACAGCAGCTAAGATGTATATTTATTTGTTTTGCTAGTCACCAGCCATCGTCTGCTTAAATTATCAAGAGTGTTTGTTTGTTGGTTTGTCTTTTTTACAGTTGTGTTAATCATGGTAGTCTCAATTAGTCTAGCAAACACTTCAACTCACCAAACTCTATGCTTCACTAATGCAATCTTTGCAAAGCTGGTGTTAAAAGGAAGATTTTTCTGAATTTGCCTTGGAGATGTTTTTATATTTTCTCCTAGGTTACATTTTATTTTCCCCAAATTAAGGAAGTATACAAATATAGTGACTTTTCCTAACCTTGAGAACTTTAATATGTGTTGCTACCCGGGTTGCTGAAGAAAGAATCCCTTAGTCTTAACAGCCTGACTCTGTACAAACTATGTTTAATTACTCCCCTTCTATCTCCACTTTAGGTGGGTTCTTTTGCAATGAACAGTGTATGTCATTTAAAGTTGGCTTGCTGGACCTGAAGTGTGTCAATGTATGATCTCAAATAAATGAAAGACTGATACTAAAAAAATGCTAATTTTCTTAATTTATTCCCCCTGCACTGAAATGTTTTTCCTTGACACACAATTAAATATTTTTGAGCCTTTGCTAAATTACTGTGTGGTTAATTTTACTAAATGGCAGGAAGGTTAGATATTTGTAAATTTCCTCAGTGTATCATTCCTGATTAGTTGACCTTTTCTAAATATCAAATGGACCAGTTGCAGTCAATTCTATCACCACCATGATCAGCTTGCATTTATCCATAAGACATCTGTTTGTACACCAAAATAAAGTTCTTCACTGTTTTAGTTTGCTTTTGAAAACTGGCATAGACACAGAACAAACGGCTGTTAATGTTACAGAGTTTTGAATTTATCTTAATATATGATCACTACTGTTTAAACCTAAGTTTCAAAGAATACCTTTTTTGTTGTTATTCTGCTTGTCTGCTATTATTTTATCTTTATAAATACACTCTTCATTTTACAAAGTAACTTCAATTGCTTTATTGACTCCAGATAGCAGGGATAATATACCCAATTACTTTGAAAACAAGACTGTTATCGTCACATGATTTCTGAATAATACATTAACACTTTTTACATTCATACCTATTCTCCAAACCCTTTTTCTTTCTCTTCTGCCCTCCTTTCCACCTGTCTTTCTTTTCTTTCTTCATCAATGATTTATTGAGCATCAACATGTTAGGCACTACGCTAGATGCTGGGGAATCAATAATAGATAAACTCTTGGTCTCCATGAAGCTTATTCTATTGATTTAAAATCTTTCCTATCTGTTCCAAGGGTCATTTAGAGAAAATACACTAATGGAATTCATGAGAAGGAAAGCAAACATAGAGAGCTTTCACTAAGTTGGAGAAAAAGTATGTCACCAACCTTTAGCTGTTGCAGAGTAATCTTCTTTTCGGGCTCTGGCTATATCAACAGTTCCTCTTTTCCCCAAGAACTGGCTCTGGAAAGGGCATTCTTCTTCCTCTAGCATGAATAACCCTGGGTGGGAATGTTTAGATGGATACCAGTTGGATGAGACCCAGGGCAGCAGGAAAGCCCTCCTAGAAAACTCAAGTGCCCATATTCATTTGGTAGGGCTGCCCGAGGCCTTGGCTAGAGGGCTTCTGTGGACAACCACAAATGCACAGGAAGAATTGGGGAAAATCAGATAAAGGAAAACCATTAAATGACACACGTACAGAAGGGAAACAGTTAAGAATTAACTCAAATTAATTTAAGGCTACAAGAACAAGTGGTGCAATGGCTTAGTTAATAAGAAGCTAGTCTCCAAAGCTAGGGATTTTGAGCCAAATGACTAAGGGCCTTCAGAGCTACCAAGAGGCAGATGGCTGGACAAAGGGACCTATCACAGAGAGAATCACAAATCATCATGGGGACCAGGAGTATGCACTGTACAATGGATTGGAAACAGATTTGTTCATACATCCATCTACCCATATATACATCTGTTGATGATCGATTCAGCAAATGCTTGTTGATTACCACTGTTCTAGGTGATGGTGCTGGGGACACAGCAGTGAACATGCCCTCATGAAGCTTAAAATTCAGCAACATGCAGGGGGCATGTTGAAAAATCAACTGGAATGTAGATAGGGATTATACAAAGAAAAAGACAATGTTTAAACTTGAATCTGCCAAGTTTGGCTAGTTTCTTTGGAATACCAGAGCCCAAAGAACCTACCCCTTCAACTTTTAACTAGTCTGAGGTTGTGTCCCTTTTTTATCTTTCTCTTAGCTCAGCAAGACCATATAAGCATCCACATCTTTAGGCTCAGGCTCATCTATACTGAGGCCTCCAGGCCTGCCCTAACAGGAAACATGAAACCCTTGGATGTCTGCACTTGCCTAGGAATCAGCTTCTTGAATTTCAGATTTCTTTATGATTTTTGACCTCTAAAAATTGAGCTCAAGTCCCTGGCTTTCCCAGGCTCAATATTTACGCAATGTCCTTTGCTTAACTGATATCCATCAATCTTCATGACCACACTCAAATCTCTAACCTGAAGAATTGGAGTTGGGGGTGTAATAGCCCATTCAGAATGTGTAGGAAGCACAGTCAGTGGACAGAGGTGAGCAAACCCAAAACTGAGATGGGTTAAACACCTGGAGGCCAGATCAGGGACTATAGATCACAGGCATCATAGTTTATGGAGAACACGTTTCTTCTAGAAGGCTCTCCCAGAAATTTTTCATGCTGTGTTGCGATTTGAAGATAGTTTTGTGGTGAGAGTAAGGGGCCTCTTTGTGAATACAATCAGGGAAAAGACTATTTGTTAATTCAGACAAAACAGAAGGGTACAGGACAAATAACTATCTGTAGAAGAGTGATTATCCTTGAAGAGTCTGGAAAAGCTAGGGAATAAGGATTTATCACCGTGTCATCAGCACTGGCGGGATGGATGGATGGATGATTGACTGATCTTCTGTCCATTTGGAAGCCATGTCCTATAGACATGGACTATCATAATTTCATTCATTCATTCATTCTCCTGTTTATTTTATTTTATTATGTTATTTTTTTGAGATGGAGTCTCACTCTGCTGCCCAGGCTGGAGTGCAGTGGTGCCATGTTGGCTCACTGTAACCTCGCCTCCCAGGTTTAAGTGATTCTCCTGCCTCAGGCTCTCAAGTAGCTGGGACTACAGGCACACACCACCATGCCTAGCTAATTTTTATATTTTAGCAGTGATGGGGTTTCACCATGTTGGTCAGGCTGGTCTTGAACTCCTGACCTCAAGTGATCTGCCCATCTCGGCCTCCCAAAGTGGTGGGATTACAGGTGTGGGCCACTGTTCTCAGCCTCCTTTTAAAATCTAGATACTATTAATATAACTTGATAGGTAAGACACAATCCCTTTCCTCTTGGAGCTCACAGTCTAATGGGAAAAATGCAGGCTTATACTCAACTAATTAAAAAACTGGGTTGAGGTTTCTGACAGAAGGTTCCTTGGGATCTCAGAGCAGAGGCAATCTAATGCTCCCCAGGAAGCTGAGAGAAAGCATTCCTGAGGAAGTGATCTTTCAGTGGGACAAGGGTCACAAGGATCCTTCCAAGGTAAATTTTTTTTTTTGTCTTCACTTAGCTCTTCCTAATGGGAAAGATTTTTTAGGACTAGTCTACCATGAATAGTTCAGTATTCTTGAAAAATATGGTTCTCATTGTTAACCAGTGAGTTCCAATTAATTACTTAGAACTAGTATGTAAATTACTTACTTAGGCCTGAACTGAAATTTTTTTTGAATCTACAAAGCCCAAGACTAATCCTTCAGCAGGGGTAGAAGCTATGATAACTGAAAGACCCAGCCTAATTGGCCAGACATCCCTATTTTTCTTTACCAACTTACTATTGGCAACCGGCTCAACCCAGGAACTTTTAGGGCAGTGTAACAGCAAGCTCCACACTTCCTAAACAATAAGTAAAAATGTGTATGGGAGTGTAGCAGGGGCCTCTTCTATACTTAAAGAAGGTATTTTCAAATAGTTCCTAATAACAGTTAACTGGAGGACCTGAATTAACTTTTATTTTCCCAGGACCCTAAGCCTTTAGGCTTTCAAGCCTCTGGTAGGGCTGTCATAACAAAACACCATAGACTGGGTGGCTTAAACAATAAAAATTTATTTTCTCACAGTCTGGAACCCGAAAGTTCAAGATCAAAGTGTTGGCAGGGCTGGCTTCCTCTGAGGCCTCTCTTCTTGGATTGCACATGGCCACTCTTTTGCTGCCTCTTCACATGGGCTTTTCTCTGTGCCTCCATGTCCCTTGTGTATCTCTTCTGTGTACAAGTTTCTTCTTATAAGGAGACCAGTCATATTGGATTAAGGACCACTCTAATGGCTTCATTTTAACTTAACCACCTCTTTAAAAGCCCCACCTCCAAATACTGTCACATCCTGAGATACTGGAGGCTAGGGCTTCAATCTATAAATGTTGAGGAGATACAATTCAGCACATGACAGCGCCCCTTTGCAGATTCCTGCTCTCTGATTGCCCTATGATTCACCACTAAGGAAGCCAGTGACCACAGGGTCCTCCACTTCTTAAAAGAATGCCCACTCCAAACTAAGAGAGAAGTGGGAGAGTCTTGGGACCTGCACACCTTAGGCATACCTGTGCTTGACTACAGAGTGAGCCTCTTTTCATGTCCTCCCAGGATTTGGGACAGCTTCCTGAGTTTTATGAGTGACACAGTGAGTTTCTATTAAAAGCAGCTGAAATGTCCATTTTGTACCTCAGGAGCACATGGGAAAGATGCAGACCATTGGCCATCAGAGGCTTTAGACTAAGGAGTCTTCAAAGAGCTCAGGCTGCTTTGTAGAAGCAAAATACAAGGTAATAATAGAGTCAAGATAACAGGAAGTAAAAGAACTCTGCAAAGCACAGTTAGTACCACTCTGAAAATCACTGTTTCCTGTTTGCTAACAAATCTCATTCTCCTGAAGGACCCTGGTCAATGTGAACAGGTCCCATTTGCCAGTGGCTGTAGGTCAATTTGCTGAATGCCAGTTGTTTCCATTTTACATGTGTAGTCCCTGCCAGTCCCACCCCTTCTCTTCCTGTCCCTCTAAGTTTCTTCAGTTGTTTCCAATCTCTCTTGTTTTTTTTCCACCAGTCCCTCTAAGTGCCTTTTATCTCCTCTCCCCCTCCTCCAATCAATCCTGGTTCTTCCAAATCCCTCCTGGCCCCACACATCCCCCCCTTTACATTCCAGTCCTTTAGTACCTCCCATTGTGTCCACTCCCCTAGCCCCTCCCACTCTTCCCCAGCTCCCTACTACCTCAAAGTGATCACAAGCATTTTAATGTTGATAAGGGGGCCAAATTGCCTACCACAAATGCTGTACCAATTTACATGCACATCAACATTAAACTCAACAAAAAGACTTGATCTCAGAAATACCTTCAATAACCCTATTACTCTTTAACTATCTGATAATATGCTTTGTGAAAATAAACATCTTACTGCTACTTTATTTAGTATTTTTTTGAATACTAGTAATGTTGAAAATGCTGTCATATGTTGGTTGTCCAATTGTGTTTCTGACTATGTAATTACCTGTGATATGGTTTGGCTGTGTCCTTACCCAAATCTCATCTTGAATTCCCATGTGCTGTGGAAAAGACCTGGTGGGAGGTAATAGAATTATGGGGGCAGGTCTTTCCATGCTGTTCTCATGATAGTGAAAAAAGTCTCATGAGATCTGATGATATTATAAGGGGAGTTTCCCTGCACAAGCTCTCTCTTTGCCTGCTGCCATTCATGTAAGATGTGACTTGTTCCTCCTTGCCTTTAGCCATGATTGTGAGGCCTCCCCAGCCATGTGGGACTGTAAGTCCACTAAACCTCTTTCTTTTGTAAATTGCCCAGTCTCAGCTATGTCTTTATCAGCAGTGTGAAAATGAACTAATACATTAAATTGGTACCAGTAGAGTGGGGGCATTGCTGAAAAGATACCTGAAAATGTGGAAGTGACTTTGGAACTGGGTAACATACAGAGATTGGAACAGTTTGGAGGGCTTGGAAGAAGATAGGAAAATGTGGGAAAGTTTGGAACCTCCTAGAGACTTGTTGAATGGCTTTGACCAAAATGCTGATAATGATATGGACAATGAAATCCAGGCTGAGGTGGTCTCAGATGGAGATGAGGAACTTGTTGGGAACTGGAGCAAAGGTGACTCTTATGTTTTAGCAAAGAGACTGGCAGCATTTTGCCCCTGTCCTAGAGATTTGTGGAACTCTGAAATGGAGAGAGATGATTTAGAGTGTCTGGTGGAAGAAATTTCTAAGCAGCAAAGCATTCAAGAGGTGACTTGGGCATTGTTAAAGTCATTCAATTTTATAAGGGAAGCAGTGCACAAAAGTTTGGAAAATTTGCAGCCTGACAATGCGTTAGAAAAGAAAATCCCATTTTCTGAGGAGAAGTTGAAGCCCGCTTCAGAAATTTACATAATGAAGAGCCAAATGTTAATCTGCAAGACAATGGGGAAAATGTCTCCAGGGCATGTCAGAGGTCTTCATGGCAGCCCTCCCATCACAGGTCTGGAGGCCTAGGAGGAAAAAGTAGTTTCATGGGCTAGGCCCAGGGTCCCTGTGCTGTGTGCAGCCTAGGGACTTGGCGCCCCGTGTCCCAGCCACTCCAGCTGTGGCTGAAAGGGGCCAATGTAGAGCTTGGGCTGTGGCTTCAGAGGGTGCAAGCCCCAAGCCTTGGCAGTTTCCACAAGGTGTTGAGCCTGCGAGTGCACAGAAGTCAAGAATTGGGAGTTTGGGAACCTCTGCCTAGATTTCAGAGGATGTGTGGAAACACCTAGATGTCCAGGAAGAAGTTTGCTGCAGGGGCAGGGCCCTCATGGAGTACCTGTGCTAGGGCAGTGCAGAAGGGAAGTGTGGGGTAGGAGCCCCCACACAGAGTCCCTAATGCAGCACTGCCTAGTGGAGCTGTAAGAAGAAGACCACCATCTTCCAAACCCCAGAATAGTGGATCCACCAACAGCTTGCACTGTGCACCTGGAAAAGCTGCAGATACTCAACGCCAGCCTGTGAAAGCAGCCAGGAAGGAGGCTATACCCTGCAAAGCCACTGGGGTGGAGCTGTTCAAGACCATGGGATCCCACCTCTTGCATCAGCGTGACCCAGATGTGAGACATGGAGTCAAAGGAGATCATTTTAGAACTTTAAGATTTTACCGCTCTGCTAGATTTCGGACTTGCATGGGGCCTGCAGCCCCTTTGTTTTGGCCAATTTCTCCCATTTGGGACAGCTGTATGTACCCAATGCCTATACTCCCACTGTATCTAGGAAGTAACTAACTTGCTTTTGATTTTACAGGCTCATAGGTAGAAGGGACTTGCCTTGTCTCAGATGAGATTTTGGACTGTGGACTTTTGAGTTAATGCTGAAATGGGTTAAGACTTTGGGGGACTGTTCAGAAGTGATGATTGGTTTTGAAATATAAAGACATGAGATTTGAGAGGAGCCAGGGGTGGAATGATATGGTTTGGCTCTTTGTCCCCACCCAAATCTCATCTTGAATTCCCATGTGTTGTGGGAGGGACCTGGTGGGAGGTAATAGAATCATGGGGGCAGGTCTTTCTCATGCTGTTCTTTTGATAGTGAATAAGTCTCATGAGATCTCATGGTATTATAAGAGGAGTTTCCCCGCACAAGCTCTCTTTGCCTGCTGCCATCCATGAAAGACGTGACTTGCTCCTCCTTGTCTTCAGCCATGATTGTGAGGCCTCCCCAGCCATGTGGAACTATAAGTCCATTAAGCCTTTTTCTTTTGTAAATTGTCCAGTCTTGGGTATGTCTTTATCAGCAGTGTGAAAATAGACTAATACAGCCTGTTAACATTCTTTTTCCATTTTTCAATTGGGTTGCCTTTTTCTTACTGATTTATTTTTTATTTATCTTGTGAATATTTTTCTTCTACATATACCCTGTCTTCTAACTAACTGGGCTGAGACAGATTGAATATTCCTTAAAATGCTGTTATACAGATATAAAGGAATACTGGCCAACAAATATTTTGCAGAAATGTTCAAAAACTGTTAAAAGAATACCATCCAGTATGAATTGCCAAAAACCTTGTAAATAAGTAAAAGGAGCAAGTAAATGTGGTGAATTGGTCAATCATTGAATTGGCTTTTAGCAAATTAGTCTGTTTATTTTACCAGCATGTCTTCTCAAATACCTCAAAATATGACATCACTTCTTAGTTTTATATTTCCATTTTCCCCTCATATTCATTACCTTTATTTCTTTCCTTCTTTAATCATGTAGGCAATATATTTTATTGTGGAAATAATTTAAATATATACAGGGAATTGTAGCAGGCATTTTTTTGTGCCTACCTAATAGTCATGCCCTGTCTTCCATGTTGGCAAAGCCCAAATTTTGCTCAAGTATCTACTAATCTTGTTAATTGAATTATTTAATTCTCTAATATTATCACAGGAGCTGGGTGTGGTGGCACTCTCCTGTATGCCCAGACACTCAGAAGGCTGAGGCAGGAGGATCACTTGAGCCTAGAAGGTTGAGGCTACAGTGAGCTCTGATTACACCACTGCATTCCAGCCTGGGTGACAGAGCGAGACCCTGTTTATAAAGAAATAAAAATAAAAATAATTTTATTATAGCTTGTGTATCACTTATCCAAAATGCTTGGGACCAGGGGTATTTTGGACTTTTTCAGATTTCTGAATATTTGCATTATACTTACCAGTTCAGCATCCTTAATCTGAAAATCCAAAATCCAAAATGTCCAGTAAGCATTTTCTTTGAGCATCATATGGGCACTCAAAAAGTTTCAAATTTTGGAGCATTTTGGGTTTCAGATTTTGGGATTAGGATGTTCAACTGGTAACAGGTTTATGGATTTCTAAGAGTTACATTAAGAGAAGGAAACTTGTCTTTGATTTATGAATTTCTAAGAGTTACATTAAGAGAAATTTGCTTTCCTAGCCCAAAGGCCCTTTGGTGAGAGGGAGGGACCCTGGGACCACATACGGTGATCACACTGGGAGCAGGTCCACTCACTCAACCATGGTGTAGTGAGGCCACCTTTATGCCTCTTGTGGACTTCCATTTAGAAGGTGCTCAGATGAATTCCTAAAGGGGTCTAAAGTGGATTCAGGGTATGGCAGCCACCCCAGTATATATCTATTCATGAGGGCTTTTTGTGAGAGAATCTGATAGACGCTGTATATGTATGTATGACAAATGATGATATCTTGCCTGACCCTAGGGGAGAGAGAGACTACGCCAGAATCCATTGAGATCGCACATGTGGCTAGAAGTCTGGAGGCGCTCAGGTTACAAAACAGGTGTGGTGGTTTAAGCCTGTAATTCCAGCAACTTGGGACCAGAGTTTGAGAACAATGTGGGCAATGTAGTGAGATCCCATCTCTCAAAAATAGAAAGAATTAACCAGGCATGGTGGCATGCACCTGTAATCCTAGCTACTCAGCAGGCTGGGGCAAGAGGATTGCTTGAGCCCAGGAGTTCAAGGCTGTAGTGAGCTATGATTGTGCCACTGCCCCACCGCCTGGGTGACAGAGCAAGACCCCATCTGTTGAAAAAGAAAAAATCACAACTATGTTGCAGAGACAGACTCAGGAAGCTGTGAAATGTGCATAAATTTTTTTAGAGCCAAACAATGCACATTCAGGCCCAATATATCAAATTTTTCTTTGGCAAATCTCTTTAATTGTCTGGCTTAATAAATGACAGCTGGGTTCTCAGCTTCCACGTTCCTGTCTATTCTGATGCTTTAGTTAAAGTATATGCAGAAAATCTGGTCTACCAGAGATAGGTAGTTGGAAATGGGGAGATTATTTTAACAGCTTTTCAGGCAATTGTGAATATTATTCTTGGATACTATACCAAAACTCAACAAATATATAGCTTGTTAATGTTTAAAAGCAAAGTGGAATCTAGAACTACATCCATTAACTTCTTGAGTTATTATTACATTAAAAATCCATTGGACTGTCTTGCAATTGGAATAGATTTTTTTTTTCTTACCCATCCATCATGGTTTTGTACCATCATGAATAAAATACTGGTTCATTAAGTGTAGTGTTATTAAAATATGTCCACATATTCTTTGATACTCCTCACTTTAAGAGGTGGAGCTTAGGCCGGGCGCAGTGGCTCACGCCTGTAATCCCAGCACTTTGGGAGGCTGAGGTGGTGGATCACGAGGTCAGGAGTTCGAGACCAGCCTGGCCAACATGGTGAAACCCTGTCTCTACTAATAATACAAAAAATTAGCCAGGTGTGGTGGTGGGCGCCTGTAATCCCAGCTACTCAAGAGGGTGAGGCCTGGGAATTCCTTGAACCCGGGAGGCAGAGGTTGCAGTGAGCTGAGATCATGCAACTGCACTCCAGCCTGGGTGACAGAGCAAGGCTCCATCTCAAAAAAAAAAAAAAAAAAAAAGTGAAGTTGTTTTTTTTTTTTCTGCATGGAGTTATGCAGATCTTCCAAATGTTGGCACATTTCATTATTCAATATTTTTTAAAATCACGTTTATTAATACCATCACCAAGCTCATCAGAAAAACTTTTTAAGTATTGGGATGTTGTTAAGCTTGTGGTGGCAGATATGTTTCCTTTCTCTTTCTTTTTTGAGATAGGGTCTCACTCTGTCACCCAGGCTGAAGTTCAGTGGCACAAACGTGGCTCACTGCAGCCTTGACCTGCCAGGCTCAAGTGATCCTTCTGCCTCAGCCTCAGCTGTGACCATAGGCACACACCACCACGCTCAGCTAATTTTTTTGTAGAGACAGGGTTTTGCCACGTTGCCCAGGCTGGTCTCGAACTCCTGGCCTCAAGGGATCTGTCCTCCTTGGCTCCCAAAGTGCTGGGATTACAGGCGTGAGCCACCACGTCCAGCCTGGATAAGTTTTTCAAAATTCTAACCTTTTTCTTGAAAACTCAAATTTTCTCATTGGCATCAAATAATGTCAGTTGTTTCCTTTGAAGTGATTAGCTTACTTTGTTTTTTTTAGAAAATGTCTATTAAATACTCAGGTCCCAATCATACTATCAGTTATCAAAAGAGGTGTTTTCCACGTATGCTTATTGCAGCACTATTCACAACAGCAAATACTTGGAACCAACCCAAATGGCCATCAATGATAGACTGAATAAAGAAAATGTGGCACATATACACCATGGAATACTATGCAGCCATCAAAAAGAATGAGATCATGTCCTTTGCAGGGACATGGATGAAGCTGGAAGCCATCATTCTCAGCAAACTAACACAGGAACAGAAAACCAAACACTGCATGTTCTCATTCATAAGTGGGAGTTGAACGATGAAAACACATGGACACAAGGAAGGGAACAACACACACTGGAGCCTGTCGGCGGTGGGGACAAGGGGAGGGAGAGCATTAGGACAAATACCTAATGTATGCGGGGCTTAAAACCTAGATGACAGGTTGATAGGTGCAGCAAACCACCATGGCACATGTATACCTATGTAACAAACCTGCACATTCTGTACATGTATCCTGGAACTTAAAGTAAAATAAATAAATAAATAAAAGTTTGCAAAAATACAATGAAAATAAAAGAGGTGTTTTCCAGAAAAAAAGGTCTAGTTCAGCTACGAACTCAAGCACAGAACTGCTTTTCCTCAGGACATAATACCTTGGTGTGCAGCAGACTTGCTTTATGCGCACTTCCCATTTGTCACACAAAATATTTAAACGTCATGTAATCAAGGCTCAAAATGGAGTAAAATGAATACTCTTTACAGCTTCATTAAGGACATTAAGTGGAACTGGCTTTCCCATCCCCTTCCCCTACAAGTATACTGGTGAAAAATACAGTAACTGCCAATATAGTTTGGTGCCACTGCCTTGAATCACACCAAGGTTCCAGCAGTTTTACCTATGATTTTAAACGTAAATGTCACTACAGTGAAAAATGCAAATAAAACTTAGTATTATTGTGAAAACAGTTTTGACCTTGCAGATTCCCTAAAAGGATCTCAGGGATCTCCAAAGGTCTACCCAGGTAGGAAATGTGGTAACATGGAGCAACATGGGAGAAGGGACAGGCACCTCTGGGAAGCCTGTACTTCATGAAACTGTCTGTCAGAAGACACTCAGTTACCAGTGGTTGTAGCTCCCTAGGAGCGGTTGTGATGCAGGACAGGAGAGCCACAAAATGTGGCTTTTTCCTTGGCTTTGCCCAGTAAAGAATTCAAGGGCTAGCTGGTGGCAGGGTAGCCGAAAACAGCTTGATTGAAGTGGCAGTGTTACAGCTCCATGACTGATCCTGCAGAGCAGGACTACCCCATAGGCAGAGAGTAGCTGCTCAGGGCAGTTCTATGGTCATATTTATACCTATTTTTAATTGCATGCAGATTAAGTGTTGGTTTATGCAGAATTTTCTAGGAAAAGGGGAGTAACTTCTGCGTCATCGGGTCATTGCCATGGAAAGAGGCGGGAACTCCCGGGTGTAGCCATGGTTACGGTAAACTGACATGGCACACTGGTGGACATGTCTTATGGAAAGTTGTTTCTGCCTCATCCTTGTTTTAGTTCATCCAGTTACGTCTATTTCTCGACAGGTCCTCTAAGTGGCTCTAAAGGGGAAAGGTGAAAATATGCCATGGGGCCCATTGCTAGGGTCTGAGGGATAAGGCTGGGAGTGGAGGAAGTGAGGAAGAAGGCCGGCCACCTACAGAACTCAGGCATTTGAGAAGATAAGCTGGATGAGCCCAGGCCACAGGAAAATTATCTTCTTGGGAACAGAGGTGGCAGATCAGGAGCCACAGATCTCCCCGCCACCCCCCAGCTACTGTCCACGCCTGTCTCCACCGCCTGAAGCCCCTCCTCCGACAGCCACAGCCAGAAGTAGAAGAGCTGTGGAACTCACATGTAGGGCTCTGTGGGTTTGGCTCTTAGAGTCAAGATGGTCACCGCCTCCAAGCGGCAGATAAGCAATGCAGGACTGGAGATAAGGGCGAGGGACAGACCATCTAGCCACCAGCCTCTACCCCCTAGAGACACCAAGAGGTGGGCAGAGAGCAAGTACTGGCCACAGGCAAAGCCAGAGCAGGCAGAGGGAGTGTATAGAACACCCTTGACATAAGTAACTCCATCTTAGCAAAAGACTCCACTTTACGTTTCAAAAGGCATCATGCCAACAGAGTCCCGATGTTCGCCTAACCAAAAAAGAGTGTATCCAACCAAATACGGGCATAAACAGGCACACTCCTTCACTATCAGTCGTCACCAGAAGACCCCCGTGGCCATAAAAAGAGCAGGACTTCTCTAGCTCTAAATGGCCGTCTTAACAGACCCTATCTTGCTGTCGCCCATGATAAACACCCGGCATCTGCTGCCTAAGGCTTTGCCCACATCAAAGACTCTTCCTTGCAAGACATTGAGGCCAGGACACCTTGTCTCTCCTGGGACTAGTTTGTTAACCCCTTTTCCTATCTATCTCCTTTGCTCTTGATGTTAAATGTTACCCTGCTTGATGTGGAATATTTAATCTACAACATTTAACATGTTGACTAAGTAGACTATTTTGTATGCTTTGCAATACTGACTTGGTGTAGTGGCTGAAGCCTGTGTGCCTATGGCTCTGACTACGGAGTGAGCGAGTGAGCGGGTAGTGTTAGGGGAATTGCCTCCTTGGGAACTCCATGTAGCTCCTGGCTTTTATGACTGGAATAGCATCAGTAAAAGTCTCACCTGGCGGAAAGACACAAACGTGGTGGACCTGGTTCTGTCTGACCCTCCTTGCTCGACTCAACGACAGAGAATGAGCTGGGAATAAGGGCAATGCACAGCCAACAGCGGAAGGGCTGTGGCCAGGCCCCTTCCTTCCTAAGTCCGGGTTTCTCTGGCTCACGAACGACCCCTGGAGGTAGACACCCGGCGACACCGCCCACCGGTCTATCCCTTCAGAAACCCTGTTCCCTGCCCGGTTGGCCCGCCTTCCGCTTTCGAAAGCAGAGGCAGTTCCGGGGTGGGAACCGCGCGGAGCTTTCTGGGAAATGTAGTCCTTGTCAAGAGGCTTCTGGGAGTCGTAGTCCCTACCTGTTCTTCCGGCGCACGGCCTTTCCGTTTTCCTGTTGCGGGTTCTATCGCTCTGCGGCGTGGGAAAGAGGCGTGCGCGTCCTTGCGTGGTCCTGCTTCGACCTGTGGTCTCTCTGGCTTCTGGTCGGGTGGGGAAGGTTTATGGGGTGGAACGTGAGAGACAGGCTTGGGCACTTTTGCGTCTGGCAGTTAGGCAGCAGGTGGTAGTTTCCATGATGGGGACGCAGGGGCAGCGCCAAAGGGCCCCAGAGAACGAGGCATCCAAGGGGGAAGGGGTGTGGGATACGAGCCGACTGAGGGGAGACGCGCCCAAAGCCGGGGACCTCACTACCCCAGAGTCGACCTTGAAAGAGCCCTCGAGTCAGACTGAGGAGATGGGCAGTATCCTCCGACAATGGAAAGCCGTTGTTCGCTTCAGGGGAGACGCGCTGTGACCCAAAAGTCATTTTACCGTCATCACTATTGCTGCAGTTCATTCAGAAGGGTTTTGGGGGAGGCCATTGAAGGCTGAGCAGCAGCCCAGGGAGAGTTGATGGGGGCTGATGGTGGGAGTGGCAGCATGGATTCAGTGGATGATGAGGGATCAGGGAGTGGGGCGAGTTGAGGATTCCCAGTTTTCTGGTGTGGGCTGTAGGCCTGTCTGCAGATACTCTCACCTAGTGGAATTCTTTTCCGTAACCTGTCTTAACTTAATGAGAGGCTTGATGGGTAAATGGTTAAAGATGCACGTGCACATCCCTTCACCAAACCATTCAGATGCTCACACTAAACCCAAAGGCCACTCGTTCACTTATGCACACAGCTCAGTTATACCTACCCTTGTGAACACACCGGTATGTAGTACACACAGCCACATAACAATTCATGATCACATACTCCTGGCATCAAACAAAGGGTAAATATATCCATCTCAGTTTAAACGGCCTCTGCTATCTTGGGCGAAGTGTGACCTCCACACAAGAAGGACCCAGGTTGACTTCCTCAGTCCTCTCTGGAAACTTCAAACAGCTCAGCCTTTATCCTTTCTCTTGGCTACATCCACCTCCTCTAAGGTCCTCTGACTCTTCCTAGTCATCTTCTGCCACTCTGGCTTGATGGGAGGGAGATAGAAATGGGCTTGAATTCAGACAAGGGCTTTGCTTATCTGAAATGTGTTTGCTGAGGTTCTTATTCCCAGAGCAGTAGCTCTGAACATAATATTTCGTGTGTGCTGAATTCTGTTGAGAATCCAAAGAAAGTTGTGAACCCTCTTCCTGGATAAACACACATCTTTACATCCACACTGTTTTGAAAGCAAAATTGAAACCCATATGTCGGGCCCTGGTTAAGAACCTCACCAGAAGATCAGAACATCAGTTTCCTGATTGCCCTCTGTCTTAGCTCATTCAGGCTGCTCTAACAAAATACCTTAGACTAGGTAATTTATAAGTAACAGAAATATATTGTTTACAGTTTTGGAGGCAAGGAAGTCCAAGATCAAGGACTGGACTGGTGAAGGCTTACTCTCTGCTTCAAAGATGATGCTTGGGGCTGGGCGCGGTGGCTCACGCCTGTAATCCCAGCACTTTGGGAGGCCAAGGCAGACGGATCACGAGGTCAGGAGATCGAGACCATCCTGGCTAGCACGGTGAAACCCTGTCTCTACTAAAAATAAAAAAAAAAATTGGCCGGGCATGGTGGCAGGTGCCTGTGGTCCCAGCTACTTGGGAGGCTGAGGCAGAAGAATGGCATGAACCCGGGAGGCAGAGCTTATAGTGAGCCGAGATCAAGCCACTGCACTCCAGCCTGGGCGACAGAGCGAGACTGTCTCAAAAAAAAAAAAAAAGATGGTGCCTTGTAGCTGTGTCCTCACATGGTGGAAGGGCCAAAGGGCCAAGTTAGCTCCCTTCAATTCCAACTCCTTTTATAAGGCCACTAAGCCCATTCCTGAGGCAGAGCCTTCATGAATTAATCACTTCCCCAAAGGTCCCATCTCTTAATACTATCACATTGGGTATTAGGTTCCAATATATGAATTTGGGGAGATCACCAATATTCTGACCATAACACCCTTTCTGCAGTCTTCAAGTGGCTCAAGAGGGGGAGAAGAATAGGGTCTCAATCCCCATAGGAGTTGGAGTGTGAGGAAGGGGCAGCCTCTTCTCCCATCCATCTGTAACCCTTAGTTATGGAGCCAGACATCAGTTATTGTTGGTCCTCCACTGGGCAGTCAGTCATTCAGCTGGTTAAAGAGTCAGTTATGTAGTCAGTTTAAGCTTGTCAGATGTTTAGTTACCTACAGTTAGTACATCAGTAAGAAATCCAGTAGGTGGCCAGGTGTGGTGGCTCATGCCTGTAATCCCAGCACTTTGGGAGGCCGAGGCGGGCAGATCACGAGGTCAGGAGATTGAGACAAGCCTGGCTAACACAGTGAAACCCCGTCTCTACTAAAAATACTATATGTATATATATATATATATATATATATATGGTGGCGGGCGCCTGTAGTCCCAGCTACTTAGGAGGCCGAGGCAGGAGAATGGCATGAACCCGGGGGGCAGAGCTTGCAGTGAGCGGAGATCACGCCACTGCACTCCAGCCTGGGCAACAGTGCGAGACTCCGCCTCAAAAACAAAAAACCAAAAAGCAACAAAAAAAGAAATCCATTAGGTCAATCAAGTGATTTGTGTGTTTAGATATTTAATCAGCCAACCAGCCAGTCAATTACTCAGGATTAACTTTTCAGATAGACAGTGGTCCATCAGGATCCATCAGTCAGAAAGTCAATTTAATGGTCAGTCTGTCAATCAGAGTGCTAGTTGTTTAAAATGCTAAACACCTGGCTCATCAGTGGGACAAAAGGGCAGCTGGGGTGAGGCCATCTGGACACAGAGCGTGTCTCTACTTGCTACAGCTGGAAAATAATGTACACAGGTGGGGAGAAGATTTGACTCCTCCTGGGCCGCCAGAGGGAGCTTTGGTTTGCTGGGAAAGAGGCCTCACGTGGTGTGGTTGACAGGGAAAGAGGAAAAGCGGCAAAACGTGGGCCAGGCGGAGTTGCCACCAGAAGGTGGTGTGGCCTTCCTTCACGTCTCCACCCTGCATACTCCATCGGCTTAACTTTAGGCTTGAAGGAGCCCACTTCTGGCCGGCTTTTGAGGAAAGGCCCCTGGAAGGACTTCCCATCCTAGGGCGTACCTAATTGAGGCATGCTTGGCTCTGAGCTGGGAGGAAGCCAGCCGGCTACCCACCAGGAGAAGGACTTGCCCTCCCTGGTTGTCAGGGGCATGCCAGCCAAAGCACCGGGCAATGGGGGAAGAGAGGGAAACTGGGGTGGGGATGCTGGGGTATGGGGAAATCAATACCATACCTGTCTGCCCAGGAGCAAGGCAGGGAGCAGCTTCCTAAAGCTGAGGCACTGAGGGCAGGATCTCTGGTTTGTGGGAGTCTACACCATATCCAGGGCTACTTCTCATTCAGCTTCTCCAGGGGCCACACTTTGAGCCTCCATACTCCCATTCTTTTGCTGAACTCTGTGGTCAGCAGCTTCCTCTCAAATGAACAGCAAGTCCAACTAAAGCAGGAAGGATGGAAGTTAGACATAGATAATGAAGAAACAAGGGGAAAGGATGAACCCTCTTGGGGAATAGTGGAGATGTTTATATAAGGTTCCAAATGCAGTGTTGGGCACAAAGGCAGGATTCAGTAAATTTGAGTCCCCCCAAGGGAGGTGCATGTGGCCAATGCGTTGTAGCTCCTACTTATGCATAAAGCATGATTTGATGCCTCCAGATGGGCTTCTTGGCTTTAAAAAGAGGGCAATGCAGCGTGAGCAGGAGCTACGGCTGAACATTATCTGGGTTTGATCTTTTGCTGCAAGCAGGCTGATGTTGCCATCGGAAGATTGTGTGAAAACTGACGGCAAGTGTGTGATTTGTGACCGCTGTGTCTGTCCCTTCACCCTGGTATGCTTATATGATGAGTGTAACTATGGCTTTTACCAGGGACACTGTGAGATCTGTGGAGGCCATGGGAGTCTCTGATGCCTATTATTGTAAGGAGTGCACCAGCCAGGAGAAGAATAGAGATGGCTGCCCAAAGATTGTCAGCTTAGGGAGCTCTGAGACAGGCCTCTTCCATGAACGTCAAAAATGTGGCATCAGAAAGAGGTGATTGGTGGGTGGCCCCTTCCTTCCCTGCATCGAGCTGCAGCAGCTGCCAGAAATGACGCCTACAACTATCAACAGAAAGGGAGCGGAGCCCCGGGCATCGCCGAAGTGCCTGCCGGTGTACTGGGACCCTGCCACCTCTCCCTCCCCTTTCGTACAAATGTGTGATAGGGATGGAAAAGGATTCTTTACAGAACACCCTGGCAGACTGAATCACAGAAGAATCGATAGATTAGTTACTGTTTTTTCTTGAATTTGAAAAGCAAGGTTCTGTCCTGCATATGGATATGTCCTCCCTACCCGGAGAGCTTCTAAAAACAAGTCACGGTTCAGTCTTCTGCTTGAGGAGCTGACTGTGAAGCTGCATGCAGTAAAAGACGTGTCCTTGAGGAGACTTCAGTGTGTGGCAGGAAGCTATCAGAACAAGAAATGAGGACCTTTCATCTTTCACATTAAAAAAAAATGTGGGCAGGGCTGTCATTCTGGTTTCAACTGGTTTTGGTGTCTCAGAGCAATGGAGAGAGTCATTTGTGAGAAATAATGACTCCTGCCAGGTGGAGATGGTCCATGTGTCTGGAGCTTCACATACACTCTGCGGGAGTCATCATCCCTGGTTTAGGGATTGTAGGAGCCTGGGTACCTTGCTTGAGGCTCCACACCTGCGAAGTGGTAGAGAACTGGATTTGAGCTTGGTCTATATGGTTCCAAAGCTCTTTTTCTAGGTGATCACACTGGAGACCACAGATAGGGAAGGGGAGAAGAGTGGAGGACTGAGAAATCACTGGCTTCTGAAGTGCTCTGGAAGCGACTGTCCTCTCGGAGATCCTGTCAATCTCACACCCCACACCATGATCCAAGACGCTTTTTCTGTCTTCCAGACATGCAGAAAATCCATCAACAACTGCAGTCCATGTACTCAGGGAGGCCCTTAGGGAGCCTGGATTTTATCTGGAAGGCTGTGGAGGGCCAAGGAAGCGTTTTTAATTTGATTTACGCTGTCATGAATGTAAAATCTATACATGCCGGAGAGAACTATTTAGTATGTATTGGTAAGCCATCACACATGCTTTCTGTAGACCCCTGTGAGGAATGTTTAATATAATGATATAATGACTATGAGTAAGGGCTTGAGTCAGACTAGTTTGCCTCCCAGTTCTGCCACTTCGTGGCTGAGAGGCCTTGGCAAGTGACCTCTCCTCTCAGTTTCTTTCCCTGTCTTAAAAATGGGGATGATAGGCTGGGCGGGGTGGCTCATGTCTATAATCCCAGCACTGTGGGAGGCCAAGCTAGACAGATTGCTTGAGCCCAGGAGTTTGAGACCATCCTGAGCAACACAGCAAGACCCCATCTCCAAAAAAATATATGAAAATTAGCTGAGTGTGGTAGCTCGTGCCTGCAATCCCAGCTGCTCGGGAGGCTGAGGTGGGAGGATTGCTTGAGCCCAGGAGCTTGAGGCTGCAGGGAGCTATTACTGCCATTGTACTCCTGCCTGGATGACAAGGGTGAGAGCTTGTCTCCAAAAAAA
Source organism: Homo sapiens (assembly GCF_000001405.40). NCBI lineage: Eukaryota > Metazoa > Chordata > Mammalia > Primates > Hominidae > Homo > Homo sapiens. The sequence continues at coordinate 141,306,083 of NC_000003.12, read as the reverse complement.
AAAAAAAAAAAAAAAAGAAAAGGGGATGATAATCTTTAAGTCACAGGTTACTGTGAGATGAAACAAGGTTCTGCGTAAAAAGCACACTGCATGTCTTGGGCGTTGAAATGCTCAACAAGTGCTGGCCCATCCTGCACATAAAGTGCATCTCGTGCTCCATTTCCAACCCTCTTAGTCTTTTTCCAGTTACTGATTTCTCTTTTTTGCCTTAAATAACAGACATTTATTTCTCACAGGTCTGGAGGCTGAGAAGTCCAAGGTCAGGGAGACAGCATTTTCAGTTGCTAGTGAGGCCTCTCTTCCTGGCTTGCAGATAGCCACCTTCTTACTGTGTCCACACATGGGGGTGGGGAGGGAGGGAGAGAGAGAGAGAGAGAGATTGATTCTCTTGCCTCCTGCCCTAGTGTTTCTCTGATGCCATGGTGTACAAGGCACCCTCCTGCTGGGCAGTCATGCACATGCAAGTCAGCAGAGCAGGGAAGGCAGCTGTGGCTGGTAGCCAATGGATAAATGTTTCCCACAAGTGAACAGTTCTGAGATGTATTTCCCAAGCCTTCTTAGGAGGTCCTGTGGGATAGAGCACCCAGTTGCCCCTGTGCATCCTTACACTGGCTTTCCCTCCTTCCCCTTCTGTCCCCTCTTTCACTCCTGCTCCTTTGGTACCACATCCCCTAACCAACTTAACAAACTACTACATTTAAGCTTTTTTTTTTTTTTTTTTCTCAGACTCTGCTTCAAGGGAGACCAGGCTAAGACAATCTATTATAACAAGATTCCGTTTTCTTGGAAAAGCTACATTAGGAAAAAATGGGAAAAGAAACAAAAGGAGCTAGAAATATAAATATCCATAACAGAGATGCAAGAAGGGGATCATCCCCTTGAGCAGAGTAGACTCTTGACTGTAGCCCAAGTGTCAAGTTTACTTATTCACTTGTGTGGACGTAACAGAGTAGGGGGCGCAGGGAGAGGTACCAAGCTAGAGGGACCTGGAAGAGTTTATAGTCTAGCATAATTCACTTTCCAGTCCTGAGTTGGCCACTTACTATTGACTGTGTGATCTTATGTACACGTCTACCTCTGAGCCTCAGAGCTCAGAGCCTTTCCTTACGTGTGAAATGGGGATAATAAATGCCTACTTCAAGTGCTCACTCATACTGTGAGATACACAGACTACATTAGTTGAATGTTCAGCCTAGTGTCCAGCCCATGGTATCTGTTCAACAAATGGTAAGTCACAGCCCTCTGTAATTAGCTTTGGATTGTCTGAAATCAAATTTTTCCTACTGCTTCCTATGTGCATACTTAGCTTCTGCAATAAAATGGTAAGCCTCTCAAAGGCAGTGATAGAAGATCTATTGGTCATCAATAGATACTTATCCCTTTTCTAGAAATGAGTCCAGCTTTCCTGCCCATGCTAGCAGAGACCTTAGCCTCTAGGATTTGCTTGCTTTCCATTCAGGTCAGTTCCCAGGAGGCAGAGTCTGAGACAGACGTGTGTGCAGGGGGTTGCTGGGGAGTGCTCTCAACACTGTGAAGGATGCTGGATGAGGCAGAAGTTGGGCTATGTTGTAGTCACAAGGCCTTGGCTTGACCCCAAAGGCGCTCTGAAGCTGAGATGGCCCCTCAGGGTTGTCCCTGGGCCTTCCGATCCCTATTCTGACCAATCATTGGATGTGGCTGCCCTGGGAAGGAGCATGTCCTTCAGCAGATGGCTCTCTGCTCCAGAGCAGTGCCCTGAAAGCACCGACAGCCAAGCACCACCAGCAACTGGGGGAAGAAGTCCTGAAGTGGGGGATCAGGGTGGCGCAGCATCCACACCTTCAGTGTAATGGTGGCTTTGGAGAGTGTGGTAGTCACTGCGAGTTCTCTACCCAGTACCCACTTTCCCTTTTTTCTCGAGTGAAAGGAGGCTGAGCTTGTTTGGGACAGCAGTGTGCCCAATAAAGATCCTCACTTCCCTCGACTCGTTTACAGCAGAGGTAGCCAAGGGGCCCCACTCTGGCCAGTGAGAGGCGAACAGGAGTCTGGGTTCCTGATGACATAATGGCGCCACTGGCGAAAGTGAAAGGCTTTATTGCTTAGGCCACTGTCATCAGGTTTCGGTAGCACGGAACCAAAGGCAGTCCTAAATGGTTCAGGAGGCATTATCACATACCCTGCTTAAGAGCATGGTCCTGCGTGTGATATGGGCACAGCGGGAATCCCAGCTCTGCTGCACACTAGCAGCCGTGTGGAGCCTCAGACGAACTACTCCTCGTGGTTCCCTTTTCTGTAAAAGTGGGAATGACAGTAGTATTCTCACTACCATTTCAACATATAACACCAGGGTAACCAACTTGTTCCAGTTTGCCTGGGACTTTCCTGTTTTTTAAGCACTGAAAGCCCCACATCCTGGGAAACTACTCAGTGCCAGGCAAACCTGCACAGCTGCTCAACCTATTAAAACACCCTCAAACTACCCTGCTTCCTTTACAGATGGAAGACTGGAAAAATTGTGTTGATGCTGCCCCCTAGTGGTTGAATGTAATGTAACTGCTGCAAAGATACATTTTACATTATAAGTTTTCTTGAGAATAGCAAGCCACAGATGGTTAGAGGCAGAGTTGGAATATTCCCCTAACCATTTAGATTTAAATGTAGAACTGCTTTAACCCTATTATATTATTCATCGATATTTGCCAGCAAATATACTATCTGGTAGGACTATTGTGAAGATTAATGAAATGGTGTAAATTTTCCCATGGTATCTCATATAGTGGTTGTTTTTTTTTTTTTTTTTTTTTTTTTTTTAATGACAGGGTCTTACTCTGTCATCCAGGTGGAGTGCAGTGGCACAATCACGGCTCAATGCAGCCTCAACCCCCGTGGGCTTAAGCAATCCTCCCACCTCAGGCTCCCAAGGACCTGGGACCACAGGCATGTGCCACCACTCCCAGCTAATTTTTTTACTTTTAATTTTTTGTAGAGATAGGGTCTCCCTATGTTGCCCAGGCTCATCTCAAATTCTTGGGCTTAATGTGCTGGGATGACAGGCATGAGCCACCATGCCCAGCTATAAGTGCTCTTCAGTTCACTGGTATCATGTGAACTTGAGTTAGACTCAGCTGTGACTCTTCCTTTGAAAAAGTGACTTCAACCCCTGCCGGGCTCCCCCCGCCTGTTTTCCTCATTCACATTAGGGAACTAGGACTTTCCTCAGAATGTTGTGAAGATTCATGAAGAAACACTTGTGGAAACCACGTAGTTGGCACTACATGGCCAACTTTACTGCTGACAATGTTGTCTGGAAGGCAGGCCTCAGGCCATCCCTCTGCTGAGGGGCTCTGTAGCTCTCAGGAGCTGAGCTGGCCCTCAGGGATGCCTTCTCCTCATCAAGGCCAGTCTCCGCTGGCAGTCGGGCTTCAAGAAGTCCTGCCCAGATGCTCTGATGTATTCAGCCGCTTCCTCTTCAGCAGAAGCTATTACTCATCTGAGCTGGCTCCTGGGCAGGCACAAATACAGGGGGACAATCCAAACATTCAGTTCAGTGGCCTTGGGCAATGGGAGTTAACTGGTGTTTAGGCCAGAGCTTTGTGCTGGCTGCTCTTAAAGCCACAACTGCAACATAAACCCCAGCTATTTTCTGCTACTCGTGGTTGTGTTTAAACACAAGGTGGCACACCCACCCTTGTCTGGACTGCTAAATCTGTTCAGAAGGCTTCCCTGAGATTCAGAGAAACAGAAGCATGTATCTCTGCCTCTCTCTAGACAGTCTTTAAGACTTCTGGAAAAAGGAATCACCTAAATCTTCCAGAAAGTCTAATTCTGCTATGGCTATGAAAACCCTCAAATAGGCTTAATAGCAATATTAGATTAAGATCCTCAATTTCATTTAAAGTGAAGTTAGAGAAAGAATACTTACATCAGGCTGGGCATGGTGGCTCACACCTGTAATCCCAGCACTATGGAAGGCTGAGGCGGGTGGATCACCTGAGGTTGGGAGTTCAAGACCAGGCTGACCAACATGGAGAAACCCCGTCTCTACTAAAAATACAAAATTAGCCGGGCGTGGTGGTGGCACATGCCTGTAATCCCAGCTACTCAGGAGGCTGAGGCAGGAGAAACGCTTGAAACTGGGAGGCAGAGGGTGCAGTGAGCTGAGATTGTGCCATTCTACTCCAGCCTGGGCAAGAGCAAAACTCCGTCTCAAAAAAAACCCCAAAAAAACCTCACATCAATAAATACCTGCACCACAATGAAGGAGCCTCCGCTTTGTTCTGTGTAAAGCCTTGTAGTCCTGTTTTAGTACCTTGGCTTTAAGTTGCCATTTCATGGATTTTTAATGAGATTTTTAAAATATGTCTAATCTATACCATGAAATATTACTCAATGGCTATAAAGAGCCATCTACATTTATATACATCTCAATCAGTCAATCAATCACCTATCATCTTAACATGGAAATATCTTTACGACATACTGATAAGGGTGGCAAGTTAATGAGAAATACTTCTCAAGATGGCCAAATAGGAACAGCTCCAGTCTATAGCTTTCAGCATGAGCACGCAGAAGACGGGTGATTTCTCCATCTCCAACTGAGGTACCGGGTTCAGCTCACTGGGGCTTGTCGGACAGTGGGTGCAGGATAGTGAGTGGATGCAGTGCACCGAGAGTGAGCCGAAGCAGGGCGAGGCATCACCTCACCCGGGAAGCGCGAGGGGTCAGGGAATTCCCTTTCCTAGCCAAGCGAAGCTGTGACAGATGGCACCTGGAAAATTGGGTCACTCCCACCCTAATACTGCACTTTTCCAATGGTCTTAGCAAACGACACACCAGGAGATTATATCCTGCACCTGGCTTGGAGGGTCCCATGCCCACAGAGCCCCGCTCATTGCTAGTACAGCAGTCTGAGAAGCTTAAACTGCGTGGAGCCCACCGCAGCTCAAGGAGGCCTGCCTGCCTCTGTAGACTCCACCTCTGGGGGCAGGGCATAGCTGAACAAAAGGCAGCAGAAACCTCTGCAGACTTAAATGTCCCTGCTTTGAAGAGAGCAGTGGTTCTCCCAGCATGGAGTCTGAGATCTGAGAACGGACAGACTGCCTCCTCAAGTGGGTCCCTGACCCACGAGTAGCCTAACTGGGAGGCACCCCCCAGTAGGGGCAGACTGACACCTCACATGGCTGGGTACCCTTCTGAGACGAAACTTCCAAAGGAACGATTAGGCAGTGACATTTGCTGTTCAGCAACATTCACTGTTCTGCAGCCTCCGCTGCTGATACCCAAGCAAACAGGGTCTGGAGTGGACCTCCAGCAAACTCCAACAGACCTGCAGCTGAGAGTCCTGACTGTTAGAAGGAAAACTAACAAACAGAAAAGACATCCACACCAAAACCCCATCTGTACATCACCATCATCAAAGACCAAAGGTAGATAAAACCACAAAGATGGGGAAAAAAACAGAGCAGAAAAACTGAAAGTTCTAAAAATCAGAGCGCCTCTCCCCCTCTAAAGGAACGCAGCTCCTCGCCAGCAACAGAACAAAGCTGGGTGGAAAATGACTTTGACGAGTAGAGAGAAGAAGGCTTCAGACGATCAAACTCCTCCGAGCTCAAGGAGGAAGATTGAACCCATTGCAAAGAAGCAAAAAACCTTGAAAAAAGATTAGACGAATGGCTAACTAGAATAACCAGTGTAGAGAAGTCCTTAAATGACCTGATGGAGCTGAAAACCATGGCACGAGAACTATGTGATGAACGCACAAGCTTCAGTAGCCGATTCGATCAATGGGAAGAAAGGGTATCAGTGATTGAAGATCAAATGAATGAAATGAAGCCAGAAGAGAAGTTTAGAGAAAAAAGAGTAAAAAGAAACAAACAAACCCTCCAAGAAATATGGGACTATGTGAAAAGACCAAATCTACATCTGATTGGTGTACCTGAAAGTGACGGGGAGAATGGAACCAAGTTGGAAAACACTCTGCAGGATATTATCCAGGAGAACTTCCCCAACCTAGCAAGGCAGGCCAACATTCGAATTCAGGAAATACACAGAACACCACAAAGATACTCCTCGAGAAGAGCAACTCCAAGACACATAACTGTCAGATTCACCAAAGTTGAAATGAAGGAAAAAATGTTAAGGGCAGCCAGAGAGAAAGGTCGGGTTACCCACAAAGGGAAGCCCATCAGACTAACAGCTGATCTCTCAGCAGAAACCCTACAAGCCAGAAGAGAGTGGGGGCCAATATTCAACATTCTTAAAGAAAAGAATTTTCAATCCAGAATTTCATATCCAGCCAAACTAAGCTTCATAAGTGAAGGAGAAATAAAATCCTTTACAGACAAGCAAATGCTGAGAGATTTTGTCACCACCAGGCCTGCCCTAAAAGAGCTGCTGAAGGAAGCACTAAACATGGAAAGGAACAACTGGTACCAGCCACTGCAAAAACATGCCAAATTGTAAAAGACCATTGATGCATTGATGCTAGGAAGAAACTGCATCAACTAACAAGCAAAATAACCAGCTAACATCATACTGACAGGATCAAATTCATACATAACAATATTAACCTTAAATGTAAATGGGCTAAATGCTCCAATTAAAAGACAGAGACTGGCAAATTTGATAAAGAGTCAAGACCCATCAGTGTGCTGTATTCAGGAGACCCATCTCATGTAGAGACACACATAGGCTCAAAATAAAGGGATGGAGGAAGATCTACCAAGTAAATGGAAAACAAAAAAAGGCAGGGGTTGCAATCCTAGACTCTGATAAAACAGACTTTAAACCAACAAAGATCAAAAGAGACAAAGAAGGCCATTACATAATGGTAAAAGGATCAATTCAACAAGAAGAGCTAACTATCCTAAATATATATGCACCAATACAGGAGCACCCAGATTCATAAAGCAAGTCCTTAGAGACCTACAGAGAGACTTAGACTCCCACACAATAATAATGGGAGATTGTAACACCCCACTGTCAACATTAGACAGATCAACGAGACAGAAAGTTAACAAGGATATCCAGGAATTGAACTCAGCTCTGCACCAAGCGGACCTAATAGACATCTACAGAACTCTCCATCCCAAATCAACAGAATATACCTTCTTAGCACCACATCACACTTATTCCAAAATTGACCACATAGTTGGAAGTAAAGCACTCCTCAGCAAATGTAAAAGAACAGAAATTATAACAAACTGTCTCTCAGACCACAGTGCAATCTAGGACTCAGGATTAAGAAACTCACTCAAAACTGCTCAACTACATGGAATCCGAACAACTTGCTCCTGAATGACTACTGAGTACATAACGAAATGAAGGCAGAAATAAAGATGTTCTTTGAAACCAATGAGAACAAAGACACAACATACCATAATCTCTGGGACACATTTAAAGCAGTGTGTAGAGGGAAATTTATAACACTAAATGCCCACAAGAGAAAGCAGGAAAGATCTAAAATTGACACCCTAACATCACAATTAAAAGAACTAGAGAAGCAAGAGCAAACACATTCAAAAGCTAGCAAAAGGCAAGAAATAACTAAGATCAGAGCAGAACTGAAGGAGATAGACACACAAAAAACCCTTCAAAAAAATCAATGAATCCAGGAGGTGGTTTTTTGAAAAGATCAACAAAATTGATAGTCCACTAGCAAGACTAATAAAGAAGAAAAGAGAGAAGAATCAAATAGATGCAATAAAAAATGATGAAGGGGATATCACCACCAATCCCACAGAAATACAAATTACCATCAGAGAATACTACAAACACCTCTACGCAAATAAACTAGAAAATCTAGAAGAAATGGACAAATTCCTGGACACATACACCCTCCCAAGACTAAACCAGGAAGAAGTTGAATCTCTGAATAGACCAATAACAGGCTCTGAAATTGAGGTAATAATTAATAGCATACCAACCAAAAAAAGTCCAGGACCAGATGGATTCACAGCTGAATTCTACCGGAGGTACAAGGAGGAGCTGGTACCATTCCTTCTGAAACTATTCCAATCAATAGAAAAAGAGGGAATCCTCCCTAACTCATTTTATGAGGCCAGCATCATCCTGATACCAAAGCCTGACAGAGACACCACAAAAAAAGAGAATTTTAGACCAACATCCCTGATGAACACTGATGCAAAAATCCTCAATAAAATACTGGCAAACCGAATCCAGCAGCACATCAAAAAGCTTATCCACCATGATCAAGTGGACTTCATTCCTGGGATGCAAGGTTGGTTCAACATACGCAAATCAATAAACATAATCCAGCATATAAACAGAACCAAAGACAAAAACCACATGATTATCTCATTAGATGCAGAAAAGGCCTCTGACAAAATTCAACAGCCCTTCATGCTAAAAACTCTCAATAAATTAGGTATTGATGGGATTTATCTCAAAATAAAAGAGCTATTTATGACAAACCCACAGCCAATATCATACTGAATGGGCAAAAACTGGAAGCATTCCCTTTGAAAACCGGCACAAGACAGGATGCCCTCTCTCACCACTCCTATTCAACATAGTGTTGGAAGTTCTGGCCAGGGCAATCTGGCAGGAGAAAGAAACAAAGGGTATTCAATTAGGAAAAGAGGAAGTCAAATTGTCCCTGTTTGCAGGTGACATGATTGTATATCTAGAAAACCCCATTGTCTCAGCCCAAAATCTCCTTTAAGCTGATAAGCAACTTCAGCAAAGTCTCAGGATACAAAATCAATGTGAAAAAATCACAAGCATTCTTATACACCAATAACAAACAAACAGAGAGCCAAATCATGAGTGAACTCCCATTCACAATTGCTTCAAAGGGAATAAAATACCTAGGAATCCAACTTACAAGGGATGTGAAGGACCTCTTCAAGGAGAACTACAAACCACTGCTCAACGAAATAAAAGAGGACACAAACAAATGGAAGAACATTCCATGCTCATGGATAGGAAGAATCAATATTGTGAAAATGGCCATACTGTCCGAAGTAATTTACAGATTCAATACCATCCCCATCAAGCTACCAATGACTTTCTTCACAGAATTGGAAAAAACTACTTTAAAGTTCATACGGAACCAAAAAAGAGCCCTCATTGCCAAGTCAATCCTAAGCCAAAAGAACAAAGCTGGAGGCATCACGCTACCTGACTTCAAACTATACTACAAGGCTACAGTAACCGAAACAGCATGGTACTGGTACCAAAACAGAGATATAGACCAATGGAACAGAACAGAGCCCTCAGAAATAATACCACACATCTACAACCATCTGATCTTTGGCAAACCTGACAAAAACAAGAACTAGGGAAAGGATTCCCTATTTAATCAATGGTGCTGGGAAAACTGGCTAGCCATATGTAGAAAGCTGAAACTGGATCCCTTCCTTACACCTTATACAAAAATTAATTCAAGATGGATTAAAGACCTAAATGTTAGACCTAAAACCATAAAAACCCTAGAAGAAAATCTAGGCAATACCATTCAGGACATAGGCATGGGCAAGGACTTCATGTCTAAAACACCAAAAGCAATGGCAACAAAAGCCAAAATTGACAAATGGGATCTCATTAAACTAAAGAGCTTCTGCACAGCAAAAGAAACTACCATCAGAGTGAACAGGCAACCTACAGAATGGGAAAAAATTTTTGCAATCTACTCATCTGACAAAGGGCTAATATCCAGAATCTACAAAGAACTCAAACAAATTTACAAGAAACAAACAACCCCATCAGCAAGTGGGCGAAGGATATGAACAGATGCTTCTCAAAAGAAGACATTATGCAGCCAACAGACACATGAAAAAATGCTCATCATCACTGGCCATCAGAGAAATGCAAATCAAAACCACAACGAGATACCATCTCACACCAGTTAGAATGGCGATCATTAAAAAGCCAGGAAACAACAGGTGCTGGAGAGGATGTGGAGAAACAGGAACACTTTTACACTGTTGGTGGGACTGTAAACTAGTTCAACCATTGTGGAAGACAGTGTGGCGATTCCTCAAGGATCTAGAACTAGAAGTAGCATTTGACCCAGCGATCCCATTACTGGGTATATACCCAAAAGATTATAAATCATGCTGCTATAAAGACACATGCACACGTATGTTTATTGCGGCACTATTCACAATAGCAAAGACTTGGAACCAACCCAGATGTCCATCAATGATAGACTGGATTAAGAAAATGTGGCACATATACACCATGGAATACCATGCAGCCATAAAAAATGATGAGTCCATGTCCTTTGTAGGGACATGGATGAAACTGGAAACCATCATTCTCAGCAAACTATCGCAAGGACAAAAAACCAAACACCACGTGTTCTCACTCATAGGTGGGAATTGAACAATGAGAGCACTTGGACACAGGAAGGGGAACATCACACACTGAGGCCTGTTGTGGAGTGGGGGGCTGGGGGAGGGATAGCATTGGGAGATATACCTAATGTAAATGACGAGTTAATGGGTGCAGCACACCAACATGGCACATGTATACATATGTAACAAAGCTGCACGTTGTGAACATGTACCCTAGAACTTAAAATATAATAAAAAAAAGAAAAATAAATAAATAATTACATTGTAAAAAAAAAGAGAAATACTTCTAAGACATACTATTAAAAGATACAAGCTATTAAAAGTATTTTTAAAGGAAAAATATTTTTAAGGGAAGCAAGTCACAGAACTATATATATATACACACACATATTATATATATTTACATATATATAAAATGATCTAGTTCCTATTAAAAACTACATATATTTCTGAATCTACATGGAACTTTTCCAGAAGAATGTCAGACAGCTCACAACATTACCTCTGGAGGTGGGATTAGATGAGAACATCACTTCTGAAGCTGTTTTTCAGTATTGGTTATTTTCTAGTGGGCATGTATTAATCATAAAAACAAGGAAGCTAAATTATGCATGTATACACCCAGGCCTGTCATGAGTTAAGTCATTAGACCACTGCCCAGAAACCAAGGACTATGACTGTGTCCACTGATCTCATCTCTGTGCTTAGTGTTTGTTATGGAATGAAGTGTCTCGGAACTTGATAGTGAGGAAGATATTTTGATGCTGTGCATACCAGTGTCTTAGAAGACAAAACTGTTATCTACACTTTTGGTGTTGACTCTTAGCCACAATATTTACTTTTACCAACAGATACTATCAATTGATTTTTTAAAAAATCTTCCGAGTCACTTTTATTTTTAAGTCTTCAAGCTGTGTTTAGCAGTTCTAATTCAGATATATTGTGAGTGGGAAGGAAAGAAAACACATTTAGTCTTTGAATACTTGAGAGATAACACAACTTTCAGCAGTTAGTAAAGCAGTTAAAATAAAATTTTAAAATACTGGTTCTCTGCATGACATTTGAATGAAGGGGGAAAAATAAAATACTGGCTCTCACTTGAAAATAACTCGAGTGACTTATAGGTACAAACCATTAGTTGTATAGTATAGGTATTCTTAAAAAATTTATTTATAGAAACAGACATATTCAAATGCAACACTGGACAAAAACAAAGAGAAAAAGTTGGAATGCCGATGACAACAGAGAATCTCACTTTCACTTTCCATTTCTCTGAATTAGCACCATTAGTTCAGAAATCACAGATGTAATTATAATTGCTTCTAATATATAAAACACCTTATAAAGATCTGTAAACTATCTAATAGCAAAGTTCTTCCAAAAACGCATTTAAAAATCAATCAGAATTTACCATTTGAAACTGATGAAAATGGTTTAAAAATGAATCCAGTTCTACAGCTTGTCAAAGGGAATGAGCCATAATTAGTTTTATTGGAAGAAAGTGCCTGAATTCATCTTCTAGCCTCCTTCTAACCACCAAGCAGGTACAGCAAATTGAATATTACTACAGGAATAAGAGTCATCTAAAACTGGTCTTAGAAAATATTTTCCTAAACTATAAAAATACTAAATGGCATACAAAAATTTCAGCATATACAGCAAATAGACTACAGCAGACAAATATTTAGAACATACTTAAAACTATCTTGTACCACAATCATCATAAACATCAAGTATTCTTCTAATCAGTTTTCTATGATTCATTCTAATTCAATGTTTATTTACCCTCAAGTTTTGTTCTAGTGTCAGATACAGACCAAATTCTGTGTTTCTAGCAGAAGTTACTGGAGGAACCATTGAATAATTCTTGGTATTCAACTCGTTCTCAAAGTGCTGGAAGTGCAATTGTAGTATAGCCTATTTTTTAGATGAGGGGTCAGCAAACTACAGCCCAGGGGCCAAATCTGGTCACCATCTGTTTTGTCCGGCCTGGGAACCCAGCTACACATATTCCTTTATGTACTGTCTGTGGTGGCTTTCCTGCTTCAGAAACAGAGTTGAGTAGTTATGACAGAGACTGTATGTGGCCTTTTGGTCCACACAGTCTGAAATATTTACAATCTGGCCCTTTACAGAAAAAGTTTGCCAACCTTTATTTTAGATAAATCACTTCAAGAAATTCTTAACAAGGACAAGGTAAAAATGTCTAAGATTAAAAAAATTTTGGTTGAGGTGTGCTGGTTCCATCACATAGTAACATGGGGCAGGCCAGAAGAGTGCAAACTTGGATTGGCAACTTCAGGTCTTGAACTATATTATTCTGGCATTCTAAGCGAAGTCTGGCTATGATAAAGTACCTTCTATTCCTCTGTGAACTGGCCATTTTGTACCAAGCAATTCACGTACCACATTGCAGCAATGTGCTTACTGTTCAACCCCAACCATCTGTGGTTCCCACAAACAATATTTAGCCTTTAAAAAGCAATAATCTTCTACCCTTAGTAACAGACAAAACTAGAAGTGGACCTTTCCCTATGCTCTGTATTGGCATGGATTCTATACTGCTGTACTGCATACCTTTTAGAATCCTTCCCTGTGACATGCATCATAATAATTTGTACCACTGCCACCCAGGGCTACAAACATGTCCCTTTTCACAAAGCGGACCAAGTTTTCAAGCGGGCACATGGGCTTGGGAGAACGCTTGTGGTGGTCTTGGCAGAAAGAGGTGTGGAATGTGACATCGACGCCATTGTAAAGAATCCGGACGGAATGTTCACTGGGCTTTTCTCTGTCTTGCCAAAGCTCAAAGATCAACCTGGCTGCAAACCTTGGGAACCTGGCTTCTGAAAGGCCCAAGGCACTGAGAACTGGTGACAGAGTGACATCATGAGCAGAGTAGAGGGCAAAGAGCTCTTCTTTCCTGCCCTCGGTGGCACGCTGCATCCGGCCGATGGTTTGGTTCAGGATGGGGTGGGCACCCAGGAGAGAATACCCGAAGTACAATTTCTTCTCCCGTCTTTCCCTTTCATCCTCGATCTGATGGGTCTTAATTACCTTGAAGTGCTCCATGTCAACACAGCCATTTCTGGTACAGGGAAAGCTGACATTGTGGCAGAAGTGGCAGAGCATGGAGTCTATGGGGTTGGCAGCTCTAAGCTGCTTGGTGGGGACATCCACGATCTTGGCCATCTCCCCGTAGGTCTTCTCCAGCTGGCTGTTTTTCAAACGTAGGAGGTACTGACGACGCTGCTCCTTTTCCAGATACTGGTTTCTTACCGGGCAATAGCAGCTTCCAGAGCAGAACAGCGCACTTGGCTGGTGCCTGAAATAAATCTTCTTCCAGTCAAAATCTGGGAGAAAGCCATAAAGCAAGGCCAGCCCACTTTGTAGGGTCCGGCTTTTCCCAGTGGTCTCTAAATAGAGCTGGTCTGCAGACCAATCATTGGGCAGGAGTTTGTGTTTCTTTAGATAGATATCCCTCAGCAGCTGACCGTTCTGCAAATGCTGCACAACTCCTGAAACACAAGCACACAAAGCTTACCTTACTTCCAGCTGAGCAAAAGAAACAGCAAGGGGAGGTGGAGTCAGCGTGTGGCTCTGGAGTGTTTTAGGGCAAGAGAATGGCATCCAGCCTGTTTCCCCATGGTGTGGAAGTTACAAGCTCGAGTTCACAACAGCTTGTGAAGGGAGCCTCTTGGGGTTATTCATGAAGGATGAGCAGAGCGGGGCCCTGGCCTTGAGAACCACGGCCTTTGGACCATCTGCCTTGCACTTGGCCTCCAGACTGGCCTCTTCCCTGGGGAAAGTGTTGTGACTGGTTGGTCTCAGGGTTCGAAGTCACCCAGCCAGGGGATATCTGTAATTGCATGGGCCTAAGGAGAGGTTTTTCCCTCCTGTCCAGCATTCCTCAGTGTGCAGCGAGTGCTCAGTGAAACCGCTCAGGCGAAGGCTGACTGCAGATTCCCTGCTTGCTGCTGTCTCCTCACTGCTGGAGAGTCCCCTCCTTGACCCCATCCTCCCCAGCCTGCCAACCGAATGTTCTCTGATAACCTGCTGGGTACGTTCTGCCTGATCCTGGGGGCTTTACAGACTCGTCAACACACATGCATTCTCTGTATGATATGGAACAATCTCCTGATACCCAGATAGAATACTGGAAAAAAGCCAAGTGTAGAACAGTATGTTGATTATGCTCCTTTAAAAAGAAAGAGAGGGAAAAATAAGAATATGTATTTGCAGCTGCCTGAGTTTTGCATAAAGAAACTTTGGAAAGTTGTATAAGAAACTAATCTCAATGGTTCCCTGGGGGTGACGGAGGTACAAAAATGAGGTGGATGGAACATGGGTAGAAGCAAGAATTTAAAGTTTACTTCTTAGTACTGTTTTAGTTTTGAACTATCATGGTATGATAATAAATTAACTTTTAACATTGGAAAAAGCCTTATCTTTAAGCAGAAGAAGGCAACCCAAGACAAAAACAAGCTCACTCTCATCCTGTAGTAGGAGGTAACGGGACACAATCTGTCATGGGCATGAGTTCTACACACAGGCCCTGTGACCAGTGACACCATTTATTCAGATGTCCAAACAGTATGAAAAGTCCCACTGCAAAGATGAGACAACTTCAGCTGAAAATTGTGAGACAGAGGGAAATATGTTCCCCTGGGAAAGGGAACAGCTCAGCAAAACCCACAAAGGATGTCTGGGTCCTACTGTGCATGAAGAGTATTGAGAACAGAACTCCCCCAGGAACCCAGGAACTAAAGGCTGGAACAGGATTTAGCACTTCCAAGACGCTTTGCAAAAAAACATGCAAACCGTGAGAGACAAACATTAGATTCCGTGTCTCACCCTAGTTCACTGCGGGGCCTATTTTATTTGGTTAGGCCACATAAAGTTAGAGTGCTTACTGTGTGCCAGGCCTTTCCCATTTAATCCTCACAAAAACCCAATGAAGAAGGTATATTATTATATTTTATATTTTCCTTATTTTATAGATGAAGAAACAAAGGCCCTGAACCATTTACAGTTAAAAAGTGGCAGAGCTAAAACCCAAGACCCCATCTGGTCCTAATTTTATGCTCTTAGACCCTTACATTTTCATGCCGAAATACAAAGTTCTAGCTATTTAGGGCTTCTTATACTTGCCAAACATAGCCTGCATCTTCATGGCTTTGTTCATACCGTTCCCCTTTCTCTCCCTAGGGAAATCCTCCCAGGGCCTGGCTCCAAGCTCCAACACTACCTGCTCTGTAGTGCTTTCCTTCTTCTTCTCCCTGGTCAAGTTAATAATTCCTTCCTCTTCCCATATGCTGCTGGACCATGACAACATCAGCTGCATTTATTGGGAGCCTCTCATATGCCGGCACTGCACTAGGCACTCTACACATGCTACCTCATCAAATTCACCACCAGCCACTGGGAAGACAGGCTCCTCCCCATGCTACAGGTCTGTCTGACTCCAAGGCCTGTGTTTACTCTCTAAGGCCCTGCAGTATCTGGCATTACAGGCAGTTGTCTCCACGCACATTGTGTGCTGCAGTTGCAGCCTTCTTTAGGACAGGCAGGAGGGTCCTATTCATCCTGCTACCCTCTCACACTCAGCAGCTGCCAAAGCATCTTCAACAGGGTAGGCACTCATGAGCAATCTTACCTTACATAGTTACTGTAGGGTGCCGTAAGTGCACCAGGGACAAAAGATGATTATAACAGCCATGCATTTTTCATGATATTTAAAATAGAAATAAAAATGACCATTAAAAGAGAATGAGGAAACAGGAGCAGACAGTATTACAAAAATGATTTCTAGAGTAACACTAATTTAGAAACGATGATGATGATAGATGAATTGAGAAGAAAGATCTGAATGAATGATTAGGTGTGTGAGGGCCAACCCCCCAGCCTCTTCTCAGGTAGCAGCTCCTGGATCCAGAGACTGGCGCCCTCACCTCCTGTTCTCTGCACAGTCACCCTGACCTGTTAGCCAGGGCTGATGGATGCTAACCCCTAGGACCTCAAGGATTCTCCCTCTCTCAAGAATTTGGATTTGCAAGTTCATCTGTGTGTGTGGCTGGGACTGTAATTTTGTTGACAGACACAACAAAAAATTAGAGAGAGAGGCAGGGACAAGACAGCTTTTTTATTCCTGGTTCCAGTCTCTAGAGGTCTGGTCACACTCTTGATCTTAGAGTCTGTGAGTCATTCCTGAATTCTTATAATAAATTTCCTTTTTTTGCTTGAGGTGTTTTCTGTTATTTTTAACCAGAGAATCTAAGCAGCAGTTCTCAGCAAGAGTGCTACTGCCTTCAGAGAGGGCTTGGGGGTGGAGTTATCACAATAGTATGGGGAAAGGCATTCCTGGCACCTAGTGGGTAGGGGCTGGGGGGCTGGTCTCCAGAAGGGACACGTGTCTCTGTCCCACACAACTTTTGAATGCAGCATGAGACATTCCATCACGTGCAAAACATATTTGAATACTTTAGACTGTAGAATCTAATTCTGTTTTTGTGTCTAGAACACAAAACCATTTTTGTATAATATTAATGTTCACTGAATTTTCCAGAAATACAATATAAACTAAGGAACATCTATATTTTGTTTTGATCAGAACTTCAGAAAAACCATGTCCTGACATGTGGTATTAAGAGTCAACAATACAGCATCCATCAATCATCTGCATTTGTAGTTGTCAGAGTCACATTTAGGTACAAGCATTTGAAGATTTCATTCTATTTTCTAGTGTAGCTGTTCTTAAGCATTTATACAGAGACACATATAATTAGGTAGTAAATTAGTTTCTTTTCATTTGTTATCGCTGGGGACCCTGGTATAACTTTTAAGTAATTAACTGCATAGAAAGATTACATTCATTCATTCATTCATTCATTGAGACAGGGCCTCACTTTGTCACTCAGGCTGGAGTGCAGTGGCATGATCATGGTTCACTGCAGCCTTGACCTCCCGGGCTCAAGTGGTCCTCCCGCCTCAGCCACCTGAGTAGCTGGGACTACAGGCACATGCCACCACACTTGGCTAATTTTAAAAAATTGTTTGTAGAGATGGGGTTCCACTATGTTGCTCAGACTGCTCTCGAACCCTCAGGCTCAAACGATTATCCTGCCTCAGCCTCCCAAAGTGCTGGGATTACAGGCATGAGGCACCATGCCTGGCTGGTTACATTATATTTAAATTTCACTTCATGATAGTTGAGGGAGATTGCAAAATAGTTAATTGTGTAATCAAAGGGGGTGTTGGATCTGCTAGGATGAAAACCCTCGTTCTAAAGTAATGCATGTGGAACTAATTGCCAAAGGCTTTTGACACAACTCCTTATCCACGGCTAGTCCTCCAGAGGCTTCAGCTTGTTCCACTCTGTCTATCCAATATCATTTCCCCAATAATAATGGCAAAACCTAAGAGGGCCTACTATAGGATGGAGACCTTCCCTCCATCCCTGCTGAAGTCCTAAGATGCTGATGCAAGATGAAGACAGAACATGGCCAATGGGTCTTCCCAATTCACCCATAAAGGCTGGTGACCAGGCAAAGGTCCTCTGAGGTTCCAGATTGAAGAATCAGAAAACTGAAACCTCTTGAAGGACCACCTGTTCCTCTATTCCCAGCAAAGGTGACTCCACAGTTAACTCACCAACCTACCCTGATGGTGAACTGACTGCACATGGTCTGACTAGGGCTGCGGAGGGAAAGCTGTGCTTCTGTGAGAACTCAGCTCAGCCAAACAAACTCCACATGCAGTAGAAATGTGCCATGCATTTTCCTCCCTGAGATCTTGTACATGAAAACCTATTAGAAGTTTTGTTAGAAATATCTGAGAACATGAGATTAGTTAAATAAATGATCAATTGCCCATCCAGAGTGAAAGAATATGGCGCTATCATAAATGATGTAGTGGATAAACAGTTATTCATAGGGAAATATTAACAAAATGTGTTGTTGAGTGGAAAAGTGGGTTATGAAATAGTGTGTTTAGTAAGATGTGTGTGTGTGCATAAGCACAGGAAGAAGGGTTACTCTTAAGGGTCTATTTCTGTGGTGGAATTACGGTTGCTTAAACTTTTTCTTCTTTTTACTTGTCTTTCCTAAATTATTTTCATGAACACGTATTGTTTTTGTAAGAAGGAGAAAGGTTCTATTTAGTTTTGAGAACTCTGATGTTTATTTAGAGGCCCTGGTGACCGAGCTCCTTGCAGAGCCAGTCCTTGCTTACCCCCTCTGAGCTGCACAGCACCCCGCCCAGGAGAACTGCTCGGAAGGTATGCAAGCAGAAGAGCGGGTGGGGGAACCCCTGAGCGCATGGGGGTCACACATACCTGTCTGTGTGAGCTCTCCCATCTCACACAATGGGTGATTTGGGTAAAGAGGCAAGGAGTTCAAGGGGCTTTCGAAAGAGGCTCCGGATCCTTTTGACATGTGACTAATGAAAGCTTCCAGTTTTGGGTGATACGGTTTCCTAGAGAGATGATAGAGAGAGTTAGAGGTCAGAGTGCTCCACAAGAATCCAAACAGTTTCCAGCTTCAGCGAGCCAAATCCCACGTGTATCGCAGCCTTTTGCACCCACAGTAACAGGTACCGGCTCAATCACTTTTCAGTTCCAATTTCATTATTTCTCGACCACTGACACTGACACATGAAATCCCCTCTGTGAGGTTGGCCAGAGTTCCTAACCTCTGCTGAACTCAGTACTGTGGGATTCAGCTTCGCCGTCTATCTTCCGGCTCCCCAACCTGTGCTGCCTTCCGGGCTCGCTCTCCGGGAGGCCGCCAACACCCACCCAGCAGTCACGCCTAGGCTGGGCATCGTCCCACTCTCTCCATTCCCTGCCCCTGCACATGCTGTCTGCTCCCCATGTCTTGCAGATTCTTTCTCCTGGTGCTTCTCCATCCCCTTCTCCTTCATCCTCACAGCTACTACCTAGGTTCTGGCCTCAGGCAGCTTTTGTCTGGCTGGCAATGGGCTCTTTATTGGTCTTCTTGCTGATTAAGCATGCCCCTCTAATAATCTTGCCTTCTCCACCACCAGAAGGATTGATTTAAAAGGTAACTCTGACCAGTCACTGCCCTTCCCTATCACCACCTTCTGGAAGGGGCCACACACAGCCTGTCCCTCTATTCTGGCCTCGCCCTGGTACTCACTGGCCCTCTCTACCCTAATACTGTGCTCTGGCCACGCCAAGCCAAAGGCCTTCTTTCCTCCAACACACAACGCACCTCATTCTTCAACACTTCCACCACTTCCCACGAGCTATCCCTTCCTCCTAGAAAATCTACCCTATCCTTTATCAAGGTCACCCATAATCCTTAATTTTTCTGACCTCTGAAAAATCCCCCTTTAGGAAAATTGTTAACTGAATAAGATAACCAGGATCTCTATACCTCTTTACAATCCACTCCACGTTTTGGACATACAACCTCTCATTTAATATAGGGTAATAATAAATGTCAAAAAAAGTTTATATATGAGATCTGAGAGTATCTATATTTCTGCCACAAAGTATATGTGGTAAATCTTTCTAGTCACTAATATACAATTACCCTGAATAATGAAATGACCTATGAATATAAACATCTTTTCTTTGAATAATGAAGTAGCCTATGAATGTATATACATTTTCCAGCTGAAGAGAAGTGGACAGATAGAGTAGTTCATGCCTAAACTCTATAAGAATCAGCATGAAAAGAAGCAAAGATAAACTGTTCTAATGGCAAACCCCTGCTGTCTGAAGGCCCAGTTAACTTTGAAAGTGCTTTAAAAATGGCTGCCAAAATGGGTTTATTATCTATCAACAACATAAAGCTAAAAAAAAAATCCATCTTTTAAAAATACGTTTTTAAATTAGAGAATACTAATCCAGACATGTAATATAGTCTAATAAATCACCCTGGATAGCTAAAGGGAGTTATGCCTTTCCACAAAAACAGGGTACGTTATTTTGCCTGAGGCTAAAGCACATAAATGTTTGCAAACTGGGAAATAAAATGTCCAGACTGACAATGAGGCTGCCAAGAGTAATCCACATAAACAAAGGCTATCCATCAACAGGAGTCAAATGTTCTGCACCAGGCCATTATTTCAGGTTGGAGCTTTTTTTGAGGATCTGAGAAAGCTTTGCTGCCAATTTTAGAAATGGAATTTCATGACTGGAAGTGTTTGCTGAGGTGACCCAGGTTTTCAGGGCATCTGACTGCTTAATGATATCTAACTGCATTCATTCCAATGTTTTTTATTTTTGTTTTTTTTTGTTGTTGTTGTTGTGTTGTTTGTTTTTGGCATGCAAAGATGAAGATTTGTGGAAGAAAAACTTCATTTAAAGAATAGCTAACAGGCCGGGCATGGTGGCTCATGCCTGTAATCCCAGCATTTTGGGAGGCCGAGGTGGGAGGACTGCTTGGGGCCAGGAGTTTGAGACTGGCCAACATAGTGAGACCATGTCTCTACAAAAAATACAAAAACTAGCCAGGCATGGTGGCGCAGGCCTATAGTCTCAGCCACTCAGGAGGCTAAAGCAGGAGGATCACATGAGTCCAGGAGGTCGAGGCTGCAGTGAGCTGTGATTGTACTACTGTACTCTAGCCTGGGTGACAAAGAGATACCCTGTCTCAAAAAAAAAAAAAAAAAAAAGAAAAAGAAAAAGAAAAAAAACATTTGACAACAAATGGCTGTATCTTTTTAGTGGAAAGCAGACCAGGTAACTCGAGTCCTGGACCTGGATCTGACTACCCAGGCCTTGTCTGCCTGGTCCACTGCTCCATCCCTGGAGCCCAGAGGGTGCTTAGCACATAGCAGATGCTCTAAAAATATATGTGAGTGAATTCAACTGTGAAGTGTCCCATCCTTGGATGTTTCATGAAAATAGCAAGCCTTCCATAATCTGTAGAAATGAATACGATAAGTTCCCATACGGTTTGTTAAAATATTCAGATTTTGATGAAAATATAGTCGGCCCTCCATCTCTTCAGATTCTGCATTGGAAGATTCAACTGTGGATCCAAAAATACTTGGAAAAAACCCAATAAGAAATAACAATACAACAATAAAAATAATACAAATAACAACTATTTACACAGCATTTACATTGTGTTTGGCGTTATAAGTAATCTAGAGATGATGTAAAGTACATGGGAGAATGTGCGCAGGTTCTGTGTAAATACAACACCATTTTACATAAGGGACTTGAGCATCTCAGATTCTGGTATCCAAGGAGGATCCTGGAACCAATCCTCTATGGATGACTGTATTAAAACTAAAGGCTAGTGTGGATGAGACTAGTGTACTAGTCGTACACTAAAATCTATTCTCTTCTTAAGAACTTGGTTAGATCCTATTTCTGAGGTCCTGAAATGAGGTAAAGCCGCATTCGCCAACAGAACGGAAAGATGTATGCCACTTCTGGGTTCAGGCTTTCTGATCATGTGTATGCCCGGTTCACATTATCTTCCTTCCTTCCAGCCATTATTTAGGCATGGCAGCAACCAGGGTTCAACCATGTAGCCATCCCCAGGGGATGGTAGAAACAACAACCTGGAAGAAACCTGGGGCCCTGAATGACCAGGTGGAGCTGACTAGCACAATCTGGAACACACATTTCAGACCTTCACATGAGGAAGAGCTAAACTTCCTTGTTATTTAAGGTAATGCATTCATGAGTCCCTGTGCTACAAAATAAACTTACAAAATAGGTGTACCCTGACTAATGCAGACATAATTATATCCATGAAAATAAATTTTTCTTTAGGAAAAACTCATATTATTGTGGGCTCATTGAAAATCTGCTTTCATAATGAAAACTGAAATAATCAAAAGTGTTACTATCTTAAGCCTTCAAGTCATTCACTTTGGAGTCCTTATCTTCACTTTTATATGCATTATTCACATCTATTTATGCCACAAAGTTTGAGGCTGAACCCCAAGGCTAATCCACACACCCATGAGAACATTTATTGTTTATTTAAAATCTCAGCAATGACTGAGTTCTGCACAGAATGTTAAGGCAAGCAGAAGAGGCAGACGACCAGTGACACTGTTACCAGAAAACACAATCCAAAAGAGCATACATAGCTGGAAACTGGAATCACATTAGATTTTTAAAGTTCATGCCAATTAAAGAATTTATCATCTTACATATTAATAACATGAGATTATGAAAAGATAAGCCCAGTGTACTTTTCTTTGTTTTTAGCTTTCTGGACCTTTTGGTCTTACTTGATGTAATGCATTGCCCTGCTTTCCTTAGCTCTCATAACATTGCTCTCCTGACTTTTCCCCATTTGCAACATCCCTGGCCCCTTTTGAAATCCTTTTTCTCTCTGAGTACCACATGCTGGTGCTTCCCAGGACTCTGGTTTTGGCCCATCCCTCACTCCTCAGGTTCTGTCTGTAATATAAGCCCACAGCTTCAAATGCCATCAACATGCTGAAGATTCTCAACTAAACCTCTTTTTCCCAGCAAGCCAGTGCCCCTGAGCTGCAAAATTATACAGACTAGGCCAGGCAGGGTGGCTCACACCTGTAATCCCAGCACTTTGGGAGGCTGAGGTGGGCTGATCATGAGGTCAAGAGATCAAGACCATCCTGGCCAACATGGTGAAACCCCATCTCTACTAAAAAATAAAAAAAAAAAAAAATACAAAAATTAGCTGGGCATGGTGGCGCGTGCCTGTAGTCCCAGCTACTCGGGAGGCTGAGGCAGGAGAATCGCTTGAACCTGGGAGGCAGAGGTTGCAACGAGCCAAGTTCATGCCATTGCACTCCAGCCTAGTGACAGAGCGAGACTCTGTCTCAAAAAAAAAAAATTATACAGCCTATTACTGACTAGAAACTGTCTCTTGAATGTTTCATGATAGCTCAAATGTAGCACCAATGCCTGTACTAACTTCCCCCCATACCTCCCTTCTGTGTTCTCTAATTCCAGGGAGGGGTACCACCACCAGCCAGACACCCAGTCAGAAACCTGGGCCCCATCGGGCCTGCCTTTCATACCCCTGTCCAACCTGCCACCAAGTCCTATTGATCCCACCTTGTAACCTTCTCTAAGACCCACTCACTCTCTCCATCTCTGCTGCCACTTCTGAGTTTCAGCTGCCATCATTTATTCATTCAACAAACATTTAATCACACCCCACCACTCATATGTCAGTCACTGTCCTAAGCACTTGGAATGCAGCAGCAGTGAACAAAAACAAATAAAAATCTCTGCCCTTAGGGAGGTTATATTCTAGCCTGGGGAAGCAGACAATACACAATGAACACTCTGTGTGTGTGTGTGTGTGTGTGTGTGTGTGTTTGTCTGGGTTAGAAAGTAACAGATGCTGTGGCAAAGAGAAGAGCAGGCTAAGGGGGCTGTGGGAGACCAGGGTGGAAGGAGGAGCACCTTGTCATTTTAACTGGAGTGTTCTGAGTAGGTTTTATTGAGAAGGTGACATTTGAGCAAAGACTTAAAGGAGGTAAGAGGACTGGCCATAAAGCTTTCTGTGGGAAGAGCCTTCTAGAGACAGAAACCAGTTTGTGCAAAGGCCCTGAGGCAGCATACAGTGCCTGAATGTGGAAGGAAGAGCTAGGAGCATTGTGGCTGAAGCGCAGTGAGTGAGCACGAGGAGAGTGGAGGGCAAGGTCAGGCGGGTTAGGGGTGGAGGAAGGGCACTCAGGCCTTGTGGGGCACTTTAAGGATGTGGATTCTGATTCTGAGTGAAGTCTCTCCTCTGGATCACTACCCTAATAATAACACCACTAGCTGCCACCAGCTTCCAATCCATCTTCCACACTATGGCTGTCAGAGACCTTCATCTTTTCATCCCTTTCACTGCCCGGCTCTCTCACTGCCTTCATGCCTGGACATACTCCCTTGCTGGGTATCGAAGCCTCAGATAACCTAGTTCCTACCCAGTTTTCCACTCCACGCTTGAGCCTGTGAAACTAACTTTCTGCTCAAGCCTGTGAAACTAACTTTGAGGGCCCCAATGTGCCAAGCTGTCCACCACCTCACACTGCATGGGTTGGTCTCACCACCCAAGGGGCCATTCAGCACCAGCTTCTGCCTGACTTGCTCCTGCACACCTTTCTGGTCCCTTTCTCTGTGTGGCCTTCCCTGATCTGCCACCCCATGTCCCCTCCCTGCCCCAGGTGGGGTCAGGCTGCCCCTCTTCTGGCTCATGCCCCCAAATATGGCACCCAAACTACTTCCATTTCTACTTCTTGCTCTTCTTCCATTTCTTCCTCTTCTTTCTCTAATGCTGCCACCACTGCTGCCACCTGTGCCAGCTATTCACTGAGGGCTGCCGTGTCCTGGGCACCGGGCCTGTCTCTGTAAATGTGCTGAGCTCCCTGAGGGCAGAGGCAGCCCCAACAAGCGGCCTTTCTTCTTCGACTCCTCAGAAGCCTACTCCCTCCATCACTGCTCCAGCCCAGCCATACCCTGGTCTTATTGTGGCTCACACC